>NC_000023.11:93712542-94337542 GCF_000001405.40 Homo sapiens | reverse complement strand
CTCTGGATTTGAAATTTCTTAGTGTGGGCCAGTAATCTGCATTTCAGCAAATCCCCTTGTGATTGTGATATGTCCTAAAGTTTAAAGAACTGCTGTGTACCTCCTTAATGTATTTAATCTTCAATATAAATGACCATTCATCAAAGAGGCTTGAGCAAAGGCATGACACAATCAAACCTATGGCTTCCATGTTAAAAATAGTCTCTTGGAGCAAGGGTGAAAACAAAGAGACCAGTTTGGAAGCTACTGCAATAATCAATGTGGGAAATGATGGTAGACTGGACAAAAAAAAAAAAGGCAGCAGCAGTGATACTGTCATTCTCTGCTTAAAGTCACACTGGTCATCTAATTCAATTTACCGACAGTAATGCACCCAAAGGTACTAGTCAATGATCTTTGGGTTACATGTTATAAATTAGTAAAAATAACAACAAAAAGGTAACTCATTGTCTCATGCAACTGAAATGTCAAGAGTAAATTTTTTTTCAGAAATAAAGCCATGCTGTAGTTTCTCAGTTTATCTCTTGCTTATTTCATATTGATTCATATTTATCTCATATCTACTTCTGTTTTTCTTGGCCCATCTCTTTCCTGTTTAATAAAGGCTTTCTCAGTTTGGTAGTGGGGGTTGGGAGATGATATATCTGCAGATAGCATCAGTTTTATATTTTTCTAGCCTGCAACCCTGAAGTAAAAAAGAAAATCTTTCCCTGTGTTCATATATGAAATTTAAGAACAGGATTTTGGTTGTCTTTGACACCCTTCTTCAGGAGAATCATTGAGGCCAAGGAGTTAGGGCATTAAAAATTGTCAGGCCAGGGTGGGTGTATTAGTTTGTTTTCACACTGCTGATAAAGACATACCCAAGACTGGGAAGAAAAAGAGATTTAGTTGGACTTACACTTCCACATGGCTGGGGAGACCTCAGAATCATGACGGGAAGTGAAAGGCACTTCTTAAATGGTGGCGGCAAGAGAAAATAAGGAAGATGCAAAAGCAGAAACCCCTGATAAAACCGTTAGATCTCATGAGAACTTATTCACTACCACAAGAACAGTATGAGGGAAACTGCCCCCATGATTCAAATTATGTCTCACTGCGTCCCTCCCACAACATGTGGGAGTTATGGGAGTAAAATTCAAGATGAGATTTGGGTGAGGAAACAGAGTCAAACCATATCATTCTGTCCCTGACCCCACCAAATCTTATATCCTCACATTTCAAAACCAATCATGCCTTCCCAACATTCCCCCAAAGTATTAACTCATTTCAGCATTAACCCAAAAGTCCACAGTCCAAAGTCTTATCTGAAACAAGGCAAGTCTCTTCCACCTGTGAGCCTGTAAAATCAAAAGCAAGCTAGTTACTTCCTAAATACAATGGGGGTACAGGTATCAGGTAAATACAGCCATTCCAAATGGGAGAAATTGGCCAAAACAAAGGGGTTACAGGGCCCAGGCAAGTCTGAAATCCAGCGGGGAAGTCAAATTTCAAAGCTCCAAAATGATATCCTTTGACTCCGGGTCTCATATACAGGCCACGCTGATGCAAAAAGTGGGTTCCCATGATCTTGGGCAGCTCCACCCCTGTGGCTTTGCAGGGGTGCTCCCTCCTGGCTGCTTTCATGGGCTGGTGTTGAGTGTCTGTGGCTTTTCCAGGTGCACGGTGAAAGCTGTTGGTGGATCTACCTTTCTGGGGTCTGGAGGACAGTGGCCCTCTTTGCACAGTTCCACTAGGTGGTGCCCCAGTAGGGACTCTGTGTGGGGGCTCTGACCCCACATTTCCCTTCCACATTGCCCTAGCAGAGGTTCTCCATGAGGGCCCCACCCCTGAAATAAACTTTTCCCTGGCGTTTCCTGGCATTTCCATACATCTTCTGAAATCTAGGCAGAGGTTCCCAAACCTCAATTCTTGACTTCTGTGCAGGCACAAGCTCAACACCACATGGAAGCTGCCAGGGCTTGGGGCTTTCACCCTCTGAAGTCACAGCCCCAGCTGTATGTTGGCCCCTTTAAGCCATGGCTGGAGGGGCTGGGACACAGGGCATCAAGTCCTTAGGTTGCACACAGCACAGGAATCATGGGCCCGACCCAGGAAACCACTTTTTCCTCCTGGGCCTCCAGGCCTGTGAAGGGAGTAGCTGCCACGAAGTTCTCTGATGTGGACTGGAGACATTTTCCACATGGTCTTGGGGATTAACATTAGGCTTCTTGCTACTTATACAAACTTCTGCAGCTGGCTTGAATTACTCCCCAAAAAATGTTTGTTTGTTTTTTCTATAGCATAGTCAAGCTGCAAATTTTCAAACTTTTATGCTCTGCTTCCCGTATAAAACTTAATGCATTTAGCAACACCCAATCACCTCTTGAATGTTTTGCTCCCTAGAAATTTCTTCCAACAGATAGCCTAAATCATCTTTTTCAAGTTCAAAGTTTCACAAGCCTCTAGGGCAGGGGCTAAATGCTGCCAGTCTCTTTGTTTAAACATAACAAGAGTCACCTTTGCTCCAGTTCCCAACAGGTTCCTCGTCTCCATCTGAGACCATCTCAACCTGAATTTTATTGTCCATATTGCTATCAGCATTTTAGGCAAAGCCCTTCATCAAGTTTCTAGGAAGTTCCAAACTTTTTCACATTTTGCTGTCTTCTTCTGAGCCCTTCAAACTGTTCCAATATCTGCCTGTTACCCAGTTCCAAAGGCACTTCTCCATTTTCGGGTATCTTTTTAGCAACACCCCACTCTACTGGTATGAATTTACTGTATTAGTTTGTTTTCATGCTGCTGATAAAGACATACCTGAGATTGGGAAGAAAAAGCAGTTTAATTGGACCTACAGTTCCAAATGGCTAGAGAGGCCTCAGAATCATGGCGGGAGGTGAAAGGCACTTCCTACATGGTGGCAGCAAGAGAAAATGTGGAAGATACAAAAGCAGAGATCCCTGATAAAACCATCAGATCTTGTGAGACTTATTCCATACCACGAGAACAGTATGGGGAAAACCACCACCATGGTTCAAATTATCTCCCACGAAGTCCCTCCTGCAACACATGGGAATTACAGGAGTAAAACTCAAGATGAGATTTGGGTGGGGACACAGAGCCAAACCCTATCAGTGGTACAGGTAGTCATGCTTATGACCAGGGGATTGGGTTATATTTTGTAAACACCATTAGAACCACAGAGTGGAAAAGAGGTAGCTCCTCAAAAGAATGAGGTTGAATTTATCAGAAAAAAGTGAAAGTAATTCTAGACCAAAAAAACGATGAGATGTTCACTACACTTTACTTTGAGACTGAGAATTATGTTTGTATATTAGTAAAATTATCCTTCAGCTTCCTTGGTAGAAGATGTTTTTCACTTTAGAAAATTGTCATACCTCTAATAAAAACTTTGTTATTATTTTTAATCAAAGAAATAATTCACAATGACTGCAAGACTATATGCAAAAATAATACTGTTAATTAAGAGAATTATAACAGTTAATGTGGTCTGGAAAATAATCACTGAACATCATCTGGGTGTTTAATTAACACTTATAGTGTGTTACTTTTTATTCCATGATAATTAATCCATTAGCAATTCTATTGGTTCAAATAAAGAAACTAATTACTTTAAATTTTCATGCCTACAAAGGAATAAAATGCATTGCTGTTATTATTGGATTTGCCTTTTGTTACAGTAATACAAGTAATATGCCATCTAATTTTCTTTTAATTAAAAAAGGAAAATGAAATGTGATTATTGAAAATGACAAATGGATAATCTGTTTAGAAATCTCTTTATAATAAAAGAACAAGGATCTTTGAGAGAAAACATGTCAATCATAACTCTTCTTCACATTAAATATACAAATATTAAGAATACACTAAATATAACATAAATTATGTTTTCCACATCAATTCAATGACTTAAATATTTATGGAAACCCAGTTACTGATTTTAAACAGGATAGGAGAAAATACTGAATCTACAGTAAAAAGATTTTGATTCTTGTTTCAGATCTGCTTCTGTGATAGGCAGGATTTCTAAAATGTCCTCCTAAAGATGTTTTACTCTAATCTCTAAAACATCTGGATATGATGAGACATCACTCCTGTAATTATGTATGTTATATGGCACAGCTGACCTTGAGATAGGGAGAGTATCCATGATTATCCAGATGGTCCAATGAAATGGTGGACACAAACCCTTAAGCACAGGTAGCTTTCTCTGGCAGAAGAGGAGGTTAGGAAGACTCAAAGCATTAAAGAACTTGATGTGCCTCTGCTGCTTGAAGATGGAGACCGCATTAGAAGGAATGTGTGCAGCTTCTAAGAGCAGATGGCCAACCCCAGCTGGTAGCCACAAGTACCTCAATTCTACAGACAAAGGAAATGAATTCTGCCAACAAACTGAATGGACTTGAAAATATTTATTTTTTTCTCCTTAGGCTTTAGAGAAGAGCCCAGACTGTTGACATATATATTTCAGTCTTGACACTAACAAGATAACTCCGTTGATCCCACCTGGGCTTCTGACCTATAGAGACGGTGAGAAAATAAATAGGAATAGGTACTGCTTTAAGTTTCTAATTTGTTAAAGCAGCAATAGGAAACTAATACAGCTGCTAAGAGGTGAAGTGAGCTAAGTTCTGTGCATCTTCTTTACCATTCTGCTAAGTGAAATAGCTGGACTATATGAGTATCAGCTAATCTGAGATTCCATATAACACTGTTTTGGAGGATGTTAATTTGATGGGTCAGACCTGAAAATTTGTAGGTTTCAAAAGGTCAACTATATTTAACAAAGACTGAGTATTCCTGCATTTAAATTAAAAAAACTATTTTAAACTATAAGTGTTTCAATATCTTTAGTATGCATATAAATCCTATGTATTCAATATTGAGAAATTCTCAACTAGAACATTTTATTTTCTTTCTAAAACTACTTCTTACAGCTCATTAATAAAATAAGTACTTCATAGGAATATGTATATAGTAACCATATCTTTTGGTTTTCTGAGAAAATTAAGCCTCAGTTTAAAATAGTCTGGCTTCTTGTCATCAAATGTTAGTTTATATATTATAATTTTTAGTTCTAAAGGCATATTGACCAATGATGACACTTTGTGGATATTCAACAGCTAACTAATTCTAACACACTCTGACGAAAGAGAGCTTTTTCTTAGATGGTGTGTATTCAAATATGCACATTTGTAACCATATTGCACTGCTTATGCAGTCACATAAAGATGACAATACATTCTGAGAAATAAATCCTTAGGCGGTTTCATCATTGTCTAACATCATAGAAGGTACAAACCTAGATGGTATAGCCTACTACATAATTAGGCCATATGGTGTAGCCTGTTGTTCTTAGGTTACAAACCTATACAGCATGTTACTGTACTGAATCCTGTAGGTAACCATAACACAATGGCAAGTATTTGTGTAGCTAAACATATCTAAACCTAGAAAAGGTACAGTAAGAATATGATATAAATGGGGTATGCCTTTATAGGGCACTTACACTGAAAAGAGTTAGCAAGAAATTGCTCCAGGTGAACCAATGAGTGAGTGGTGAGTGAATGCCAAGGCCTACGATATTACAGTATACTACTGTAGACTTTATAAATACCATACACTTTGGCTACACTAAATTTATTTTTTTAAATTTTCTGAAAAAATAAATTAGCCTTAGTTTACTATAACTCTTTTACTTTACACAGTTTTTTTAAAAAAATTTTTGACTCTTTTATAATAACACATAGCTTAAAACTCATTGACGCCTGAGGTTGCAATTTTTTGAATTTTTGCAATCAGACCTTGGCAATGACCTTGAGCAGTAAGATATAAATAACTTTTACATGCTTAGCGTTCCAATAATGGAACACCAGGCAAAAATGGGTCAACACACACATTATACAACGGTACACAAATAATTTCTTTATTATTTCCTTATCCTATATGCTTTCTTCCATTTAAAAAATATTACTATTAATATTTTTCAAACTTTTGTTTTAGAAACTGAGACACCAACACACACATTAGCCTAGGCCTACAGAGTGATGATCACCAGTTTCACTGTCTTCCACTGTCATGCCTTGTCCCACTGGAAGGTCTTCAGGAATAATAACACACATAGAACTGTCATCTCCTATGATAACAGTGCCTTCTTCTGGAATACCTCCTGAAGGACATGCCTGAGGCCATTTTACAGTTAACTTTTATTCTTTATAAGTAGAAGGAATACACTCTAAAATAACAATAAAATGTATAGTATAGTAAATACATAAACCACTAACATAGTCATTTATTATTATGATCAAGTATTACGTACTTGATCAGAAATAAGTTTCTTTAAGAAAAGTAGTATTTCCGTTGAGATCTGAATGACAAGAAGAATGCAGTTCTACAAAGATTAGAAGAAAGCAGCAAAGACAGAAGTGATTTTGCTGGGAACGCTATCATCTTGAAAGTGCTTCAGATAAATTAAAATGAGAAAGAAATACTGTCACATGCTTCATACCTGACTGTATTTCTTTCTCATTTTGATTGATGATTTAGTCAATGACAGACCACACATGAGATGGTAGCCCCGTAAGATTATAATGGAGCTGAAAAATTCCTATTCCTTAGTGATCTAAAGAGGTCAATTGGCTTAGTGAAAGTCACACAGTGGATTAATGGCAGAGGTGGGTTTAGTATTCTGTTTGGTGGTGGTGTAACTTTGTAGCACAATGCATTACTCACATGGTCGTGGTGATGCTAGTGTAAAAAAATCCATTGTGCTGTCACATAAAAGGATAGCATATACAATTATATCATATTACAATTATATGATAATTGTAATATATAATATAATATATAATTGTAATATATAATGATAATTGTAATATATATGTAATACATAATACTTGATCATAATATAATTGTATTATCATATAATTGTAATATGATATAATTGTATATGCTATCCTTTTATGTGACAGCACAATGGATTTTTTTACACTAGCATCACCACGACCATGTGAGCAATGCATTGTGCTACAAAGTTACACCATCACCAAACAGAATACTAAACCCAGCTCTGCCACTCTGTGTGACTTTCACTAAGCCAATTGACCTCTTTAGATCACTAGGGAATAGGAATTTTTCAGCTCCATTATAATCTTACAGGGCTACCATCTTATGTGTGGTCTGTCATTGACTAAATCATCAATTAAAATGAGAAAGAAATACCATCAGGTATGAAGCACGTGACACTATTTCCTTCTCATTTTAATTTATCTGAAGCACTTTCAAGATGATAGCGTTCCCAGCAAAATCACTTCTGTCTTTGCTGCTTTCTTCTGATCTTTGTAGATTTGCATTCTTTTTGTCATTCAGATCTCAATGGAAATACTACTTTTCTTAAAGAAACTTATTTCTGACCATCCCTCCAAAGCAAAATATCCACAATCTTTAGCAACATATTTTAATTCTTTGAGTAATTTATCACTATCTTATATATTTTTGCTTGTTTGCTTATTGCCTATTTCTCTTCATTATGATGTAAGTTTCGTGAGAGATGACCTCTTGTCTGCCTTGATAACTGCTTCTGAGTAATCTAGACATAAAATCATCTTGTTTTGCAAATTTAACATTTAAACATATAATTTTCTTGTGCTTTACAAGGTGTTTGCCATTCTAATTCAGAAACTATAAATGTCTAAATATTTAAATAAATATATATTATTTAATTGTAGGGTTAGATGAAGATAACAAAATTTAAAAATGTGGATTCCTTTACAGGTTTTTCAGAAACTCAAGTTCTATAGATTTTCTTCAACTAAATTTATTCTGACAGTTTAATCAGGCACTTGCCAGTACATATTACAAAACTCTACAGTGATTTTTCAAAAACACTTCCTAAAAAGTTGCCATGACAACCCCCAGATAATATTTTGACACTGTCTCAGAATTTTACTTTTCAGCTCCATAAACTCTAACATATGGGTTAAATGTTGATAATTCATTTATGTTAAACAGTATGTCATTTTTTTCTTTAAAATTAATTGTGAAATCTATTAAATTATTTCATTAACACACTTACCCTACTCTTCTGAAACAGCTTGGTGGGCAGCACTAAACTTAGAATACTCAACCCAGCTCTTCCACTAACCCACTGTTTGACTTTCACCAAACCAGTTCACCTCTCTGGGTCTCAGTTCCTCATTCATAGAATGAGGAGATTGACTACAGGACCTTTAAGTTTCCTTCTATGTCTAAATTTCTAGAAATACAAATTAAATGACAACATGCTTGAATTTCTATAATGAAGATATTCGTCTCTCTCATCTGGCATTCCACAACTGGGAACTAGTGCTTTTCTTTCATATTTTATTCTTTTAAAAAATATTATGGATATACAATAGTTTTACATATTTGTCAGGTACATGTGATATTTTGATACAAGCAAACATTGTGTAATGATCAAATCAGGGTAATTGGGGTATTCATCACTTCAAGCATTTACCATTTATTTGTGTTAGAAACATTTCAATTCCATTCTCCTGGTTATTTTGAAATACAAAATAAATTTTTCTTTATTATAGTTGTCCTATTTGTGCTACTCAACACTAGATCTTATTCCATCTAGCTTTATTCTATAATTTTTTTACCTACTGGGATGTATAAAGATTGCAGGGTATCTTAGATAATGCTTTATGACACATACACAATAACTATAAATGAGAAAATACTTTGCAGGAATGTTGTGTTTCCAGTTTAAAATATTTGGCCTTGACTGCTTTTATACCACATAGAGATAAGGTTATATTAGTCACTGCTGATTTCAAGATGAAAACTGACAACTTCAATCAAAACTAATTTATCCTTCTACTGTATTCCTATGGCATATTATTCCTCTATTATGTTCATTAGATTTATGTGTATACATGTCTGACTCCTATACTAGTTTAGAACCCTTGGAGGATAAGAATTGCCTCTTGTTCATCTTTGGAGAACTCTTAACTCCTACAATGGTCCACTAGACCTAGTAAAGTCTCAATAAATGTATTGAAATAAATTGAATCAAACTGTATTAATTGAGGCCATACATTTTTAAAAACAGGAGCTCTTTTTTTTTACCTGCATTAAGGACCTTATTGATCAAACCATCATCAAAAACAGGATTGAGTAAAAGTGCTCACCTTTCAAATCATGTTCAAATGCAACGAAATTCTCTTCATTTTTATTTTCTTTAACCTTATATCTTGAAGCTATGCTTACTTTTTAAAGATTTATAACATTCATTTGATGTGTTTAACTACTATGATGTAGATAAATCAACTGTGTTTCTGCTTTTCTTAACATGTATGATTTGAGCTCAGTAAAGAATCATGGTAAATATTGATATATTGTCACTTCTAAAAGATATATTTGATTCATTAGATATCTGATAATTTTCTAGTATTAGTAGACTTCAGAATTGTACTTGTAGACTTCATAATTGCATTTACCTTTTCAAATACTTAGGGTCAGAAGTAGAGTTATTTGAAATGATAAATCATCTTGTGGGTACAATATTTTGAGAGCAGAAACACAATGAAGAGAGCCAGCCTTGAATTTTTATTTTGGTTTAAGCTGATATTTTTATGAATGCTTGTTATGTATGGCACAATCAGCACATAATATAATTTGGTCACACTTATAATTGTCATAGTCTTCCTTTTTGCTTCATCAAGTTATCAGTTTTGCTCTGTAAAGAAAGTTGTGTACTTAATTAGGAATTTGCCATATTCTTAGAAAACACTTTAAGTAATCTGTCAAGATGAGCATATGTGGGTATTGGAATCACTATGCAATGTGGTAATTTAATTTATAAGATTATATTTTCAGATTGATATATGAATATATCCATTAATACACCCCAAGGAAACTCATTGTATGTCATAGGTGAATTAGAGATCCAGAAATCTAACCTAGAATTTAAAAATTTGCAAATAATAGTATAAACAGTAAAGAATACACAGGTTAAGTATTTGGTCTTCATATGCTTGTAAAAGGTAATTATCATTTTTTACTTTGTGAGATGTATTCAAATACAGCAGCTTAGACTTAGTTGTAAAATTCTCATAAAAATTATTGATCATTTCATGTGAAATGGTACTATAAAGACATTTATATAGACAAGAATACAGGAGCATTGAGGCAAAAGAAAAGTTAACTATCACTGATTTTTAAAATGTCACTTCAAGCTATTTAATACAAAAAGTGAACACTGTTAAATAGGGTGCCCAAGTTATGATAAAAAGGTGTTCTGTTTAGTAATATTAACATCTTTCATTATCAAGCATTACATTGAATTTCAAAACATGTTCACATATATTATCTCATTATCATTTGTTCTTCACTAGGTTGTCAGGTAGGATTAACACTTCCACTTTACACAAGAAGAAAAAGCTCACAAAGGTTGAGTTACTCATCTAAGATTTCATAACCAGTTAATGTGAGAAATCTAATGAAGCAATATATAAATCTTTTTAAAAAGTATAAATTTCATTACATAAACTTGACAAATGTATTATAGATGAACAAATGAACTAACTGCCACTAAGGATGATAACAAAGAGATTAAGGTAAAACTGTAAAATAAGTTTATCTCATTTTGTTTGTTCTTATATAGCAGAGAATTAAATGCTAGAGAACTGGAGCCGCAGATTTTGCACCTGAGTGATTAAAGAAGCCACCAAAAAAAGAGGTATACAAACACACACACACACACACACACACACACACACACACACAACCTTCTGACCTATTTTGTCCTGGAAATAAATAAACATACTGAATGAAATATGCTTTTTAAAAACATTATAAATTCATCCATTAGCTGGTAGGAAAGTGAAAATATTAAAATTCTAAAACTTAATTAAAAGCAGAAAAATATTGGTCTGCTCTTAAGATACTTTCCATACCAGATAACCTTGTGCTTCAGTTTTCACCAACTCACAGGTAAAGTGGTACAGGAAAAAAATCCCAAAGACCACCCACAATTCAGAGTCTAATAGAATAAGCCTTCCCTCACCAAATAAAGTTGGAGCTCACAAGTGTTTTACCCTTAGTATTAAGTGTGAACAAGAAGTAAACATATACATTCAGGGGACTAGAAAGTGAACTTGCTGGTTTTGAACAATCATGCTAAGTAGAAGAAAAAAAACTACATTTCCCTTGATAATTTATAGCAATAACGTTGCCCTCATATGGCTTTGCAGCCTACATTTTGTACTACCGGAGTGGTCCAAAGAACATCATGTTTAGAGTTTAATTAAAATTGTTCCTAATTGGAAATGCTCCAAGATGCATGGAAGAATCAATCCCAAAACAGTTTTTGGAAGGATAAGAGGTTAAGAAAGATGGATATTAGTATACAAATATCAGAATTTTAGAAGGAGAGGAAAGGGAGAATGAAGCAAAGGCAATATGTAAAGAGACAATTACTGATATTTTCCCCAAACTGATAAAAGACAATCTTCTACAGATTCAGATATTCTAATGAGTCCCAAGCATGGTAATTAAAGAAAATATACAACGCATCTGCAGAATTCAGTCTATAGAAAAAAATGTAAATTGTATGAAAAAGCAAAGTATATAGATGAAGAGACTTAAAAGAGACTTAAAAATATATTAACCAATTATAATGAATGTTATTTGATGCTGATTCAAACAAACAGGTTAATATGGTTTGAATATTTGTCCCCTCCAAATCTGATGTTGAAATGTGACCTCTAGTATTGGAGGTGGGGCCTAGTGAGAGGTGTTGCATCATGGAGGCTGATCCCTTATGAATGGCTTAGCACTATCCCCTTGGTGATGAGTGAGTTCTTCCTCAATGAATTCATATGAGATCTGGTTATTTAAAAAAATGTTTCACCTTCTCCCATCTCTCTCACTCCTGCTTTTGCCATGTGATACCACCTGCTCTTCCTTTGCCTTCCACCATGATTGTAAGCTTCCTGAGACCCTCACCAGAAGCAGATGCTGGAGCCATGCTTGTACAGCCTACAGAACAGTGAGCCAATTAAAACTCTTTTCTTTATATATTACCCAGACTCAGATATTTCTTTATAGCAATGCAAGAATGGGCTAACACATAGTTTAAAAGAGAAAAATGCACATTTCAAAGACTATCTGAATAACTCTTACTATGATTGTATATATAATCATATTAAGAAGTTATTATTAAAATTTGGGGGTATGAAAATGCTAACATGGTTATGTTTTTATAAAAGAGTTTTTATCTCTTAGAGATACTTCTTAATTTTTTCTTGGAAAAAACAATACCTGGAATTTACTTCAAAATAATCTGAGGATTCAGGAGTAGAGATGGCTATAATTATAGATAAAACAAGATTAACTGTGAGTAGATACATACTGTAATGGGATGAGGTGTATGTATGGGGATTAATTAAACTGTAATTTCTACTTTATCAAAATATAAATAAAATTATTAAAGGAAATATAAAACTAGAAACTAGACAGCAGAGTGAAACTGCAGAACACCCACCTTCCTCACAAAAAATAGAGCATCTTAAAAGCAGTCAAAAAAAGACAGATCATTAAAAAAAAGACATAGCTAACTTCTCAACAGCAAATATGAAAGCCAGAAGATTTTAGAATAATGTTTTCCATGTGCTGTGAGGAAATAACTAAGCTAAATTTGCATGTTCAATGAAACTCTCTCAGAAACAAGGGGAAATAAAGATAGTTGTAGACACAAAATAGATAATTTGCAAACAAAAGATTCTATAGGAAATTTTAAGGAATGCAGTTTTAGACAAAAGAGAAATAATCCCAAGTAAATATTATGAGGGTAAATCTACATGAAATTGAAAATAAAACTGACTGAAATTAAAATAATGGTATTTTTCAAGTCTTTTCTAAGGGGATCAGCAAATGAAATATAATTAAAATACATAAAATCAAAATATATATGTTAGGCATTATCATAACTAAGGAGTTTTTAGGACTTGTTACTGATCAGGAGGGTAAAGAAATATAATTTTTATATTAATAATTTAAATAAACATTTAAAAAATTCTAAGGTAACCACTAAAGAATAGAAGAAGAAAATAGGATGTAAGCTAGTAAGAAAAAAGTAATGAAAATTACTAAATCTAAAAAGAGAGAAAATGAACAGTAAAAGGAAGACAAAGTATAAAATTTTATGGTAGATATATACTCATATGTAAATAATGTGCAGTTATGTACCACATAACAACATTTTAGTCAATGATGAAATACATATACCAGAATGTTCCTATAAAATTATAATACTGTATTTTTACTGTATTTCTGTGTTTAGATATGTATAGAAGCACGAATACTTACCATTATGTGACAACTGACTACAGTATCCAGTTTAGTAACATGCTATACAAGTTTGTAGCTTAGAAGCAGTAGGCTATGCCATATAGCCTAGGTGTATAGCAAGCTATAACATCTAGGTTTATGTAAGTACCATCTTTTATGTTCATACAGTAAAATTGCCTAAAGATAACATTTCTCAGAATTTATTCTTATTATTAAGTGACATACTATAAATGTAAAAGGTGTAACTACTCTACTTAAAAGAAAAAATATTCAGTTCATATGGAGCTCTTTTAGAGAACCACACACAAGGGCTTCTGTAAAAGAACATAAGGATACAGAAGGTTTAAAAGTAGATGGATGAGAAAAGAGTTACACAAGGAAAATATTAATCTAAAAAAATAAATACAGCTATGTTAATATTAGCCAAACTACACATTAATTAAAATATATTAGTGGAAATAAAAGAGCATCAAATTATTAAAATGTAAGATGTAATTTACAGAAAAAATAGTGATAATTCTAAACTTACATACCTTACTGCATAGCATAAAACATAGGAAGTAAAAATAGACAAAATTTCAGGATAAATCGAAAAATCCACTATCATAATGGGAGGTGATAATAATGTTTCTTTAAGCAAAGTATCAGCGAACTATGCCACACAGGCCAAACTTTGTTTGTTGCCTCCTTTTGTAAATAAAGATTTATTGGAAATCAGGCATATCCATTTATTTAAGTATTATCTATGACTTCTTTCATGTTATGATGACATAGATGAGTAGTCATAAAAGAGACCATAAGTATAAAATATTTATAATTTGATCCTGTGGAGAGAAAAAAAAATGCCAACCCTGATTTAAACAGTTAGATGTTATCCAGTAGGATGAAAAAAATCAGTACGAATATGGTAAGATTTTAAAAACAATAACAAGACATTTAATAAATATATAGAGAGGTTTCTACCCAATAGATGCAAGATACATATTATTTTCACAAAAGCTGATTCCAACATAAAGTATATATGGGGCCATAACATAAGTATCAAACAATGGGTACTCATGGATTTAAAGATGGCAGTCATAAACACTGGAAACTTCTGATGTAATCACCCAACAGATACTTCTGCCATTTCCTCAAAAAAATATTCACTGATACTGTGGCATTGCGATAGAGAAAAAGTTAAATTGACATGAGGCTGGCCCAAGCTGGAGAACTGGATTTATCACTCAAGTAAATCTTCCTGAAGGTTTGGAGGTTAAAGTTTTATGGACAGTTTGGTGAACAGGGGCTAGCAAATGGATGGTACTGATTGGTTGGGAATGAAATGCTAGGGGTGTGAAAAATGGTTCTTGTGTGCTGAGTCTGCCTCTGGGTGGAACCACCGGATCAGTTGAGTAATGAGTCGTGAGTCTGGGTGGAATCAGCCTGAAATATATCTTCAAATAAACAATCTTAGATTCTACAATAGTGATGTTATCTATAAGAGCAATTGTGGAAGTCACAAATCTTGTGACCTCTGGCCACATGACTCCTAAAGAGTAAGGAATTATAAAAACTACACCTGTACCTTAGCAGAGTTCAGGTTTCTCCCATAATCCTATTGTTATAGCCTTTCATTAATCTTACAAAAATGGTGTTCAGTCCCAGGCAAGAAGGGGGTTAGTTTTAGGGAAGAACTAATATCATCTTTCCTTTCATGTTAAACTATAAACTAACTTCTTTCCACAGTTAGGTTGGCCTATGCCCAGGAATGATCAAGGACAGTTGGGAGGTCAGAAGCAAGATGGAACCAACTATGTCAGATTTTCCTTACAGTTATAATTTTAAAAACACAGTCTCAGTAGAGCAGTAAGGGAGGGACACAAGGGTTGAAAAACTAACTGTTGTGTACTATGCTCAGTATCTGGGTGATGGAATAAACTCCAAATTTCAGCATCACACAATATGCCTAGATAAGAAATCTGCAGAGGTATCCCCTAAATCTAAAATAAAATTTGAAATTATAAAAAGCAGAAATTTCAAAGAACTCAGTGACTAAAATGTTATTTTCTGACGATGACACAATTACTGAGAAATAAACCACAAAGAATAATTCAGAAAAAAATTGTTAACACTTTTATGTAACTCATGAGTTGAAGAAGTCATCTAAAATAATTTTAAATAAAATAAAAATATCAACTGTCAAAACTAATTGGGTGAAATTAAAGCAGTATTTGGAATAAAATGTATAGATTTTATGTATAATCAAAAATAAGATATAATAGACTTATGCTAAGAATCCAATGAAAACTATTAAAGGCAAGCCAAGAAACAAAATCTAAAGAAATAGAGGAAATAAAAAAAAATTGATAGCAGAAATTAATAAATTAGAAGATTAAAAAATGGAGTAGATAGGACCAAATAGTCACAAGTGTATTTAAAAAACAAACTAATAAAATTAACAAATCACTGATCAAGAAAGGACAGACAGCGAAAATAAACAATATTATGAAAGGAAAAGGCTACAAGTTTGCAGATACAGAGAAAATTAAAAATATTAGAGTAAATTATGCACAATTTTAAGTTTTAAAGTATTATATATAATGCATCAATTTGTAGAAAAATATATCATACCAAAACAGACTCAAAAAGAAATAGTAAGGTAATGACAACAACAACAAAAAAAACGGTGAAGTAGGAAGTTACACAAATTTTCTCCTCCATATAATTAATGAGAACACTAGCAAAAGTTGACAAAATTAACTTTTTTAAAACTCTGAAAATTATTCAATGACTTGCAGCAATCTGGGGAACATTTATTCCAGAAAAAAATGGCTAAATCTCAGTAAGAATAGCAAGCCTTGTGGCATTTAACTTGCATTATTACCATTATATTCCAACAGCTCTTCAAGGGCCTTGAAAATCAACAACCTGCCATTACGATAAAAAACAGTAGCCTGACAACTAACAGGAGAGACAGAGAGGGAGTGAAGCACTTTCAAAAACACATTTCAAGAGATATATTATTATTTGATCCATCTGATAGTTTCCTGGAAGACTCTACTCAAAAAGGCTCTTATATTCTACATGATTCAGAGCTCACCCATTACAAGCACTTTTTCCTTGACATTTTTCTCAGGAACAATCAGAGGCAATTGTTAAACATCACGGTTGCCTAAGGCAGTAGGTAAGAGTTGGGGAAAACAATAATCTAATCAAAAAGCTTTAAAAAAGCAGATAACACATGAAATGCTTACAGTGAGTTTTTGTTTTTGTTTTTTGGGTTTTGTTTTTTTTTTTTTTTTTTTGAGACAGGGTTTCACTCTCATCACCCAGGCTAGAGTGTAATGGCATGATCTTGGCTCACTAAAACCTTTGCCTCCTGGGCTCAAGCAATCCTCCTGCCTCAGCCTCCTGAGTAGCTGGGACTACAAGTGTGTGGCACAACGCCAGGCTAATTTTGGTATATTTAGTAGAGATGGTGTTTTATTATGTTGTCCAGGTTGGTTTCAAACTCCTGACCTCAAGTGATCCACCCACCTCGGCCTCCCAAAGTTCTGGGATTACAGGTATGACCCACCGTGCCTGGCTATAGTGAGGTATTAAAACATCTCATATATTCCAGGGTTCTGAAAGTCAATACCCATGTTTACAGCTGTGCACATTACCAGGACTGCATACAGACTAAAGATAAATGTGGAAAGGTCTTAAGCTATTACCTCTGGCTAACACTGAGACTCTGCACAAGCAGAGAGTGAAGGCTAAGTCAGACATGTAAACATCCTTGCTGAGAACACATAAACAGAGCCACTTTACAAAGACTGGAAGAATAATTGGTTCTGGGAATTTAATGTATCTCTGCCCAATCATTAAATGACTATTAAGTTAATTAAATAAGACTTCAGTGACCACATATGACAAAGAATACAGGCATTATAAAATTAGTTTTAAAGAGTAACTAAATAAAAACTAATAACAAAAATGAACAAAAAACTGTAAAAACCTGGGGAAAGTGGCAATCCGATTTCCATAATTGCCATATTTTTGTTTTACTATGAAAATGCTTTGATAGAAGTGATCATGTAGCAAGAAGAACAGCAAGTGCATGCACAGTAAGACATGGCTATCAGAATACGTTGTGAGTGAATAAAGAATTCATACTGCTTTTGTCCTTCACCTAGCAACAGAAGGCTCTCGGCCACCTCCTCCTTAGCTCACTTCTCAAATTCTCCCTCCTCAGCCATGGCATCTGGTACTATTGGTACTCAGATACCAGGTTGTTCATGTTGCTCTCAGCCTCAATGAACTCTATTTCATCCATGCCCTCACTCACATATGGGTTCAGGAAGGCCTTGCACCTAAACATGGCTGTGAACTGCTCTGAAATACACCTGAACAACTCCTGGATAGTAATGTTATTGCCAGTGAAGGTGGTGGGCATTTTTAGCCTTGGGGGTAAGATGTCACAGACGGCTATTTTCACACTGTGGGGGATCCAATCAGCAAAGTAGCTGCTGTACTTGTTTTGGACACTAAGCATTTGCTCATCTGCTTCCTCCATGGCCATGCAGCCCCTGAAAATGGCAGCACCACTAGGTAGCAGCCATGGTGAGGGTTGCAGGCAGCCATCACGTTCTTGGTGTCAAACATCTGCTGGGTGAGCTCAGCCGTGTCAAGGCTCAATATTGCTGGCTGCCCCAGCCGGTCAGTGAGGCAAAGCCAGGTAAGAAGAAGTGCAGGTGGGAAAATGGGGCTATGTTCATGGACAGTTTCTGCAGTCAGCATTTAGCTGGCCAGGAAAGTGCAGGCAGATGGTGACTCTAGTCATAGTGGCAGACACCAGGTGGTTTAGATCACTGTAAGGGGATGTGAGCAGCTTTAGGGTTTTGAAGCAGATGTTGTAGAGAGCTTCATTATAAAGGCATCATGTGTCATCTGTGTTTTCTATGAGCTGATGGACTGAAAGGGTGGCATTATAGGGTTCCACAACCATGTCTAACACCTTGGACAAGAGCAGCACACTGAATGGGTTTATGATCCTATGTGGGCACTTCTCCTGGATATTGTTGACAAGAAGGGTACTCATCTGAGATGTAGTTCCTCCACTTAGGGAGTAGGTCAGCTGAAAACCCTGCAGGCAGTCACACTCTGAGCCTACTTTGTCACAACATCCATCATCAACTCCACCAGCTATTTAAAATGTCCAGTTTTCAAACAAAAATTATGAGACATGCACAGAAATAATGTGGCATGACACATACACAGAGAAATTTAAGGTCAATAGGCAAGCCCATAGGTCAGACTAACTAGAAAAGACTTAATTGAACTATTTTTAAAATAGTCAAAAAGAAAAAAGAAAAGTTTAAAAGCTAAAGGAATGTTTGCGAACAATATCTTACCAAATAGAGAAAGTCAGTAACGAGAAATTACATACAAAAATATATTCAAATAGAAATTCTGGAGCTTATACCTATAATAACTTAAAAATTACTAGAAAGGCTAAACAACATATTTAAGAAACTAGAAGAAATAATAATGACAAGTGAATTTGATGATAGATCAATTCATATTATACATTCTGAGGAATAAAAAGAAAAAACAATGAAGAAAAATGAACACATCACAGACCTATGGTGCATATTCAAAATGCTAGAGAAAAAATACAGTCAATAAACAATTATATATCCAGAAAACTATCTTTGAAAAAAAAAAAGAACTGATGACATTTTCCAAATAAACAAAAACTGAGAGAAGCCTTCACTAGAAAACTTACCCTCCAAAAAATACTAAAGGGATTTCCTTAGATTTAAATGAAAGAACACTAGGCAGTAATTAAAACCCACATAAAGAAATAAAAGGTTCCAGTAAGAGCAACTCTACAGATAAATATAAAAGGCAGTTTAAATGCATTTTTATTTGTAACATTTTTCTACTCCTAATTTAAAAGACAAGTGCATAAGTTACTAATTATGAATTTGTTCTGAGATACAGACAATGTATAAGAAGATAATTTTTATGTTAATAGCAGTACAAAGGAGGGGAAAGAGAATGATATTTTCTATGATCTGAATGTTTGTGTACCCTCAAATTCATATGTTAAAATTGTGACCCCCAAAGTGATGGTATTAGGATGGGTTAGAAGGAAAAGCCTTTAGAAGGTGGTTAGGTTATGAGGGCATAGCATCCATGAATGGGATCAGTATCTGTATAAAGAAGGCCCAAGAGAGCTGTCTTGCCTCTTCCACCATGTGAGGAGAGTGTGAAAAGGCACCACCTATGAATGTGAAAATTGGCCCTCAACAGACACTGTATTTGCTGGCACCTTGATATTGAATTTTTGAGCTTCTACAACTGTGATTAATAAATTTCTCTTGTTTATAAGCCATCCACTTTATGGTACTATGTTACAGCAGCCTGAATGGACTAAACAGAAAATTGGTATTGAAAGTAGGGTGCTAGTATAACAAATACCTAAAAATGTGGAAATGGCTGTGAAACTGGATAAGGGGTAGAAGCTAGAAGAGTATGTGGTACATGCTAAAAAAATCCGACATTGCTGTGAATAGATCATTAAGGGATGTTCTATTAAGAGCCTAGAAAGAAACTAGAAGAGCTAGAGCAAAAATCTCAAACTTCTTAGAGAATATTTAAATAATCACAAACAGTGTTAACAGATATATGAACACTAAAGGCTATGCTGATGAGTTTTTAGACAGAAATGATTAACATATTGCTGACAATTGGAGAAAAGTATATCTTTGTTGTAAAGAAGCAAAGAACACGACTGAATTGTGTTTCCGTCCAGGTGTTTTGTGGAAGGTAGAAACTTTTGCGTGATGAAATTAGATATTTGGCGGCTGAGGACAGTCCTAAGTAAAGTGTTGAGGGTGTGGCTTTACTTGTCTCGATTACTACTAGAAAATTTAAGAAGAGAAAAATAATTTAAAGATGAATTTTTTAATCAAAAGGGAAGCAGAGTATACAGAATTGGAAAATTCTCAACCTGTTTTTATTGTAAAAAACAAAAATGAGAAAGCATGTTAAGGAAAAAACACCAAAGGTGTGGTCGAATGATTGATTATTTGATAAGGAAATTAGTCACCCATCTAGACAGAATCTAAGCCCTATTTTCAAAGACAAAGGAAGAATGACCCAAAAGACAATTTAGAAATTATCAGGGCTGCCACTCCCATCACAGGCTCACAGTGCATAAGCCCTAAAAAGTATGGGGTCAATATAAAGAGTTTCCTTTAGGGCAATACCCAGAGGAGTTGTGGGAGTGGGAACGTTCTCATAGCTCCAGACTAATAAAGCCATTATCATGTGATCCCAGCCTCAGAGAATAGCAAGCATGCGAATCAGGCACAGACCTGTCATGAAGATGGGGGCCACTGCAAAGAACTGCTAAGAGAATAGGACCTAGACAGAAAGTTGCCTTGGAGGCAAGGTTGTCCAAAGCAGTAGAGGCAAGGCCACTGTCCCAGTGTGTCTGGAAGGCAGGACTCTCACATTAGTTGATTTGGAAGATGAAACCAGAGTCCCAGTAGTCCAGGAGGGCATAACATCAAGTCAAAGAAATTTGTTCTCAAGACTTAAGATTTAATGTTGTCTGACTTCGGGTTTCAGGCTTACTTGGGACCTGTTACTTCCTTCTTCTTTCTCATTTCTGCCTTGTGGAATGGGAATGTATATCCTATGCCTGTCTCACCATTACATTTTAGAAGCACATAACGTTTCTTTCATTTCAAAAAAGTTAAAAAGTTCCACAGCTGGAGAAAAATTTGTTGCAGAATCAATTGTACCTTCAGTCTCACACATATTTGATTTGGATGATATTTAGATGAGACTGTGAAGTCTATACTTTTCAGTTACTGCCAGAACTAGTTAAACCTTTTGGGGCTCCATGGATGGAGTAAATGTATTTTTTGTGTAAGAAGGACATGTATTTTGTGAGGGGCAGTGGCGGTATACTATGTTCTGAATGTTTTTGTTCCCCCAAAATTTATATGTTGAATTTCTAACCCCCTAGGATATACTATTAGAAGTTGGAGTTTGGGAAAGGTGACTAGGTCACAAGGGTGGAGGCCTCATGGATGGGAATAGGGTCCTAATAATAGAGGCCTAAGAGAGACTCCACTGTGTCTTCTAGTATGTGAGGGCATAGCAAGGAGGCACTCTCTATAAGACAGAAAGCAGGACTTCACCAGACACTGAAATCTGCTGATGTCTTGATATTTGACTTCCCAGCCTCCAGAACTGTGACAGATAAATTTTGACTGTTTATAAGCTACTCAATGTATGATATTTTGTTATAAAAGACAAAATGTACTAACACAGAGCTGTATAGAGGGAAAGTTTTTATATAATTGAAATTAAGTTGTCATTAATCTAGACCAGATTGTTACTAATTAAAGTGCTAATTATAAGTGGCAGAATATCCATATACTAAAACTCAAAAGTATTAATTCTTTACAATATTAATCCCTTCCCAAAAGCATTCTACAGATTCAATTCAATCCCTATCAAAATATCAATGAGATTCTTCTCAAAGATAGAAAAAACAATTCTAAAATAGACAGTGGAACCACAAAAGACCCTAAATAACCAAAACAATCCTGAGCAAGAGAATAAAGTTGGAAGTATTACGTTGCCTAACTTCAAAACATACTATTAAGATATCATAACCACAAGAGTATGACACTGACATAAGAACAGATACAGAGGCTAATGGAGCAGCATAGAGAATCCAGAAATAAATCCACATATTTATAGTCTACTGACTTTCAACAAAATCCTGACAAGAACTAAGGGATAATTTGAACATCACCCTCTGAAGATTCACTAAAAATCAACTGACTAAAGGCATATTAATAGAAGAAGAGGCATACAAATGTATTTGTGTGCATGAAAATCATACAATAACTCAAAAGAAGTGGCCTGATAGCCGAAGCTTTTATACTATTTATGTTACAGAATAAATGGGGGCTCATAGCAAAGATAAACGTATTATGTAGATTAAACCTCACAGTTAGCAACCCTAACAGAGAATAGATAGTACATGTTTGTTTCAGACTTTTAGTAGTATCAGAATCTCAGTAGGTCTTTCCTAGATCTAGACAACACAGAGCTTCAGAGAAAGCCCGGCTATATCAATGCAAATTTTCTTCTACATATGCGAATTTCCTACACAAAAGACAGCTTTTCAAGGCTACTTCTGTTGAGAGGTGCCCTGAACAAGCATCTCAAAATATGTTAAAAAGTATTTTTGAGGGCCGGGTGCCGTGGCTCACGCCTGTAATCCTAGCATTTTGGGAGGCTGAGGTCAAGAGATAAAGACCATCCTGGCCAACATGGTGAAACCCCATCTCTACTAAAAATACAAAAATTAGCTGGGTGTGGTGGTGGGTGCCTGTAATCCCAGCTACTCAGGAGGCTGAGGCAGGAGAATCTCTTGAATCAGGGAGGCGGAGGATGCAGCAAGCAGAGATCACGCCACTGCACTCCAGCCTGGAGACAAAACAAGACACAGTCTCAAAAAAAAAAAAAGTATTTTTTGGGGTAAAATGTTTTGGTTTCCTTCAGGTACCAAGAACATTCCTTTGGGAAAGGACACCCTCTTCAATAAATTGTGCTGAGAAAACTAGATATCCATATGCAGAAGAATAAAACTACACCCATATCTCTAATCGTCTACAAAAATCAACTAAAAATTGCTAAAACTTAAATGCAAAACTGTATTACTAATTGGTGAAAACATGAAAGAAATGCTTCACAACATTGGTCTTGGCAAAGATCTTTTAAATAAAACTTCACAAGTACAAGCAATAAAAGACAATACAGACACATGTAATAATATCAAACTAAAACACTTATGCACAGCAAAGAATACAATCAACAGAGTGAAGAGAAAACCAACAGAATGGGAAAAATATTTGCAAACTTTTAATCTAAAATTAATATTTAGAATATTTAAGGTCTCAAATAACAGCACAACAACAAATAACCTAATTTAAAAATGGGCAAATGAGCTGAATAGACATTTCTCAAAAGATGACATACAAATAGCCAACAGGTATATGAAAAAAATTCAATATCACTAATTCTCAGGAAAATGCAAATCAGAACCACAATGAAATATTATCCCACCTCAGTAAGAATGACTATCATCAAAAAGACCAAAAATAACAAATGCTGGTGAGGATGTGGAGAAAGGGGAACTCTTATATAGTCTTGATGGGAATATAAATTATGGAATACAATACAAAGCTTTCTCAATAAACTAAAAATAGAACTACCATACAATCCAGCAATCCCACTACTGGATATATATCCAAAGGAAACAAAATCAGTATGTCAAAGAGATATCTATCTACACTCCCATGTTCATGATGGCACTATTCTCAATAGCCAAAATATGGAATCAACCTAACTCTCAATAAAAAGATGAATACATCAAGAAAATGTCTTATATATACACGATGGAATACTATTCAGCTACAAAAAGAATAAAATTCTGCCATTTCTGACAACATGAATGAACCTGAAAAAATTATGTTAAATGATATAATCCAGGCACACAAAAACAAATACTGCATGATCTCACTCACATGTGGGATCTAAAAAGTATTGATATCAGAAATAGAGTAGAATAATGGTTACTAGAGGCTGGGAAGTGTGTTGGAAGGAGGATAACCAGAGGTTGTTAAACAAAGGCAAAATTACAGTTAGTTAGAAGTAATAAGTTCTAGTGTTCTATAGAACTACAGGGTGACTGTAATTAACATTTTATTGCATATTTTCAAATAGCTAGACAGCAAATTTTGAATGTTCCTAACACAAATAAAAGATACATAGTTTAGATGAGAGATACGCTAATTGCCCTGATTTAATTATTACCTGTTTTATACAAGTACTTAAATATTACACTGTACCCCATAAATATCTACAATTATTATGGTAAATTAAAATTATTAATCAGAGCAAAGAAAAAGCTGAAAAATTACAGTAACAATAAAAGTTCTCAGGAGTCTAGTCCTGAAACTGAAAATCTGTTAAAGGCAATTGGCTTCATTAAGTGCATGTGAAAGATACAAAGTGACTCAGGAAGTATAGTTTTCACAGTATAAGAGGATTTTTATTTTCTTCAAATAATATACATGGAAATAGATGTTTTTATACATGATCATATTTTAATCCTATTGTTATCTTTTTGTATATATGTAAAAATGCAGTGCCAACTCAAAAGTAGGCTTATAAAAGAGAAACGAGGGCCGGGTGCGGTGGCTCATGCCTCTAATCCTAGCACTTTGGGAGGTCGAGGCAGGCTGATCACGAGTTCAGGAGATCGAGACCATCCTGGCCAACATGGTGAAACCTCGTCTCTATTAAAAATACAAAAATTAGCTGGGCTTGGTGGCGCGTGCCTGTAATCCCAGCTACTCGGGAGCCTGAGGCAGGAGAATTGCTTGAACCAGGGAGTCAGAGGTTGCGGTGAGCCGAGGTCGTGCCACTGCACTCCAGCCTGGCAACAGAGGGAGATTCCGTCTCAAAAAAAAAAAAAAAGAGAGAGAGAGAGAGAGAAACGATTATGTGAACATGGAAATCTATTTCCTTAAGTTTATGTGTGTGGATGTGTATGAATGTGAGTACCAACATGTGTGTAAGAGAGAAAATGAACATAAAAAACTTTCTTGGAAGAATAATTCAAGTAAGGGTTGCTTGAGACTTCTGAGAATATGGGATATTTAGCTGAAATAAAGAGATCAAATACATGATCCTCAGATTTTGTACCCCCTCATTCACATATTTGCTTTGGTATTAGCAAATTAGCCTCAACTCTTTCCCAAGAGATACTAGAAGTCTGGAAAGGGATCATAGTTTGTGTAATCTCTAATATAATACTTGAGATTTTTGTCGTTGTAATTTGTTTGTTTGTTTTTGCAGTTTAACTTACTTTGTGTCAGGCACTGTTCTAATCACTTGGAATACATAATTTAGCTAAACAACCAAAGTGTCTGTCCTCATGCAGCTTAGATTCCAGGACTGAAAGAATAAATACAATAACAACAAGCAAAATTAATGAGTAAATTCCATAGTATATTTTAAGATGATAAATGCCGAAAACAAAAAAGTAAGAAAAAGTAATGCAGAAGGGTAAGGGAAATACTAAGTGCTGAGGGTGGAAATGTGAGTCAAGTTACAATTTTTAAAAGACTGAGTATTCTTCATTGAGAAGGAAATCATTCAGCCAAATTCCCAAGGGAGATGAGGGTGTTAGCCATTCAGAGATCTAGAGAAAGAGAGTCCTTGACAAAGTGAACAATGGGTGAAAAAGCCTTAAGGCCAGAAATTACCTGGCATGTCGAAGGACCAAGAAGAAGGGCAACGTGCCTGGATCAGATTTGTTGCTTTTCAGAAAAAATGTATCTTCTTCTCATTGGTATAAAATACAAAGACATGTCTCTTTGTGAGAATGCAAGACCGTAGAGAGCATCTATCATAAGATAAACATAATCTTATCATAGTCATAACCCTATCAGAGGTAAACAAGATGAAGTTTGTAGACAATTGGAAACAAAATGAGGTATTATATTCTTTCTTATGTATTATAAATTTTAAAAATACAATCACCTTAACAGATGCAGAAAATTGCGTTTAACAATATTGAACATATCTTCATGGTAAATATATCTTAGTAAAATCCAATTACAAAGGATTTTCTTAGTCCCTTAATGGGTATCTACAAAGAACCTATAACATATATTAATACCACATCTAGTAATAAAATGATGAAACTTTTTTCTGTTTAGATGAGGCATAAGATAAGAATATATATTATTGTCATTTTAATTCAGCCTTGCTCTGGAGGCTTTGGTCAATGCCATATGAAAAGATGCTCACTACCAAATTCATGATCTGCCCACACCAAATATTTCCTTTTTCCTTTGTTCAGTCAATTATTTCAGTCAATTGTAGTAGCATCCTATTGCATAAGCTCTAATTTAGGTGTCATCCTTCATATCTTCCTTTTACTCACTCCCATATTCAGTCCGTCACAAGGTCAGATTATTTATACCTAAATGAACATGTCTCATATCTATCTACTTTTCTACAACTCCATGACCACTATATTTTTCTTAGTTATTATTTCTTACCTGGACTAGCACAATAACATCTTAAAATGTCCAACAGTTAGCTGCATTGATTCTTGACCCTTTTGTCAATGTGACTATTTAAAACACAAATCAAATTGTTAATGGATTTTCATTGCACTTAGGATGGAAAAAAAAAAATCCTGCATGGTCTAGTCCTTAGATATTTCTCCAGTCTCACCCTTCCCCCACCTTTTACAGTTGCATTAATACTGACTTTCTTTCATGCTATCTTACTTACCTCTCTCCTTCTTGACTTTACCTATGCTATTCCATCTGCCTGGAAGACACTTCCTTCCCCTTTCATTAGTAAACTTCTACTCAACTTTAAAAAACTCACTGGCTGTCGTAAATCTTCCCTGACCTTCTCTACTAGGTTGAGTACCTAAAAAAGGATCTCATAGCACCATGTACCTCCCCTGCATAGCACCTATCACATATGCAATTTTATATGTTTATATGAATCCTTGATTAATGTCCACATTTTTTGTAGAATGCATATTCCATAAAGGCAAAAGCTCTGTTTTACTTAACATTGTATTTTTTTGCACCTAGCATTTCCTGATACCTAATCAGTATTTGAAAATATTTGTTGAACATATAAATGAATGAAGACATATAGAAGTTTTACCTACTCAAGACCATGGCAGACTATATGTTCCTTAAGAGCAGGAACGATGCACTTATCTGTAAATCCATGGTGGCTTGGATTTTTTTTTGAGGGGGGGGGCATTTATTACTGCTTAGTATATAATTGCTGCCTTTAGAAAAACAATCCCATGGGCCGGGCGCGGTGGCTCACGCCTGTAATCCCAGCACTTTGGGAGGCCGAGGCGGGTGGATCACGAGGTCAGGAGATCGAGACCATCCTGGCTAACAAGGTGAAACCCCGTCTCTACTAAAAATACAAAAAAAAAATTAGCCGGGCGCGGTGGCGGGCGCCTGTAGTCCCAGCTACTCGGGAGGCTGAGGCAGGAGAATGGCGTGAACCCGGGAAGCAGAGCTTGCAGTGAGCCGAGATTGCGCCACTGCAGTCCGCAGTCCGGCCTGGGCGACAGAGCGAGACTCCGTCTCAAAAAAAAAAAAAAAAAGAAAAACAATCCCATGGCCCATCTAACAAGAATTGCAAATGATGCCTTTCTGTTAAGTCTTCAAGTAGAAAATTTTAAAAAAGAATAAGGAAGAAAGAAGAGCAAATTAGCAACAAAGAAAGTACCAGATAATTCACAGACTACCACAGTAATGTGGAAGGCAGAAATATTACTTACAGACACAGATTTCTATATATTTTAGTGAATAGAATGTGCTCAATAAACATGTCAATTCTATTATTTCAACAAAACCTATTAAGTATATCCTCATAAGCATCACAGAGGTTTTCTTAACGGGTGATTATTTTTGGTTCAAAAGAAGCAGCCTCAAAAATTTCTGTGCTGTGAACATTGTCAATACCTCATTCTTAGCACTTACCATCTCTGTGCACACCAGCCAGACTTCCAGGAATTGTGACTGTTTGCTAAGAAGTTTCTCTGGTCTCTGGAGTTCACTTTGCGAATATGTAGGGCAAGACAGACATTCTGGAGAGTTAACAGCCCCCAGGAGTAGCCCTTAACCAATTACTGGTGAGAGTTGGTGAATAAAAACCCCACCTGACCAAGTTACTTGAGTGGAGAAACTGAAATTTTAAGCTGGCTCTCAGGATTCCCCCGTGCTATTAAGCTTAAATTGCCATCGTTGTAACTTGCTTCAAGGTGCATGCTTCATTGACTTTTTTCCAACGTCTGTCTCATTTCTTCACTTTCTTACTAGAGCTTCTGTATAACCTAACCAAAATAAATTACTTGTGTTTGCATCCTGGTCTCAGGATCTTTCTTTGGAAGAACCCAAAGTAAGATATTTTACTTGAAGTTATGTTTAAAAAAGCTTATAAATGACCAAGTTTTCCATCTCACTCCACTTCCAGAACAACCTAGATAAGTGGATTTGAAAGACTAAAGATGTCAGAGAGCTACCAAATCAGGCAGAACCTGAATAGCTATTAATAGCTATTATTATTTCGGGGTATTACTTTGTAATTCATTTATTCCTTTATCAAAATTTCACTGACTATATACTACACAATAGGTACTTTGCCAATTACAGAGACTACAATATTGAATAAAAAGTGAATCTTTCTTTTTTTTGACATATATAACCACTTTTATTTTCTTTCTTTCTTTCTTTCTTTCTTTATTTTATTATACTTTAAGTTTTAGGGTACATGTGCACATTGTGCAGGTTAGTCACATATATATACATGTGCCATGTTGGTGTGCTGCACCCATTAACTCGTTATTTAACATTAGGTATATCTCCTAATGCTATCCCTCCCCCCTCCCCCCACCCCACAACAGGCCCTGGTGTGTGATGTTCCCCTTCTTGTGTCCATGTGTTCTCATTGTTCAATTCCCACCTATGAGTGAGAACATGTGGTGTTTGGTTTTGTGTCCTTGTGATAGTTTGCTGAGAATGATGGTTTCCAGCTTCATCTATGTCCCTACAAACGACATGAACTCATCATTTTTTATGGCTGCATAGTATTCCATGGTGTATTTGTGCCACATTTTCTTAATCCAGTCTATCATTGTTGGACATTTGGGTTGGTTCCAAGTCTTTGCTATTGTGAATAGTGCCGCAATAAACATACGTGTGCATGTGTCTTTCTAGCAGCAAGATTAATAATCCTTTGGGTATATACCCAGTAATGGGATGGCTGGGTCAAATGGTATTTCTAGTTCTAGATCCCTGAGGAATCGCCACACTGACTTCCACAAGGGTTGAACTAGTTTACAGTCCCACCAACAGTGTAAAAGTGTTCCTATTTCTCCACATCCTCTCCAGCACCTGTTGTTTCCTGACTTTTTAATGATCACCATTCTAACTGGTGTGAGATGGTAACTCATTGTGGTTTTGATTTGCATTTCTCTGATGGCCAGTGATGATGAGCATTTTTTCATGTGTCTTTTGGCTGCATAAATATCTTCTTTTGAGAAGAGTCTGTTCATAACCTTTGCCCACCTTTTGATGGGTTTGTTTGTTTTTTTCTTGTAAATTTGTTTGAGTTCATTGTAGATTCTGGATATTAGCCCTTTGACAGATGGGTAGATTGCAAAAATTTTTTCCCATTCTGTAGGTTGCCTGTTCACTCTGATGGTAGTTTCTTTTGCTGTGCAAAAGCTCTTTAGTTTAATTAGATCCCATTTGTCAATTTTGGCTTTTGTTGCCATTGCTTTTGGTGTTTTAGACATGAAGTCCTTGCCCATGCCTATGTCCTGAATGGTATTGCCTAGGTTTTCTTCTAGGGTTTTTATGGTTTTAGGTCTAACATTTAAGTCTTTAATCCATCTTGAATTAATTGTTGTATGAGGTGTAAGGAAGGGATCCAGTTTGAGCTTTCTACACATGAGTAGCTAGTTTTCCCAGCACCATTTATTAAATAGTGAATCATTTCCCCATTTCTTGTTTTTCTCAGGTTTGTCAAAGATCAGATGGTTGTAGATATGTGGCATTATTTCTGAGGGCTCCGTTCTGTTCTGTTCCATTGGTCTACATCTCTGTTTTGGTACCAGTACCATGCTGTTTTGGTTACTGTAGCCTTGTAGTATAGTTTGAAGACAGGTAGCGTGATGCCTCCAGCTTTGTTCTTTTGGCTTAGGATTGACTTGGCAATGCGGGCTCTTTTTTGGTTCCATATGAACTTTAAAGTAGTTTTTTTCCAATTCTGTGAAGAAAGTCATTGGTAGCTTGATGGGGATCGCATAGAATCTATAAATTACCTTGGGCAGTATGGCCATTTTCACGATATTGGTGAATCTTTCTTTTAAGAAGCTTAGTGTCAGTTGAAAAGATAAATATGTAAGCAAATAATTAAAATAAATTAAATAATATTGGGCAGAGTATCTCCAGGGGATTGTGGGTACCCTGGGTCAAGTATTTCTAAGAAAGTGCTCAGAGAAGGTTTGATAGCACTTATGTTTGAATAGAGTTTTGTGAGCTGAATGGAAATTTCCCAGGTGAAACAACTTAATCTATAGTTTTAGCTGAAAGATATTTCTGTGTTTTATTATTGAAATACATAACACATTACTAAAATTCTACTAAATTCATGTCTGCAAAATAATATAGAGTATTTAGCCCAGTAACTGATGCGAATCACATACAAGATTTATTAAAACAGAATTTATTATTTTTAAAATGACAGAAATGAAGTGTGAGTGCCAAACAAAGTAAGCCTATTTCATTTGGAAAACATTAGGTAATCAATGTTAAAATAACTGATTAAATTAAACAATGAAGTCTATTACAACTGTCTAAGGATGATATTCAGAGCATTAGATGCATCGGACACCAAGTGTTAACAATATTTTAGCAGGCTTTTTTCTTAGAGACATTGAAGGAGATTGACATCCCTAGCTCACAGTCACATAAAGGAGCTTATTTCAAGTCAATGTCCCCCAAATCTCTCTAGTTGGTGATATTTCTATCCACCTTGGGGGCTATTAATTCAGTGAGAAGACTGTTATTATTACAGATTTTTAAATGTTTTTAATTTTTAATTTTTGTGGGTATATAGTAGGTGTATGTATTTATGGGTATGTGAGATATTTTAATACAGGTATGCAATGTAAAATAAGCGCATAATGAAGAATGAAGAATCCATACCCTCAAGCACTTATCCTTTGAGTTATAAACAATCCAGTTAAACTCTTTAAGTTATTTTAAAATATATAATGAAGTTGTTATTGACTATAGTCACCCTGTTGTGCTACCAAAGAGTAGGTCTTATTCATTCTTTCTATTTTTTTGTACTCATTAACTATCCGCACCTCCCCAACCCACCCACCCACACACTACCCTTCCCAGCCTCTGGTAACCATCCTTCTGCTTTCTATGTCCATGAGTTCAATTGTTTGATTTTTAGATCCGAGAAAAAAAGTGAGGACATGTGATATCTGTCTTTCTGTGCCTGGTGTATTTTACTTAATGAACTTCAGTTCCATATATATTGTTGCAAATGATAAAATCTCATTCTTTGTATGGTTGAATAGTACTCCATTGTGTATATGTATCACCTCTTCTTTATCCATTATCTTTTGATGGACACTTAGGTGGCTTCCAAATCTTGGCTATTGTAAACAGTGCTGCAACAAACGTAGGAGTGCAGATTTCTCTTAAATATACTGATGTTTTTTCTTTTGGGTATACACCCAGCAGTGGGATTACTGGATCATTTGGCAGCTCAATTTTTACTTTTCTGAGGAACCTCCAAACTGTTCTGTTTCTATAAAGATACCTGAAAATATGGAAGCAACTTTGGAAGTTGGTAACAGGCAAAGGTTGGAAGAATTTGGAGGGCTCAGAAGACAGGAACATGAGGGAAAGTTTGGAATTCTTTAGAGATTAGATAAATGATCTTGAAAAAAATTCTGATAGTAATATGGATAGTGAAGTACAGGTTGATGAGGTCTCAGATGAAAATGAAAATATACTGGGAACTGAAGCAAAGGTCACCCTTGCTATGCCTTAGCAAAAAACTTGACTGTATTGTGTTTATACTCTAGCAATCTGTGGAAGTTTGAGCTTCAAAATGATGACTTGGGGGTATCTGGCAGAAAAAAATATCTAAGTAGCAAAGCATTCAAGATGCGGCCTGTCTGCTTCTAACAACCTATGCTCAGATGTTGGAGCAAAGAAATCACCTAAAGCTGGAACTTATATTTAAAACAAAAGCAGAGCACACGTTTGGAAAATTTGTAGCCTAGCCGTGTGTTAGAAAAGAAAAGCCCATTTTCAAAGGAAGAATTCAAGCAGACTGTGGAGCAACCACTGGCTAGAAAAATTAGCACAATGAGAGTCCTAGTGCTAACATCCAAGATAATGGGAAAAAAGGCCTAAAAGGCATTTCCGAGATTTTCAAGGCAGCCTCTCCCATCACAGACCCAGAGGCTAAGAGGAAAGAATGGTTTCAAGGGCCAGGCCTGGGTTCCCACTGCCTTATGCAGCCTCAAGACACTACTTCCCATATCCTGGTTGCTCTGGCTCTAGCCTCAGCTCAAAGTGCTCCGGATACAACTCAGGCTGCCATCCCAGAGGTTACAAGCCATAAGCTTTGGTGGCTTCTATGTGGTGTTAAGCCTACATGGACACAAAATGCAAGAGTAAAGGAGGCTTGGAAACCTCCACCTAGATTTCAGAGGATGTATAGAAGTTTGGGTGCCCAGGCAGAAGCCGGCTGCAGGAGTAAAAACCCTACAGGGAGCCTGTCCTAGGGCAGGGGCAAGGAAAATATGGGGTTGAATTCCCCACACAGAGTCCACAGTGGGCACTGCTTAGTGGAGCTGTGGAAATGGGGCCACCACCTTCCAGTCCTGGGAATGGTAGGTTCACTGGCAGCTTGCATCTTGAGCCCAGAAAAGCCACAGGCACTGAACACCAACCTATTAGAGCAGTTACATGTGCTGCATCCTGCAAAGCTACAGAGGCAGAACTTCCCATGGTCTTGGGAGTCCACCATTTGCACCAATGTGCCTTGGATGCAGGACATGGAGTCAAAGGAGATTATTTCGGAGCTTTAAGATTTAATGCCTCCCCTGCTGGGTTTCAGATTTTTGCGAGGCCAATTTCTCCCTTTCAGAATAAGAATGCTTACCTAATGCCTGTACCACCATTGTATCTTGTAAATAATTATTTTTGATCTTACATGGTAATAGGTAGAAGGAACTTGGATCTCAGATGAGAGTTTTGACTTTGGGAGTTTTGAGTTTGGGCTGAAACAAGTTAGGACATTGGAGGACTATTGAGAAGAAGTGATTGTATTTTGCAAAATGTGAAGAACATGAGATTTGGGGGACCAGGGTCAGTATGATATGCTTTGGATATTTGTGCCCTCCAAATTTCATGTTGAAATGTAATCCACAGTGTTGGAGGTAGGGCCTGGTGGGAGGTGTTTGGATCATGGGAGTGGATCACACATGTATAGTGAGGTGCTGCTCTCACAATAGTGAGTTTTCACTAGATCTGGTTATTCAAAAGTGTGTGGCACCACCCCCTTTCTCTCTTTTTCCCTCTCTCACATGTGAGATGCTTGCTACCCCTTCACTTTCTGCCATAATTAGAAGCTTATTGAGGTCTCCACCAGTAGCTGATGCCAGCACCATGCTTCTTGTACTGTCTGCAGAACTTTGAGTCAGTTAAACCTCTTTTTAAAAAATAAATTACCCAGCCGCAGGTATTTTTATAGTGATTCAAAAATGGCCTAACACACTTAACACACTACTATAATCACTTTGAACGTGTTTTTCTCATTTCCTCCTTTTTTTCCTTTTTCTTTTTTTTTTTTTCAGATTCATGTGGTGGGAAATTTCTCTCTTCTTAAGAAATAAAACAAAATTCAGAAGTTTCTTTATGCATGTAAAATTAATTTCAAATTCCTAAGAAAGATAGTCAAGCCCCACTGCATCTTACCAACTCCCTTTTGAATCTTGTTCCCCAGTACACTTCTTCCCACTCATGACCTCTTTATTCCAATGCACTTATACACATTACACTTGAGCTCTCTTGACTTTTTTGTCTTTCTCCAAATATTCAATTAACTTTCCTTTAATTATTATGTAATTCATTTAGAAAATATTTACATAGTGATTGTTATGTGCTAGGTACTTTGCTAGAATACTGAGGATATAGTGAGAGAAAAAGATGACAATGTTTCTCCCTTTGAAAAGCTTATATTTTAGTGTAATATGAAGATAAACAAGCAATTATAGTATCATATAAAAAACTCTAACATGGAGCAGTAAAGTACATTATTGGGGAAAATGGCAGATAGAAGGCAGGACTACATTGCAGCTCCCACTCAGATGGACAGAGCAGCCTGTGGAGACTCACATCATGAACTTTTTCTCCCATAAATACCACAGGAACATACAAGGAAAGCCGAGAGAATCCACGGATCCTTTGACGGAAGCAGATTGCTCCTGCAGGGCCTTAGAGACAGTGAGTGCCCAAAGTATAAAAGTGTGAAAGGAGTATCATGTGCGCATGAACACACACCCTCACGGGGGAGCCTGAAGGTCCAGATTTGGCCTTATTTGGAGCTGAGACAATTTAGGAGAACTCAGTGAAATACAGGGGTAGAAGAATCAGTGAGAAGAGACATGTGGGCTCTCTCAGTCCCCAGGGATGCCATTTCTGACTTTGTCTTGCAGAAGTCCTATAGGAGGGCTGCCGGAGGAACTGGAAAAAGACCACACAGAAAGAAAACTTCCAATTGAACTTTGTAACAATTTTGACCAAACATAGTATCCTGGACAAAACTCAGTCTGGTATGCAGACATAGCACAGAAGCCAAGCCCTGCTTGCTTTCACAGCTTGGAGGCTGGTAGCCTGGGGCAAGTTTTCAGTTCTGCTCACCCACTGCCTGGAAACAAACTTAGAGCTGTTGGAGCAGGCAAAATAGGAGTGAGACCAGTCTTTTTGTCTGCGTGACAGCTGGGTGAGGGCTGTAACTGCTAACTTTCCCCTATTTTCCTGGTGACCTGCATGACACAATGAGGCAGCTATAGTCCCCCTGGGTACATAAATCCATTGGCCTGAGAACCACACCCTTATCCCCCAAAGCAGCTGCAACAAGCACTGCCCAAAGAGAGTCTGGGCTTACATATGCCTAACCCTGCCCCTACCTGATGGTCTTTCTTTACCAACCCTGGTAGCCAAAGGCAAAGAACATATTCTCCTGGGAGCTCTAGGACCTCACCCATAGCCTGATTATCCCTATGCTACCACAGCTGATGCTCTTTTGAAAGCACAATATCCTGGAAGGATGCCAACCAGCACAAAACTAGTGCAATAAACAAAACTACAACTAAGGACCCTCAGAGAGTCAATTTCACTCCCCTACCACCTCCATCAGAACAGGTGCTGCTATTCGTGGCTGAGAAACCTGAAGACAGTTCACATCACAGGATACTGTGTAGACACCCCCTAGTACAAGCCTGAAACTTGGTAGCTCCACTGGGTGGCTAGATCCAGAAAAGAAATAACAATCACTACAGTTAAGCTCTCAGGAAACCACATCCCAAGGAAAAGAGTGAAATCACTACATCAAGGAAGCACCCCAGGGGAAAAAAAAATCTGAACAGCAGCCCTTGAGTCCCAGATCTTCCCTGTGACATAGTCTATACCCAAATGAAAAAGAATCAGAAAAAGAATTCTGGTAATATGACCAAAAAAAGTTTTTTAACAGCCCCAAAAGATCACACTAACTCTCCAGCAATGGACTGAAATCAAGAAGAAATCCCTGAATTGCCAGAAAAAGATTTCAGAAGGTCAATTAGTAAGCTAATCAAGGAGGCATAAGAGAAGGGTGAAGCCCAACTTGATGAAATAAAAAAAAAAGATACAAGATACAAAGGGAAAAATCTTCAGTAGAATAGATAGCGTAAATAAAAAAACAATCACAACTACTAGAAATAAGGAACACACTTAGAGAAATACAAAATGCACTAGAAAGTCTCAGCAATAGAATTGAATAAGCAGAAGAAGGAACTTCAGAGCTCAAAGACAAGGTTTCCAATATCACCCAATCCAACAAAGACAAAGAAAAAAAGAGTTTAAAAAATAAACAAAGCCTCCAAGAAGTTTGGGACTATGTTAAACAACCAAACCTAAGAATAACCAGTGTTCTGAGGAAGAAGAGAAATCTAAAAGTTTGGAAAACATATTTGAGGGAATAATTGAGGAAAACTTCCCTGGCCTTGCTAGAGATCTAGACATCCAAATACAAGAAACTCAAATAACACCTGGAAAATTTATCTCAAATACATCATCACCTAGGGACAGAGTAATCAGATTGTATAAATTCAAGATGAAGAAAAGAATCTTAAGAGCTGTGAGGCAAAACCACCAGGTAACTTACAAAAGAAACTTATCAGATTAGCAGCAGATTTATCAGCAGAAACCCTACAAGCTAGAAGAGATTGGGGCGCTATCTTCAGCCTCCTTAAACAAAACAATTATCAGCCAAGAATTTTGCATCCATTGAAACTAAGCTTCATAAATGAAGGCAAGACACAGTCTTTTTTAGACAAACAAATGCTGAGAGAATTCACTGCTATGAAACCAGCACTACGAGAACTGCTAAAAGGATCTCTAAATCTTGAAACAAATTCTCAAAATACACAAAAATAGAATCTCTTTAAAACATAAATATCACAGGACCAATAAAACAGAAAGACAATAAGGAAATAAAAAAGCAGCAAGGTATTCAGGCAACAAATAGCATGACAAAGAGAATGGTACTTTACATTTCAATATTAATGTTGAATTTAAATGGCCTAAATGCTCCACTTAAAAGATACACAATAACAGAATGGATAAGAATTCACCAACCAAGTATCTTCTGTCTTCAAGAGACTCACCTAATACATAACAACTCACATAAACTTAAAGAGGTGGAAAATGATATTCCATGCAAATGGACACCAAAAGCAAGCAGAAGTAGCAATTATTATATCAGACAAAACAAACTTTAAAACAGGCAGCAGTTAAGAAAGACAAAGAGAGACATTATATAATGATAAAAGGACTAGTCCAACAAGAAAATATCACAATTCTAAATATGTATGCACCTAACACTGGAAGTCCAAAATTTATAAAACAATTACTATTAGACCTAAGAAATGAGATAGACAGATACACAGTAATAGTAGGAGACTTCAGTACTTCACTGACAGCACCAGACAGGTCATCAAGACAGAAAGTCAACAAAGGAACAGTGAACTGAAATTATACTGTAGAACAAATAGACTTAACAGATGTGTATGAAACATTCTACCCAAAACTGCAGAATATACACTTTATTCATCAGCACATGATACATTCAATAGACCATATGATAGTCCACAAAACAAGTTTCAGCAAATTAAAAATAAATAAACAAAAATTATATCAAGTATTCTCTCAGACCACAGTGCAATAAAATTGGAAATCAATTCCAAAAAGAATCATCAAAACCAAGCAAATACCTGGAAATTAAATAACCTGCACCAGAATGTTCTTTGGGTCAACAGTGAAATCAAGATGTACATTTAAAAACTTTTTTAACTGAATGATAGTAGTGACACAACCTATCAAAACCTCTGGGATGCAGCAAAAGCAATGCTAAGGGAAAAGTTTAGAGCATCAAATGCCTACATCAAAAAGTGTGCAAAATCACAAATAGATCTGAGGTCATACCTCGTGAAACTGAAGAAACAAGAACAAACCAAACTCAAACCAGCAGAAGAAAAGAAATAACAAAGATCAGAATAGAAATAAATAAATTGAAGCAAAGAAAATATAAAAGATAAAGGGAACAAAAAGTTGATTCTTTGAAAAGATAAATAAAATTGATAGACCATTAGCAAGATTAATCAAGGAAAGAGAGAAGATCCAAATAACTTCAGTTAGAAATAAAACAGGAGATATTATTACTAATACCACAGAAATACATAAGATTATTGAAGGTTACTATGAACACCTTCATGTACATAAACTAGAAAACCTAGAGGAGATGGATAAATTCCTGGAAACATACAACCCTCATAGATTAAATAAGGAAGATGTAGAATCTCTGAACAAACCGATAACAAGCAGCAAGATTGAAATGGTAATTTAAAAATTTCCAACAAAAAAGTCCAGGACCAGATGGATTAACAGCTAAATTCTATCAGACATACAAAGAAGAATTTGTACCAATTCTATTGACAATATTCCACAAGGTACAGAAAGAGGGAATCCTCCCTAAATCATTCTATGAAGCCAGTATCACCTGGATACCAAAACCAGGAAAGTATATAACCAAAAAAAAAAAAAAAACAAGAAGAGAAAAAGAAAACTACACTCCAATAGTCCTGATGAATACAGATGCAAAAATTCTTAACAAAATACTAGCTAACTGAATCTATCAGCATATCAGAAAGATAATCCACCATGATCAAGTGGGTTTCATAACAGGGATGGTTTAACATACGCAAGTCAGTTGATGTGATACACCACATAAACAAAATTAAAAACAAAAATCACATGATCATCTCAATAGATGTAGAAAAAGCATTTGACAAAATCAAACATCCCTTTAGAATTAAAACCCTCACCAAAGTCAACATAGATGGAACATACCTAAATGTAATAAAAGCCATCTATGACAAACCCACAGCCAACATAATACTAAACAGGAGAAAGTTAAAAGCATTCCCCCTGAGAACTGGAATAAGACAAGAAAGCCCATTCTCACCACTTCTATTCAATGTAGTACTGGAAGTTCTAGCCAAAGCAATCAGACAAGAAGAAGAAATAAAGGACACCCAAATCAGTGAAGAGGAATTCAAATAGTCACCATTTGCTGATGATATTATTGTATACCTAGAAAACCCTAAAGACTCATTTAAAAAGCTCTGAGAACTGGTGAATAAATTCAGCAAAGTTTCAGGATACAAAATTAATGTACACAAATGAGTAGCTCTGCTATACATCAACAACGACCAAGCTGAGAATCAAATCAAGAACTCAACCCCTTTCACAATAGCTGCAAAAAGTCAAAATAAAAAAAATTCCTAGGAATATAACCAACCAAGGAGGTGAAAGACCTTTGTAAAGGAAACTACAAAATACTGCTGAAAGAAATCACGAATGACACAAGGAAATGGAAACAATTACCATGCTCATGGATGGGTAGAATTAATATTGTAAAAATGAACATACTGCCAAAAGCAATCTACAAATTCAATGCAATTTCCATCAAAATACTACCATCACTTTTCACACAACTAGAAAAAACAATCCTAAAATTCATGTGGAACCAAAAGAGAGACTGCATAGCCAAAGCAGGACTAAGCAAAAAGCACAAATCTGGAGGCATGACATTACCCAACCTCTAACTATACTGTAAGTATAGCTTATACTTTACTTATACTTAAAACTTATACTATAAGTATAGCTCACCAAAACAGCATGGTACTGGTGTAAAAATAGGCACATAGATCAATAGAATATAATAGAGAACCTACAAATAAAGCCAAATACTTACAGCCAACTGATGTTTGACAAAGCAAACAAAAACATAAAGTGGAGAAAGGACACCTTATTCAACAAATTGTGCTAGGATAAATGGTAGGCCACATGTAGAAGAATGAAATCGGATCCTCATTATCACCTTATACAAAACTCAACTCAAGATGCATCAAGGACTTCAATCTAAGACCTGAAACTATAAAAGCTCTAGAAGATAACATCAGAAAAACCCTTCTAAACATTGGTTTAGGCAAAGACTTTATGACCAAGAACCCAAAATAAAATTCAACAAAAACAAAAATAAATAGATGAGACTTAATTAAACTAAAAATATTCTGCACAGCAAAATAAACAATCAGCCGAGTAAATAAGACAACCCCACAGAGTGGGAGAAAATCTTCCCAGTCTGTACATACGACAAAAGACTAATGTCCAGAATCTGCAAGGAGCTCAAACAAATTAGCAAGAAAAAAACAATCCCATCAAAAGGAGGGCTAAGGACATGAATAAGCAATTTTCAAAAGAAGTATACAAATGTCCAATGAACATGAAAAAATGCTTAATATCAATAATGATCAGGAAAATGCAAATCAAAACCAGAGTACGATACCACCTTACTCCTGCAAGAATGGCCATAACCAAAAATTTTTTTAAAAAAAGATATTGGCAGGGATTTGGTGTAAAGGGAACACTTCTACACTGCTGGTGGGAATGTAAACTATTACAACCGCTACAGAAAACATTGTGGAGATTCCTTAAAGAACTAAAAGTAGAACTACCATTTGATCCAGCAACCCTACTACTGTATATCTACCCAGAGGAAAAAACGTCATTATTCGAAAAAAATACTTGCACACATGTGTTTATAGTAACACAATTCACAATTGCAAAAATGTGGAACCAGCCCAAATGCCTGTCAATCAATGAGTAGATAAATAAAGAAAGAAACTGTGGTATGTATATACCATGGAATCCCACTCCATCATAAAAAGGAACAAAATAATGGCATTTGCAGTGACCTGGCGGGAATTGGAGGCCATTATTCTAAGTGAAGTAACTCAAGAATGGAAAACCAAACATTGTTCTCAATCATAAGTGGGAGCTAAGCTATGAGGATACAAAGGCATAAGAATGATACAATGGACTTTGGGGACCCAATGGAAAGGGTGGGAGGGGGGTGAGGGATTAAAAACTATCAGTTGGGTACAGTGTATACTGCTTGGGTGAGGGGTGCACTAAAATCTCACAAATCATCACTAAAGAACTTATTCATGTAACAAAACACCACTTGTTCCTCAAAACCTATGGAAATAGAAAATTGAAAAAAAAGTTTTAAGTGCATTATTGGAACACAGAGGTGGAGATATAAAAGGTTTGATCCTACCATATTTCAATTTGATAGGTTTTTAGACCTTATTGTTTTAAAATATAAATATTTTGACTTCAAATTTATAAATTTATTTTTTCAAAGCCACATTAACATAAATATTTCTACTTTTGATAAAGAGTCTCATTTTGTCACTCATGTTGGAGTGCAGTGTTGCACACACGGCTCACTGCAGCTTTGACCTCCTGGGCTCAAGTGATCCTCCTGCCTCAACCTTCCATGTAGCTGGTACCATAAGTGTGGACCACCATGCCCCCCATGTTTGATTTTTTGTAGAGATGGGATCCCATTTTGTTGCACAGGCTGTTCTCCAACTCGTGGGCTCAAGCAATTCTCTTGCCTTAGTCTCTCAGAGTGCTTGGATTATAGGTGTGAGCCACTATATCTGGTCATGAATTTTTAATAGGAAATTAATTTCAAGAATAGCCATTTAGCCATGTTAAGAGCTTGATACATTGTTTATCTAGTCCAGTTAAACCATGTGAAGTATCAGCCTTCATTGGTGGTTTCCAGTCTTTATTTATACCAAGTTTAATTTTTCATGAACAATATTTGAAGGTTTTTTAGTTCATATTTGTAATAAATTTAGTATAATAATAAACTTAACATGCAAAAATAACAATTTTACCCATTACAAATTTTATTTAATATGGATTGATAGTACCAGTAATATTCATTATGAATATATATAGATTATACTTCTTAGGGCAAAGAGCATTAGCACGATAATGTCTTCATGAACAGTGGGATCAAAACCTCCACAAGACCAATGATAGGAACAATACTTCCCAATGAGTGACCTCCAAATTAAGACCTAAGGATGAGTAAAACTTTTCCAGTTTAATAAAAACTAGGGTGGCGCAGATAGAAAAAGTGCCCCAGTCAAAGGCTCAGAGATGAATGAGTGCATGTTATGTCATAATTTTCTGCTATTGTACTTTTGCGTATATTTTTTCTTCTACTTGTAATTTTTTTCCTCCTTCTCTCCATTTCTTGAGACCGTTGGCCTGTTATAAGGAGAACTCAAATCATTTCCAGTGGGATGCTTTTTATATTTGAAAGAAGACATGACTATTTTTTATTTGTTCAATGTAAGACCACAAGGTGAAGTAGATATTAGAAATATGACAAAATAGATAAGATTATTAGGGGAACATGGGTGGATCTGCTATTATTCTGGTAGAATTTTTGTTAAATAAACACAAAGATAATAAAGACGGATCATATGCAGTATTTAATTTGTGTCTCCTGTTCAAAATAGATGTAAGTACATTTGTCTTTAATTTCATGCAGAGGGTTTTGAGTTAAATGAGCTTCGTTATACTGTTTCACATTTTTGTTGAATTGGGATTGAATAAATATGGTACTTTTATCTTCATTGTCAGTGGTTGATTAACTTGGTGATCCCAATTTAATGTTTTCCTTAAACAGAACTATAAGGACTATATCAGTCCAATCTCAAGTGAATTTTATGTTTCACTGAATTTGGCCAGGCAAATAGAATTCTAGTGCAAAAGATACACATGTTCAAATTCATGATCTGAAACTTATACATATACTACTTATTAGAAAGACAACTAAATATGATATAATATACCTGCAAGTTTTATAACACAAAGATTAGGTATTTTTCATAAAAGAGTAAGTAATAGTCCTTTATTATTTTATTATGTACTTGGATAGAATAAAACATTCAATTATTCTGCAACATTGTTTTCAGCCAAATAAGGTTATTAGCGCACCTACAAGAAGAATATATTTGGTTAATAAAAACATGGTCACTTACATGCACTGTCTTTTTTAACTTTTGTTAATTTCTCAAAATAAATTAAGTTGAAATAAGTTATTTTGCTTTGATATCTTCTAAACTTGATCACCATATCTGAAGTCACTATGTAGACGAGTAGAAAATTCAATGATTTAAATAGTGTAAAATTCTTGAGTGCTCCTCTCTCATAAATTGTAGCAGCTTTAATAAATAACTGTATAGCTGTTTTTCTATATTCCATATGACTTCTGTGCACATCCAGAGGATGTCGCTTACTATGCAACAACTTATATGAACATTATAAGATTCTTAGAATATTATTCTCTTCAGTTTATATCACAGGTCCCAGATGGCTTGACTTAATTTAATTTTACAGCTACCTTCTTGAGAGAGTATATTAAAGCCAAATAATCCTTCAATAGAATGAGAGAGCAATGAGGTTCACAAATAGAACTACACCACATTAATTGTGAATTATATTTCCACATGAATGAATTTCTGAGTTGCAGTCAAATTTGAATTTAAAAACATTGTGGAACACAAGTCCTTTATGAGAAAAGAGATCCTTGTTTCATTAAGAAAAAGGTGCACAATGTTGGTTATATATATATGTACTAAATCATCTCTCTAGTTAAGATCCCAACCTAAAACAGATTTTTAGTGAACTTTGTTGTCTTGTATTTTTTTTAAATCGTATAGCGCTTTTTCTCTTGAAAAAGCCTTTGATTCCTGTAGCTGAACATCTTCTATGATGATTGTTGCAGTATCATCTTTGTATGGTTATTGATATTCCTGCTTCTGATTAAAATTTAGTGTTTTCTTTTTTTTTTTTTTTTTAGTTAACATAAAATATATGTCTTCAGGCCTCTTTGGCCTCGGTCAGGAATGTATAACAACTGAAAAAGGTTCAGACGAGAGACCAGTAATTAGGCACAGCTTGTAAAGCCAATCAAGCTCAGTCTACTATTGCTCCTAGGGACAGGCTGATGATTGACATTGCAGTGAAGGAATCTCAGAGGTGGTTCTGCAGATTATAATCAAACTGCAAAAACAATTAGTAGGTAAAGCTCATGGATTAAATTTAAAAAATCTGTTGAGCAGGAAACATTCTCAACTAAAAGCTGAAGAGAGTACCTTATTGATAAAAGTTAACAACCTATAATTTTTATGTGATCAATACTACATGTCAGTTAGATTTCTAGAGTTTTCCATAGTAGTAAATGGTGGCTTTTATTCCTTTTTTTGCTGTCATTCTCTTTACCTTTTTTCTTCCAAAGCAACCCATTATAAAGTGAAGTGTATTGCATACCTCATTTCAAATTTTTGTACAAATATGCATATATTTTTTCATTGGGGGAAATGCCATAATTAAGACTTTGAAAACAGATATATTAGAATTTTACTAAGTTCTAAATAAGATGGCATTGGTTGGTTTATCTAGATGTATAATAATTAAATTATCTACATACATCTGTATATATACTTACAGCATTATCAGAGATATAATCTACCATAATTATAGACTATAAATTTCAAAGATATATTAATTCTTTAAATGAATGTCAATGTTTGTATAACCACATTAAAAGTAAACATCCAAGTGCTGCTAAACCTTCCCTGCATAGCGTGTACAAATGGCTGCTTGTAAGAAGTTAGTGATCTTTGCCTAATGTTTGAGACTGACTCAATTTAACAAATATTCCCTGAACAATTTGTAAAAAGGACATAAAGATAAAAATAGAAATGACTATTTCACTAAGTATAATGAGTGCAATAAACTGTTTACATAATGTATGCTACTAAGATTCAGAAAATAGAGAAATGATATTAAGTTATGGGAATAGAAAAATTTCATGGCTGTTGAATTTCGAATGAATTTTGAAGGATGTATTGGCAATTGGCATGTAGAAATACAGAGGGACATTTCACATCGAGGAAAAAGCATGGTGAATGATCAGCAATATAATGTAATACAATTTGGTAGAAATCGATTATTGAATGTACACCAAGACCACTTTTCTGTGAGATTTTGAATGCCAAAGTTAGAAGTATGTAATGATTGAGAAGAATATGAGAAGTCATGGAAAGTTTTGTTTTGCATGTAATGGTGAAGAAATGTTTTAAAAGTGCATTTTGGGTTCATTAATCTACAAATAATGGGTAAAGTCAATTGACAGAGAATCCAAACAGAAGGGCCAGCATGCAAGCTAAATCAATAATGCAGTTAGCCAGGAGATAAAGAACACGTGAAATAGAGTAGTTGTAATGGGACTGGAAAGAAGAGGGTACATTTAAAACATTTTTTTTCAGTATAGACACAATTTTATTTAGAAAATCTTCTATTCATGGTTGATTGAATCCATGAATGCTGAACCCACAGATATGGGAGTGGCAACTGTGTAGAACAGTGTGTCTCATTTCCACATAAGCTTATGATTAGAAGCATATGTATTAGGATAGGAATTTAATCTGTAGGGAGAAATAATTTATCCTAGATATTAGTTTAATAAAAACACATATATAAAAGAAATAGAGAACTAAATACAGAACCTATTTCTGGGCATTTATGTAAATAAGAAATTTCCACCAAAACGGAATATTCATGCCTCTTGCCTAGTTGGCAATACTATGGCAATAAAACACATTTATTAAATGCCTAGTTAACTTTCGAAGATTCCAGAGATGAGTCAACAAGCATGGTTATTGGCTTCTATGACCTTGTTCTTTTGAAGACAAGTTCTAATCTTATTTTTTTTGTACCCCTAGTTTTTTTTTTGCACAGAATCTGCAAGATAAACACCAAGTAAATTTATACTGAATGCATAAATGAATGATTGAAGATTAAGATTACCAAAGAAAAATTAAATGCCTTAACAAATAACATGATTAAGGAATTGATACTTTGTTTTCCATGTAGAAAAAAGAGGACAATGTAAATAATGTAACATGTTTCCTAAAGAAAATCAAGTTCAACCCCAACTGCTTAAGCACCTCTACAGAGCCCGATTGGTCTTGTCCTCACAGAACAGTTTGAAAACCACTAATCTAAACAATAATACACAGTGAGAGTGTAACTGGAGACAGAGAATGAAAGCTTCTCGTGATTTTGTAGTGTGTAAGTATAGTCTTACCCATAAGACTATAAGATATCCATCACCATAGGATAACCAGCCATTTTCCTGATGGGTGGAATATATTCTGCCTAGAATAATGGGGAAACTGTGCAAAATAATTTTTGAGGCTCTCTCTCACCAGTTGATTCTCACCTCTCTTAGGAGAAGACAGGAATAACTACTCTCAGAAACATTTACATTCTAAATATCAGAGATTATTGTTGTCTGATACTAATATTAGAAATATATGGAAAAAGCTCAAGATTTGGCAGGTGAGTTCTTCTATTTTATATGGGACTCCAAAAACCTATGCCTTTTTATAAGGGATTGAATACAAGGATATGCAAAATGCTCGAAGAAATCACCTTAAGTCTACATATCACCAAGTCTTTCTTCTAACTACACTTGGAATTTCACACCCTTGAATTCCAAATGTTTGCAAACATTTTCTGACCCAACTGAATTCCATTTCAATGTATCTGCTTGGCTCCAGCTTTTGTAAACATACAATGAAAAAATTTAAGGTAGTAGAAACTATAGTACATGATAAAAGCGATATAGGAGATGATAAAAAGAGAGAAGTAATGTGACTCCGAGGTTTCAGGTTAGGGTTACTAAAAAAATGGTGGAGCCGTGAATGACAACAAAAAGAGGGGAGTCTTTGGGGAGAGTATTAGAGAGTAATTTCTCTTTTCAACAAGTGTTATGCTTACATAAATTCTGTAGCTATATTGGCAAAACTATTTCAGACAACAATTAGCCACCTCTAAGGACAAGACACCTAAGGGTGGGAAGAAAAAGTTAAATATTTTTGTGGTTTAATAATTTGTTGAAAATTCAGTGGTCTCTGTCACGCACGTCCGTGTGAAGAAACCACCAAACAAGCTTTGTGTGAGCAACAAGGCTGTTTATTTCACCTGGGTTCAGGCGGGCTGAGTCTGAAAAGAGAGTCAGCAAAGGGTGGTGGGATTATCATTAGTTCTTATAGGTTTTGGGATAGTTGGTGGAGTTAGGAGCAATGTTTTGTGGGCAGGGGGTGGATCTCACAAAGTACATTCTCAAAGGTGGGGAGAATTACAGAGAACCTTCTTAAAGGTGGGGGAGATTACAAAGAAACTTCTTAAGGGTGGGGGAGATTACAAAGTACATTGATCAGCAGAAATAAATCACAATAGTGGAATATCATCAGTTAAGGCTATTTTCACTTCTTTTGTGGATCTTCAGTTGCTTCAGGCCATCTGGATGTATACGGGCAGATCACGGGATATGATGGCTTAGCTTGGGCTCAGAGGACTGTCAGTCATGGCCGATGAAATAAATTGGATTAGAGTAAAAGTTCTCAACTAAAGCTCACTGCCAACTTCCAAGAAGTACACTTTATGCTTTGACATCGTCTATTTTAATAAAATGCCTAGATAGATATATATTTTAACAGTATGTAATGAAATTCCTTAAGCCTTCATTATCGGAATAGAACTGTCATTCATATTGTCAAGTCACTAAGAGAAGGCTGAGGAATAGCAACCAAGACAATGGCTATTTAATGTTTCAGCTTATAGTATGAGGACACATTGATAATATTAATGACAGCTATTATTAAAACGAAGCGGTTAAGAGGGTGACCTCTGGAGTTGAACTTCTGGGTTTAAATTCTGGCACTACCCTTTATTATGTGTGATTTTGGGCAATTTTTAAGTAATCTCTGTGAACCTCAGTTTATTTATCTGTACAATGAGAATAATAGTAGTAACTACCTCATATGTGATATTGTCACAGTTAAATAGAATAATATATATACAGGAAAACCAAATTAACGTGATCTTCATGTTATAATACATGTGACACTGCATGCTCTGACACGGGATGAAGTCATTCTTTGTTCTACTACATAAATAGATAATACCCAGCAACATTGATTGATCGTTTATTATATGCCAGGAAGTGTTTTAAGAACTATGAATTAATTCAATGTCACAGCAATATTCTGTGTTAAAGTTCCTATATCAAGTGAATAAACAGAAACACAGAGAAGAAATATACCTAATATTAGTGAGACTAGGACCCAGAATTTGAACCCTGGAAGTCTGACTTCAGAGCCAGTATTCTTAATTACTATATTAAATTGCATGTCATTCAGAAAAGTTTTCTCAAACCTACTTACACAATATGCAGTATTACAGTTCATGACCAACCAATTAAAAATAACAGTTTAAGGTATTCATTCTATTACCAAAAAAAAAAAAAAGCCCAAAAGCAGATGCATTTTTTAAATCATGTATAAGTTCTATCTATTAATTACAACAAAGCCTCTATTTGTAAGCAACAAAAAGAACTTACTTAAATTGTTATATGAACTTGAAAGTATAATGCAAATTCATGTATATGATGATTGCTTATCTGAAACTCTGGTTTAGTAAACTACTTTGTTTGTATGCCTGATAATTCAAACCCTCGTTAACATCTCATTTAAATGTAAGATGTATTTACTTTGAGGAAGACCTAATGAGATCTTGGTAAATCCCCTTACACAAAGAGATGCTTTTTTGTGTAAATTTAAAGGATGACACTCCCTCTAAGTGTTCTACATTTTCTTGCATGCAGCTTCTGTCAATCTCAAGCCATTCCCATTTCTGAGGATGCATTATAATAAACACATTCTTTTAAAAATCCAAGGTCTCCAAACCCAACAATTAGAATTTGAGAGGTTTTATTGTAATTCTAAATCTTTGAATCTACTCCTTCTCTACATCAACTATACTCAAAATAATAATGAACACAGTGAAGAAAGTGCTAACTCTGGGCTTTCAATTGCCAAAAAATATATTTTCCTTATTTTCTATTGTAAGTCTTGTAATATCTTGGTTGTGAGTTTATTTGAGACTTTGGAGGTGTTATTAAACCTAATGTTCTCAAATACATAGAAGCAAAAAAATGTAAGTAAGTACATATATCTCTATTTGCATTGCCTTTTCCTTAGTCCTCGTTTCAGCCTGGTCTGGATTATTAAATAGCACTATCAGATTTTAGGGACAATCTTTTAGTCTTTGGTATTTCTCATTGTTATTTATGTGATATATTCCCTCTCTTAATAAGGCAGGCTGGTTAAAAGTACTGTACTCTTAAACAACATTTTTAAAAAGTGCAGTATTTGGAAGTTGTTGCAGTTGTTATTAATCAAACTGAACACTGGATGGCAGTCCTAACTAATAGTAGAAACAAAAGCTATTGATAAAATAGGAAGAACTGATTCAAAGTAATATTATAGGCAGTTTAAGTTTCTTGCCAATTTTAACAGCTAAAAAGTCAGCAAAGAACTTTGAACAAAGATGGTGACAGGATCAGAGTGTTAAAAATAGCGCGCTTGCTTGGTGTATCATCATGAATATGTGAAACTTGCTTTTCAGTTCACTTGACAATGTTGTGCACAGGAATCAATTTCAGAAGTTTTACTCCAATTATGATGCTCAGTCTTAGACCACAAATTAGATTCACCGACTTTATTGTCATCTAAAACTCAGTTTGGGCTGGCAATATAGCTAGCATGATTATAGTCTGATGTGAATTTCCCTCAATAACTTTTAAATACGCTTGATTCCCAAAATGTAATCCTGGTGGTTTCTTTTCTGCTTTCCTATTCATCTTCCAACTTTATAACCAAGATCCCTCAAATGGAAAAGAATATATTCGGATATCTGATTTTTATGTCTGTGAGGCATGCCTTCTTTTGTAATTGAGGTAAAAGACATTGGAATGATTCAGATATTTCTATGCATGTTCATAGTATAGTGCTGGTGCATGGATATTGGAGTAAAATTGACCTAACCTTGAATCCCAAGTTTGCCACTAATAAGCTAGGTAAATGGAGATAAGTTATTTAATCTCTCTGGTCCTCAGTTTCCTCAACTATAAATAGATGAATCTATAAAATACCTTTTCATAGATTTGGTGTATATTTTAAATAAAATTATGCATGCAAAGTATTTCAGATGATCTTGGACACATAGTATATGCTCAAGAAGTGTTAGCTATTATTGTTGTCATTATTGCCATGATCAGCTTCACTCATATCACACATTCATTTTTAATGAATATTTTGTTAAATGATCTCTTAGTTAACTAAAGGTATTTGTTACTCATTTAAATTCTTAATGAACTAAGATTGAATGGCAGTAAATATTAAATTGAGAGGCAATAACTTGGAAACCAAGGAATTGATAATAAAGAATAAATTATATATTTTTATTTTTTCCTCCATATATTGTTAAATGAACTCACTGACTCTGCCTCTAAATTATGGGAGGATGAACCATTGTTATATTGCTGAAGAGCACGTTCTTCCCCTTTAAAACAGGTCTGTTTCAGATACTTTTGTTAAAATTCTTGTTTTTAGGAGGAGCAGTGAGATTAAGTACATTTTGTGTTGCTTACCATTAAAGCCTTCTAGATTGCAAAAGAGAAGCATGGTAAATTCTCACTTATGAATTTACTTAATATCTAATTCAACATACACAGAAACACAAAGAAATATCTTAAGGCTTTCATTAGCCATGCAACACAATGTTATTAATATCTTCTAAAATACTATTTCTGCTTAGAGTTGATATTAAGTTTACCAGATTAATGCATCAAAAATACACCTTCCTTTCCGACTCAACATTATCATCGCCTTCTTAATGAAGAAAATATTTTCTTCATGCTATGAAAACTTTTGTGGCAATAAGTAATTTTAGATGATTGTTTTATAGTTCTGGAGTAAGAAACCAAGCATTTAGTGATACTTCAAAAAATTCAATCTATGTTAAGTAAGGACTCTAGAAATCACATGGACTTTTTTTGTTCTAACATTCAAAACAAGAAACCAATATCCCTGCTTCTAGGTTCATGAGGAATTCATACATATACACACACATAATGAATGTATTTCCTGAGAGCAAACATGTTAGCTCAAGTGTATAGATGCATGAGATAATCATATGAATAAAACAGACAAAATTTTAAAAGTCCTGGCTTGAATTGTATTAAAAATCTGGAAAGATTATTTATTATCCAGCTTACAGAAGTAGTGAGGGGTTAACCTAGATTCTAGTGCCACCAACATAAGGAAAAAAAAAACCAGACATTTGAAATCTATAATTACAAAAAGCCAGTTTTCAATCCCTGCCTTGAATAAGTTTCAGCTAACTTAATACTTATCTAGGAGTAATTTATTTTTGAACAAGAGTAGCTCTAAAAAATTAGCAAATGTTAAATTGAAATATAACAAACACCTTGAAAAATTTCATGTAAGACTTGGTAAGGAAATTATTACCAAATGTTTTTATTTCTTTAGTGGGCCTCACTCACAAATGCAAGAAAGCAAATAAGGAACTAAAATATTTGCCTCTGTAATATATGTTAAGTATACAAGTAGTTGTTCCCATGACAAACGCTTATTTGTTACAATCTCGTAGGAGTGGGCAAAGGACATGAGAAGACATTTCTCAAAAGAAGATATACAAATGGCCAAAAACCATGAGAAAAAAATGCTCAACATCATGAATTATCAGAGAAATGCAAATTAAAACCACAGTGAAATACCAATTTAACCCAGCCAGAAGGGCCATTGTTAAAAAGTAAATACATACATATATATATATATATATATATATATATATATATATATATAGGCATGGATATGCTGAAAAAGGAATGTTTATAACACTGCTGGTAGGAATGTAAATTAGTACAGCCTCTATGAAAAACAGTATAGAGATTTCTCAAAAAACTAAATTTAGATCTGCCATTCAATTCAGCAATCCTACTACTGAGTATCTACTCAATGGAAAAGAAGTCACTTTATCTAAAAGACATCTGCACACATATATTCATTGCAACACAAGTCACAATTGCAAAGATATGGATTCAACCTAAATGCCTATCAGTTGATGAGCAGGAAAGAAAATGTGGGGATTGAGATGGCAGATAGGAGGCAGGACCAACTTGCAGCTCCTGCTCGATGGACAGAGCAGCATGTGGAGACCCACATCATGAACCCACATCCAAGAACTACCATAGGAACATACCAGGAAAGCTGAGAGAATCCACAGACCCTTTGAATGAACTGAATCCCTTCTACAGGCTTCCTGACATGTCAAAAAACTGAGTCTGCTTGCTTTCTTAGTTGGGAGGCTTGTGGTTTGGGGCAAGTTCTCAGCCCTGGTCACTGGCTGCCTGGAAATAGACTTGGTGCTGTTGGTGGGGCATGATGGGAGTAAGGTTGACCTTTAGGACTGCAAGCTATATGGAAGCAGGATGAGGCCTGTAACTGCCAGCTTTCCCCAACTTCCCTGGTAGCCTGTATAACACAGAAGAGGCAGCCATAATCCCCCTGGGAATTTAACTCCATTGGACTGGGAACCACACTCCCATCCCCCACAGCAGCCACAGCAAACTCTGCTCAAAGAAAGGCCGAGCTTAGACACACCTATCCCTGCACCCACCTGGTGATCTTTCTCTATCTACCCTGATAGCCAAAGAAAAAGGTCATAATCTCTTGGGAGTTCTATGGCCCTGCCCACCATCTGAGAAACCTGAATACTTAATCATATGTCCCTAGGGCAAGTTTGCAACCTCCTTTCAGGACTGCAGCTGATTCCATCTTGAAAGCGCCACCTCCTGGCTGGAGGTCAACCAACACAAAACCAGCAAACTAAACAAAACCACAACCAAGGATCCTCAGAGAGTCCACTTCACTCCCCTCCTACCTCCACCAGAGCAGGTGCTGCAAGACATGAGTATAAACCATATCACGGGACTCTATGCAGACACTCCTCCGTACCAGCCTGGAGCCCAGTAGCTGTGCTGGGAGGCTAGACCCAGAAGAGCAAAAATAATCACTACAGTTGAGCTCTCAGGAAGCCCCATTCCTAGGGGAAAGGAGTGAAAACCACATCAGCAGCCCTTGAGCCCCAGATCTTCCCTCTGACATAGTCTACCAAAATGAGAGGAACAGAAAAACAATTCTGGTAATATGACAAAACAAGGTCCTTTAACACCCACAAAAGATCATACCAGCTCACCAGCAATGGATCCAAACCAAGATGAAATCTCTGAATTGCAAGAAAAAGAATTCAGAAGGTGGATTATTAAGCTAATCAAGGAGGCACCAGAGAAAGGTGAAGTCCAACTTTAAAAAAATCAAAAACATGATACAGGATATGAAAGAAAAATTATTTAATGAAACAGAGAGCATAAATAAAAAACAATCACAACTTCTGGAAATCGAGAACACACTTAGAGAATTGCAAAACGCACTGGAAAGTCTTAGCAATGGAATCAAACAAGCAGAAGAAAGAACTTCAGAGCTCAAAGACAAGGGTTTTGAGTTAACCCAATCTGTCAAAGACAAAGAAAAAAGAATTTTTAAAAATGAACCAATCCTAGAAGAAGTTTGGGACAATGTTAAATATGTAAGCCTAAGAATAATTGGAGTTCCTGAGGAAGAAGAAGAATCTAAAAGTTTGGAAAACATATTTGAGGGAATAATCACAGAAAAGTTCCCTGGCCTCGCTGGAGATCTAAATATCCAAATATAAGAAGCTCAAAGAACACATGGGAAATTAATCTTAAAAGGATCATCACTGAGGCACATACTAATCAGGTTATCTAAAGTCAAGACAAAGTAAAGAATATTAAGAGCTGTGAGGCGAAAGCATCAGGTAACCTATAAAGGAAAACCTATCAGATTAACATCAGATTTCTCAGCAGAAACCCTACAATCTAGAAGGGATTGGAGTCCTATTTTTAGCCTCCTTAAACAAAACAATTATCAGCGGAGAATTTTGTATCCAGCAAAATTAAGTTTCATAAATGAAGAAAACATACAGTGTTTTTCAGACACACATATGCCGAGAGAATTTGCCACTACCAAGCCAGCGCTACAAGAATTGCTAAAAGGAGCTCTAAATCTTGAAATAAATCCTGAAAATACACCAAAATAGAACCGCCTTAAAGCATGCATCTCAAGGGACCTATGTAACAATAACACAATGACAAAAATACAAGGTATTCAGGAAACCAATAGCACAATGAATAGAATAGTACCTCACATCTCAATACTAATATTGAATATAAATGGTCTAAATGCTCCACTTGAAAGATAGACAATGGCAGAATGGATAAGAATTCACCAACCAAGTATCTTCTGTCTTCAAGAGACTCATGTAACACGTAAGGACTGACATAAACTTAAGGTAGAGGGGTCCATGCAAATGGACACCAAAAGCAAGCAAGAGTAGCTACTCTTCTATCAGATCAAACAAACTTTAAAGCAACAGCAGTTAAAAAAGACAAATAGGGACATTATAAAATGATAAAATGACTATTCCAACAGGAAAATATCACCATTCTAAGTATGTATGCACCTAACACTGGAGCTCCCAAATTTATAAAACAATTACTACTAGACCTAAGAAATGAGATAGACAGCAACACAATAAGAGTGATGAACTTCAATACTCCACTGACAGCACTAGACGGGTCATCAAGACAGTCAAAAAAGAAAAAATGGACTTAAACTATACCTTACAACAAATGGACTTAATGGATATATATGGAACATTCTACCCAACAAGTGCAGAATATACAGTCTATTCATCAGCACATAGAACATTCTCTAAGATAGACAATATGATAGGCCACAAAACAAATCTCAATAAATTCAAGAAAACCAAAATTATATCAGGTACTCTCTCAGACCACAGTGGACTAAAATTGGAAATCAACTCTAAAAGGAACCCACAAAACCATACAAATGCATGAAAATTAAATAACCTGCTCCTAAATGATCATTTGAAAAGCACAAACAGACAATCTAAGATCAATCCTCATGGAACTGGAGAAGCAAGAACAAACTAAAGCCAAACCCAGTGGAAGAAAAGAAATAACAAAGATAAGAGCAGAACTAAATAAAATAGAAACAACAACAACAACAAAAAACCCACAAAAGATAAATAAAAGAAAAAGTTAGTTCCTTGAAAAGATAAATAAAATTGATTGACCATTAGTGAGATTAACCAAGAAAAGAAGAGAGAAGATCAAAATAAGCTTAAATAGAAATGAAATGAGAGATATTACAACTGATACCACAGAAACACAAAAGATTATCCAAGGCTTCTACGAACACCTTTATGCATATGAACTAGAAAACCTAGAGGAGATGTGTAAATTCCTGGAAATATACAATCCTCCTAGATTAAACCAGGAAGATATAGAATCTCTGCACAGACCATAATAAACATTGAGATTGAAATGGTAATAAAAATTTGCCAACAAAAAAGAGTCCAGGACTAGACAGATTCACAGCTGAATTCTATCAGACATACACAGAAGAATTGGTGCCAATCCTGCTGACACTATTCCAAAAGATGGAGAAAGGGGGAATTTTCCCTTAATCATTCTAAGAAACCAGTAGCACCCTAATACCAAAACCAGGAAAAGAAATAACAAAAAAAGAAAACTACAGACCAATATTACGGATAAACATTGATGCAAAAATTCTCAACAAAATACTAGAGAAACAAGTCCAACAGCATATTAAAAAGATAATTCACCATAATCAAGTGTTTTTTTTTTTTAACAGGGATGCAGGGATGGTTTAACATACGTAAGTCAATAAAGGTGATACACCACATGAACAGAATTAAAATTAAAAAATCACATGATCATCTCAATAGATACAGAAAAAGCGTTTGAAAAAAATCAAGCATCACTTTAGGATTAAAAACCTCAGCAAAATTGGCATAGAAGGGACATAACTTAAGGTAATAAGAGCCATCTATAACACACCCACAGCCAACATTATACTGAATTGGGAAAAGTTGAAAGCATTTCCTCTGAGAACTGGAACAAGGCAAGAATGCCCACTCTCACCACTTATATTCAATATAGTACTGGAAGTCCTAGCCAGAGCAATCAGACAAGAGAAAGAAATAAAAGGCAATCAAACTGGTATAGAGGAAGTCAAATTGTCACTGTTTGCTGAGGATATGATTGTATACCTAGAAAACCCAAAAAACTCATCCAAAAAGCTCCTAGAACTGGTAAATGAATTCAGCAAAGTTTCAGGATACAAAATTTATTTGCATAAGTTAGTAGCTCTGCTATACACAACATTGACCAATCTGAGAATCAAATCAAGAACTAAACTCCTTTCACAATAGCTGCAAAAAAGAAAAATGAAATAAAATATTTAGGAATATGCCTATGCAAGGACAGGAAAGATGTCTACAAAGTAAACTACAAAACGCTGCTGAAAGAAATCATAGGTGACACAAACAAATGGAAACACATCCCATGCTCATGGATGGGTAGAAACAATATTGTGAAAATGACCATACTGCTAAAAGCAATCTACAAATTCCATGCAATTCCCATCAAAACACCACCATCATTTTTAAAAGAACTATAAAAAAAAATCCTAAAATTCACATGGAACCAAAAAAGTAGCCTGCATATCCAAAGCAAGACTAAGCGAAAAAAAAAAAAAAAGGAAGAAAGAAAGAAAGAAAAAATCTGGAGGCATTATATTACCTGACTTCAGACTTTACTATAAGGCTATTGTCACCAAAACAGCATGGTACTGGTATAAAAACAGGCACATCAACCAGTGGAACACAATAGAGATCTCTGAAATAAACCCAAATACTCACAGCTAACATCTATTTGACAAAGCCAACAAAAACATGAAGTGGGAAAAGGACAACCTATTCAACAAATGGTGCAGGGATAATTGGCATGCTACATGTAGAAGAATAAAATTGAATCCTCATCTATCATCCTATACAAAATTCAACTCAAGATGGATAAAAGACCTAAATCTAAGACCTGAAATCATAAATATTCTACAAGATAACTTTGAGAATACCCTTCTCGACATCGGTTTAGGCAAAGACTTCATGACCAAGATCCCAAAAGCAAATGCAACAAAAACAAAGATAAATAGATAAGACTTCATTAAACTAAAAAGTTTCTGCACAGCAAAAGAAATAATCCACAGTGTAGTGTAAACAGACAACTCACAGAGTGGAAGAAAATCTTCACAATCTGTACATCCTACAAAAAACTAATATCCAGAATCTACAAAAAGATCAAATGAATCAGCAAGACAGAAACAAAGAATCCCATCAAAATGTGGGCTACAGACATGAATAGACAATTCTCAAAAGAAGATAATACAAATGGCCAACAAGTATATGGAAAAATGCTCAAGATCACTAATGATCAGAGAAATGCAAATAAAAACCTCAATGTAATACCACCTAACTGCTGCAAGAATGGCCATAATCAAAAAGTAAAAATAATAGATGTTGGCGGGGATGTGGTGAAAAGGGAACACTTTTAGGCTGTAGGTGGGAATGTAACCTAGTACAACCGTGATAAAAAACAGTGTGGAGATTCCTTAAAGAACTAAAAGTAGATCTACCATTTGATCCAGCAGTCCCACCACTAGGTATGTACCCAGAGGAAAAGAAGTCAGTATACGAAAAAGATACTTGCACACGTATGTTTATAGCAGTACAATTCGCAATTGCAAAAATATGGAACCAACCCAAATGTCCATCAGTCAAAGAGTGAATAAATAAATAAAGAAAATGTGGTGTGTGTATATATATATATATATACACACACACAAACACACACACACATATATATATACACACACCATATATACACAATGTGGTATGTGTGTATATATATATATATATATATATATACACACACCACATTTTGTTAGTATTCATATATATATATATATATACACACACACATCATATGTACACAATGTGGTATGTGTGTGTATATATATATATAACATTTTGTTAGCATTCATACACACACACACACACACACACACACACACACACACAATGTAATACTACTCAGCCATAAAAAGGAACAAAGTAATGGCATTCTGAGCAACCTGGATGGAACTGGTGACTATTATTCTAAGTGAAGTAACTCAGGAATGAAAAACCAAATATCATATGTTCTGACTCATATGTGGAAGCTAAACTATGAGAACCCAAATGCATAAGAATGATACATTGGAATTTGGAGACTCGGGAAAGGGTGGGGGTGGTGACGGATAAAGCACAACACATTGGGTACAGTGTACACTGCTCAGGTGATGAGTGCACCAAAATCTCAGAAATCACCACTAAAGAACTTATTCATGTAACAAAACACCACCTGTTCCTCCAAAACATACTGAAGTAAAAAATATAAAAATAATAAAATGTGGTGAATACTATAGAATGCTATTCAGCCTGAAGAATGTATTTTGCAGCAACTTGAATGGAACTGAAGGCCATTATTCTAAGTGACGTAACTTAAGAATTGAAAACCAAATATCTTTTGTCTCACTTATAAGTGGGAGCTAAGCTGTGGGTATGCAAAGTCATACAGAGTAGCATAATGATCATTGGAGACTCAGAATGCAGAAAGGTAAGAGATGGCTAAGGGTGAAAAATAACATATTGGGTACAAAGTACACTACTTGAGTGATGCGTGTGCTAAAATCCTAGACTTCTCTACTATACAATTCACCCGTGTAACCAAAATCCACTTGTACCTCTAAAGCTATTGAAATAAAAAAAATTAAAAAACAGTATTCCTATATGTGTTTGAATGAATACTTTTTATCTTGTTGTGGTAAAGTAGTAAATGGAATTTGAATTTCTTTTTCTCAGTGTGGGTGCACACCTGTGTGTGTGTGTGTGCGCGCGCGTGTGTGTGTGTCTGTGTGTAGGGAAGAGTAAACATACTATATTAGGGGATATGACAAATGTTCCATAGATGCTATATATGTTTAAACGACCCTTTTATTTACCTTTAAGTACAGTTCTTAAAAGCTAGAAAAACACCTATTACTATCATTTTTTGTTCTGAAGATTACATCAAAGGAACATTCCAATGAAATTAGTCTTAAGGGAAAATCGAAGACTTTTAAGAAGACAAACCAAAGATTTTAAGAAGACAGAGCAGTTTTACTACAATGTGTTTGTTGATTTTAATCCTCTGACTTTTCAAGTATACTTATTTTATCTCAAATATTAAGGCCTTCAGAGTTTCCAACATACAAATAAGCAGAATTACTATTAAATATAGTGTCCAAAATGGGACATTTTTGAGAGTGAATAGAGACTCAATTAATCATAGTGGTAGAATAACATGCAAAGGCGAGACCTCCCCCAAGCAAACTAGGAAATATGTTTACTACAACTAAAAGCTGGTGATAATTAAATTAACGACTAATTTACTATTTCACTCGTTTTTCTCTCCCAGTAAGCCAATTTTAATACAGGGATGTCTGTCTTTTTCAAGTCCATGACAAGCTAGATCACATGCTCATTTTGAGTGGGAGTCAGGTTTTAAACTTTCTTTGTCCTCATATCCTCTAAGTGAGTACAGCGGGATAAGAACTGAATAATACCAATAATGACAAGTACTTGCTATGGGTCAAGCACTGTTCTAAGCACTTTATAAGTACAAACAAATTTTAGACCCTCCATAGTCCTGTGAGGTACTAATGTTATCATCTCCACCTTAAAATAAATAAACTGAAAAAGAGCTGTTAACTTGCCCAAGCTTACACAGCACTAGAATTCACACTCTCTCGTCTCCTCTCCTGCTTTTATTCTCCTCTGCTTATGTCCCTGTCTCCTTCTTCCTCTGTTTCTGCTTTCTTCTTCCCTTTTTTCTTCCTTTCTTGTATCTCTTCTGTCTCTTTTATTTATTCCTCCTTCTCTTCTCTAATCTCTTATGTTTATGTTTTATGGTATAGCCCATTTTGTGAAAAGGTTCTACTACTCAAGAATAAAAAGGTGTATAAACCACTGGATTTTCTGTTCTCTGTATTTCTAGTCCTTAAATATTTCAATGAATATCATTTACTGACTATTATGTAGAAGAATATATTCTAAAATGTAGCACAACATAAAAAATGAGAATGAGTAGGAGATTCCCTGAGTTAGAGGAATGTGCAGTTTAATATAAGAATCAAACAATATCTAAACAAGAAAATAAGATACATTATTATTCCACAGAAGAGAGTCCAGTCTTACAGAGATATTCCCTGCAGTTGAACTCTTGGTATATGCTCATTTAAAATTGTGGATGGGGTATACTTGGATTAGTTCCTATCAAAGCAAATTACTACCTAAGTAACTCTTATTTCCTTACAGTATAGAAGTTACAAGTACACCCTGTTCTCTCTACCCTTCTCATTCTTGGCCAATCTTCCAAGATTCACCCAGTAAATATTTAGTACCCTGTCTAGGTCAGGAGTAATACTGGGATTCATCACATTTACCAAGCTTTTTGAAATTATGTGTTTACTCATTTTTCTCTCCCAGTAAGCCAGTTTTAATCCAGGGATGTCTGGATGGGTGGGTCTGTGTGATGACACTTTGTGAGATTATATGCAACACTTTATGTCTTTGAACATATAATATGTCATTTTCTGGGCAGAGATTCAATATACTTCACCAGAATTTCAAAAGGAGCCATGTGACATAAGAAGTACCTCCATCATAATTTGGATATTGAGCACCTCAGTGGTTAAGATCATAAACCCTAGATTTAGCCCAATCACCTATAAAATATGTAATACATGGTAAATGACACAATTATTTAGCTTGAGTTTCCTCTCTGGTTTATTGTGAAGACTAAATGAAGTGATTTGTGTAAATCAGTTAGTATAGTGTCAGGCACTTAGTATATGCCTGATAAACGTTAAGGAAAAATACAGTGTTTTTCATGTAGTAAGCATTCAAATAACAAATACGTAATGTGAGCATCTCCTTAAGGCAGAGTTCCTCAACCTTGGCACTATTGACACTTTGATCCAGATAATTATTTGCTATGATGGGCTGTATCATAGGATGTTTAGTAGTATCCTTGACCTACTAGATGCCAGTAGCACGCCTCTCTCAGTTATGGCAACCAAAATGTCTCCAGACATCGTCAGGTATCCTCTGGGGGGCAATCACCTCCTCACCTCTAAGAACATGTTAATAGAGTTGAGCAACAGGTTATAATACAATTGTTTTTATCGGTTTAATATATCACAGTCAGAGGTAACATACTGACCTAGTAGGTAGCAGATCACTTTGTGTGGAGGGGACTGATTTGATTTCCATTAATTGACATTCCCTAGAAAACTTCAACTACATCCTCCAGGAGTCCAGAAGCCATGGTTAAACGGGTAAGTTGAAGCATTCGCCAATGTGAAGACACCTTGAAATATCTTCTATTATTAGAGCATATCTAGGCACCTGCTAGGCAAATATATGGCTCGCCCACCATTACAGAAAACCAGAATAAGCTAACAGACATGAAAAACAACAACAAAAACAACAACAAAACTACTTCAATCTTAGAAACAGTGTTTCTAAGGCAAAATTAGAAGAACTTTTATGTCAAAATCATTTATTTCAACAAAAGAGGTATGCTTAAAATTTACTAATCTTTCATTCTATCAGAGAAATTACCAAAAGGCTGTTATGGAACATAAAGATGCTATGGAAATATCTGAAATTTTGAAACATGAAACAAACCCTGGAATTCCTTGGTCCTAAAATTTTACCCAATGTCTTCTAGGTAAGGTAGTATATGGGTAGATTAATATTTAACCTTAGGTATTGAAATGCATTTTTACGATTTGGTCATGATGAAGTGAGAAAGTATGATATTTTATATTTTTGGTCTTTAGAAAACATGCAGGAAAAAGTAGCTTCTCTTTTCAAGCCAGTCAGTGCACAATGCTAACATGATACGAATTCTATTTTATCATAAGATCTTATAAATATAATGAAGCACTTCTGTTTAAGGCGCTTGTCTCAAAAGCCAGGGGGTCTATTTTTAATTCTTATAGGATTTAAACTGTTCCTTAATTTATATAAGAAAATATTTCACTAATGAGATAAAAATGTTAAACCAACAGTTAAGCTGTTTGCCTACAAAATTTAGTGTCTCTGTGTGTAAGAGCCATTGATGACTAGGATTTCAAGGTCATATTGCAAAAGAGCAATTTGTGAGAGAAAATTATTCTGATCTTTTTCAAAGCTTCACTTATTCCTTACCATAAAATGCATTTTCACAGTTTACCATTAATCTTTATTGGTTGCAGAAAACTGATAGAAGGTCTGGTGTCACATGCTGTGCTCTGTACCTGGGGATTTAAAATATAGGAATCTTGCTTTGATTTATGCGGATGATTAGACTTTTATGTAATTATGAACATAATGTATTTTCTTTTTATATATTTTTATGAAAAATTCTGCAAAATTAAAAATTATTTTAAGTAAGTTTTAGTGTGTTTCTCCTTCATATGAGAAATATATATATATATATATATATATACACACACACACATATGTGCTTATGCATTATACTCATGCATCTTTCTTTGAGTAATACATGTTTATCATGAAGACGTGCAAGTGTGGGTAGAATGCCTTTGGGAAATAAATGTATTCTGAGTGTAAAAATTGTCGTGACTAGGGAATGTGCAAAATCAGTCTATATATTAAGTTATACTCTCATGACCTCTAGCATATTGGAATCACAGTTGGCATTTCAGGTTATTTATGCTTAGAAAATGTCCTACTTAAAAACACCATGGAGGAAAATAGTTCATTTTGCTTCTGTGAAATATGGCAACTGCTCATATTTAATAGTATACAGATTTTTGAATTTGCTATCTCAGAGATGTGCAAATAATTTCAAATTGAAAAGTAGTATTCTATTTTTCAGTTCTTCCCTCCTCTTTATGATGTTTACATTCATTGTACAATCAGGCATTTATACCTTAATGAAATCCAGCTAAACCTAAACAATGCTAATTATCTGGATGAAAGCCTGTAAAAGTGAATGTGAAATTCATTTTACTCATTTTATATGCGTATATATATATTATACATATTAAGGTTAAAATCATGGGAGGACAGACTATCAGACTTGAAAGTTTCCCTAGAGAACATTCAGGCAAACCCTCTCATTTTCCAGATAGAGAGACTGAGGCCTAGATGAAGGAAACAACTTTGCCAGTATAAAAAATAATGATATGCCCTAATCTCCAACTTGATACTGCACATAAGTAAGCCCCAGAAACTGACCATAAAACAATCAAAGGAGAGAGTAATGACATAGCAATACTATTGAGATATTTAAACAGTGGACATTTTCAAGTGGCGATACAGGAAGCACTAGAGAGAAAGTGTTTATTTTCACTGATATTTTTACTTTTCTTCTCTTGTGAAAGCCAGGCTGATCCATTTACTGGGTTGTTTTTTTTTTTTTAATAGGAGGTAGAGAGATAAGCATGAAATGAGAATAAGTTTAAGTTTTATGAGAAAAAGTACAGCAAAAGGAGCAGTAGATCATAAGACAGCACTTACTCTTAGTGCACAAATAGATAAAAAACGTTTAAGGGAGGCAAGTGATAAAAAGCATTAGAAAAGTAGAAAGCAAGAGAAACACACCATGATGTTGTAAGTATTAATAGCAAGTGGCACAAACATAAATAATAATAAAACTAGCTATACTTTAACACACTTGAGGAGGCATTTTACAAAATTTTGGGCAGAAACACTTCTAGGGACAATAACTAGCAAGCTTAATAGATCCAGATAACTATAAGATTTTAAAATAGGATTGTCAAAACAAAGAGAACAGAAAAATAGACCTGACTTGGGTGGGCTCTCAGAGTCATCTGGTAACTATGCTAGTGCTCATACAGGAACTAACAATCCACATTTGCCTCATGTGTATGTTGGTCCACTTGATAAAGTATAGATGGATTAATCAGGGTTCTCCAGAAAAACAAAACCAACAGGATGTGTGTACACATGATTTTAGTTTATATTCTGTTGCTCATAACAGAATACCTGAAACTGCAGTAATTTATTAAAGAAACAGGATTTTTTTTTTTTTTTATAGTTATGGAAGCTAAGAAGTCTAAAGTCAAGCGACCACATTTGATGGAGGTCTTCTTTCTGGTTGGGACTCTGAAGTCTCAAGTTGGTTCAGAGCATCACATGATAGGAGGGGTGAGCATGCTAGTTCAGGTCTCTTATCTTCTTATAAGGCTAGCAGTGCTACTCCTGTGATAACCCATTAATCCATTAACCCATCAATCCTTTAATTCATAAATGGATTAATACATTCATGAGGGCAGAATGCTTACGACCCAATCACCTTTGAAAGGCCTTAGCTCTCAATACTGCCACATTGGGGGTTAAATTTCAACATAAGTTTTGGAGGAGACAAACATTAAAACAATGGTATTCTTCCTCTGGCCCCCAGAACATGATGACCTTCTCACATCCAAATATGTTTATTCTATTCCCATAGTCCCAATATTGTCATATATATCAGCACTAACTCAAAAGTCCAAAGCCCCATATGTAAAGTTAAAAGAAGTTATCTACTTCCAAGGTACAATGGTAGGACAGGTATAGGGTAGACATTCCCATTGTGAAAGGGAAAAATAAGCAAAAAGAACAGGGTAACAAGCCCCAAGAAAGTCTGAAACCAAAGAGGGCTGACATTAAATCTTAAGGATGGAGAATAATTTTTCTTAATTCCGTGCCCAGCATCCTGTGCACAGGATGCTCAGCCCACGTGTCAGCTGCCTCAAATTGGCATTGCGCACACTGGTAGCTGTACGGTTCTGGGGTCTTGGGTAGTCCCACTCCCACTTTACTAGGCATTGCCCTGTGGGGACTGTCTAAGGCAAATTCCACCCCACATTTCTACTCAGCATTGCCCTCGTGGGAGCTCTTTGTGATGACTCTGTCCTTGCAATAAGTCTCTGCTGGGCTCAAAAGCTGTTTGGTACATTTTTTGAAATCTAAGTGAAAGCTGCCATGCCTACACAGGCTCTTGCATTCTGTGGGCCCACATAATTACCACATGGATGCCTCAAAGGTTTACAGCTTCTATCATTCAGAGAAGCTGGTCAAGCTGCACCTGGGGCTACGTGAGCCATGGCTTGGGTGGCCAAGGAGTCTTCTGCTGGAATGCAGGGCAGAGACATCAAGGGGACCTGGGCGGCAAGCCCATGGAGGGAACCCTGGGTCTTTTCACAAAAACAATTATGCCCTCCTAGGTCTCTGAGCCTGTGATGGGAAGGGAAGACTCAAAGATCTCTAAAGAGACTTCAGGGTCTTTTATCCATTTTCTTGATAATCCCTTCTCTCTGGACTAATCTCCTTAGCAAATTCACTTGACTTTACCCTTTGTTTCCTCTCACAAACATGTTTTTTCACTCTACATGACCAGGCTTAGAGTTTTCCAAATATTTCCACTTTGCTTCCCTTTTGATTATAAATTCTTTCTTTAAATCAATTTTTCCTTCTCACAGCTTAATATAAGCTGTAAAAGTAGCTATGTAGCAGCCCAAACACTTTGTTCCTTAAAAATTTCTTATGTCATATCCTAATTCTTTGCTTTTAAGTTCTGCATTCATAAAGCCCTACATCAGATATGATGCAGCCAAGTTATTTGTCAGTGTATTAGTCTGTTCTCACGCTGCTAATAAAGACGTACCTGAGACTGGATAATTTATAAAGAAAATGAGGTTTAATGGACTCACAGTTCCACATGGCTGGGGAGGCCTGACAATCATGGTGGAAGGCAAAAGAAAAGCAAAGACATGTCTTACATGGTGGCAGGCAAGAGAGCATGTGTAGGGAAACTGCCCTTTATAAAACCACCAGATCTCATGAGATTTATTCACTATCACAAGAACAGCATGGGTAAAATCCACCTCCATGTTTCAATTACCTCCCACCAGGTCCCTCTCATGACACATGGGGATTATGGGAGCTATAATTCAAGATAAGATTTGGATGGGGATACAGCCAAAGCATATTATCCAGTTATAAATAAAAAGAGTGGCCTTTATTCTAGTTTCTGATATTTTGCTGCTCAGTTCTATCTAAAACCTCACTAGATGATCTTTACTGTCCAGATTTCTATCAGCATTTTTGTCATAAACACTTAACCAATCTCTAAGGATTTCCAAACTTTTCTTAGTCTTCTTGTTGTCTAAGCCCTTACAAGAATCTTGGCTTTTTCTAGCCTGCTCCTCCAAATTCTTTCAGCTTCTGCCTAATACCCAGTCCCAAAGCAGCTTTCACATTTTCAGGTATTCATTGTTATCATTGACTATTTGGTACCAATTTTCTGTCTTATTTCATTTACTGCTACTTTTAACAGAATACTTGAAACTGCGTGATTTGTAAAGAAAAGAAATTTATCTTTTTATTTTTACACATATAGAGGCTAATAAAAGTCTAAGGTCAAGTGGCCACAGCTGGTGAGGGCCTTCTTACTGGTGAGGACTCTCTGCAGAGTACTGGAGCAGTGCAGGGTATCACATGGTAAGGCAGGTGAGTATGCTGGCTCAGGTATTTCTTCTTATAAAGCCAGCAGTTCCACTCACATGAGAACCTATTAATTCATTAAGTCATAAATATGTTAATCCATTTATGAAAGCAGAGCCCTCATGACCCAATCACTTCTTAAAGACCTCACCTTTCCATACTGCAACATTGGGAATTAAGTTTCAACATGAGTTTTTGAGCGGATAAACATTCAAACAATAGTCAATATAGGACCTTTATTACAAGGGATTAGCTTAAACAAGTATGGAGGTGGGCAAGTTCAAAATACACAGGGTGGGCTGACAGGCTGGAAACCTGGGAGAGCCAATATTTCATTCCAGTAAAAAGATCATCTGCTGTAGATACAAGAAAGGCTGTTATTGCAGGTGAAGTCCAAGGAAAGTCAGCTAGAGATTTTTCTCTTGTTCTGGGAAGATCCGTCTTTATTTTTTTTATTCACGACTTCAACTGATTGTATTAGGCCCATTCACATTATGGAAAACAATCTGCTTTACTCAAAAGTTTGCCTATTTAAATAATAATCTCATCCTAAACACCCTGAAAAAATACCCAGAACAATATAGAATCAAATATACGGGGAACCTGAGCCCAAGCCATTTTGACCATTATTGTAGGGATATATAAGGACATAACTTATCTGCATATATTTGTGACCTCGGATTGTGATTAAGCTCTGTTTACTCCACTCTAAATGAATAACCATACTAGACTTTCTCTTGGTGCTCATATGAGTAATACTCATATTCCTTCAATAGTTAAAGAATAAAGTTAAAGGAAGGAAAATTGATTTTTTAAAACTTGAAATATAACAATCAATCTTATTTATGGAAATTGAGAGGTAGAATAAGTCTGATGAGACACAAAGACCTAATGTAATAAATACAGAGCTCCAAATTTTTATTCCTCTGCAGTTTCCACTCTGAACAGTAATTGCTAATCTGATTTTTCTAGTGTCATTATGACTTGTTTGAGATGCTTAATACAGCTATAAAGCATTTGTCTTGTACTCTGTTATACTTCACCTATGGTTGTCTATGTGTTTTCCTCCGCTGCAAAAGTAAACCATTTGAGCTTGGCTTACGCAAAATGTCACTCATAAATAAACTCCTTTTATTGCTTTGTCCATTCTTTCCATGAAATTGGGGAAATTGTGTGCATTCTCATAGGCCTGTTAATTAATGATTGCATGGATATATGTAATTTCTGAGAATACATTTATAAATTATTTTGTTTAAAGAGGGAGGAACTGAAAACATTATAAACATATGCAATTTTGTTCTTAGAAATAGAATTTTAACCATATTTTGAAAAACAAATATTTTATGAGGGTAAGTTCTCCATTCTTTGTTTAAACTATAGCCCTTCAGTTTCTCTTGCTTAATAACAATTTTATACCCTCATATTTTTTGTGAGTGATGAAAAAAAACTTTTTCTTGCAAACTTCTGTTTAGTCATGAAATAAAATTTAATGCAGTGAAATTTAAAATACCATTTAAATACAGTGACACTGTAAGTGATTTCATGCTATATTTTGGTATTTCAATTATAAAACCAACTTGGATAGTATCTGAATAGATTCTACATTACATAGGCCCCAGTCTATGACAAATTCTTGGTTAACAAAGTTTTGGCATAATTATAACTATTTTATTAATCAGCCTTCTCCTAATTATATGTAAAAATTTCCCAATCCTCAGCTTACCTGTATCTTTATTCTATTGGGAGGGGAGTGGAAAAGCAGGATTGGAGGCATCCTATAGACTGCTTTGAATCTTCTCGGAACTGGAAACATAGAGACCCACTGAAAAGAAAATCAATATTTCACTTATTTTACTGCAAGAGCTTGGGAGAAATGTTATTTTAAAACTCCTCTGACTTACAGTCAAAGTGTTGTTTTGACCAAGATCTTTTGAGTTGATGGTTGAAAAGGAGACATACCAAAGCTTTTGTGTGTAATAACTGTCCTAGTCCATTTTCTGCTGCTACAACATAATAATACAGACTGGATAATTTATAATAAGGGAAAATGTATTTGGCCCATGATGCTGAAAGATATGAAGTCCAGCATCAAGGGTCTTCATTGGGTGAGGGTGTTCTTGCTATATCATAACATGATGGAAGATATCAAATGGCAAAGAAGCATGCTCAAGAGTTAGAGAAAATTGGGCTTCAGTAGGTCCTTAAAAAAAAAAAATGAGACCAGGTAATTTATTTTAAAAAAGAAGTCTAATTGACTTATGGCTCTGCAGGCTGTACAGGAAGTATGATGTCCGCATCTGCTCAGTTTCTGGGGAGACTGTCAGATGTTTTCAATCATAGCAGAAGACAAAGGGAGAGCTGGCACAATGCAAGAACAGTAACAAGAGGAGAGGAGAAAGAGATGCCAGACTCTTTTTTTGTTTGTTTGTTTGTTTTGTTTTTTTTGAGAGGGAGTCTCCCTCTGTCGCCAGGCTTGAGTGCAGTGGTGTGATCTCGGCTCACTGCAACCTCCACTTCCTGGGTTCAAGCGATTCTCCTGCCTCTGCCTCCCAAGTAGCTGGGATTACAGGCACGCACCATCACGCCCAGCTAATTTTTGTATTTTTAGTAGGGATGGGGTTTCACCATGTTGGCCAGGATGGTCTCAATCTCTTGACCTCGTGATCTGCCCGCCTTGACTTCCCAAAGTGTTGGGATTACAGGCGTGAGCCACTGCACTGGGCCGAGGTGCCAGACTTTTAAACAACCAGATCTTATGAGAACTCACTTGCTATTGAGAAGACAGCACCAAGCTATGAGGGACCTGCCCACATGATCCAAACACCTCCCTTGAAGCCCCACTCCAACACTGGGGATTATATTTCAACAGGTGATATCAGTGGGGACAAATATTCAAACTATTAGTGATACTGTGAATTTCTTTTTTTGTTGTTGTTTCTCTGTTTTGAGATGGAGTCTAGCTCTGTTGCCCAGGCTGGAGTGTAGTGGCGTGATCTCGGCTCATTAAAACCTCTGTCTCCTGAGTTCAAGGGATTATCCTGCCTCAGCCTCCTGAGTAGCTGGGATTACAGTCGCCTACCACCACGCCCAGCTAATTTTTGCATTTTTAGTACAGACAGGGTTTCACCATGTTGGCCAGGCTGGTCTCAAACTCCTGACCTCAGGCAATCCACCCACATCGGCCTCCCAAAGTGCTGGGAATACAAGCATTAGCCACCACACCAGGCTGTGAATTTCTTTATATGCTTTTTGGCCACATATATTTGTATTTTGAAAAGTGTCTGTTTATGTGTTTATGTCCTTTGCCCACTTTTTAATGGAGTTGTTTGTTTTTTGCTTATTAATTTGTTTCTTATAGATTCTGGATGTTAGACCTCTGTCAGATGCATAGTTTGCAAATATATTCTCTTATTCTTTGGGTTGTCTATTTACTCTGTCAATAGTTTGTTTGTTTTTTTTTTCCTGTGCAGAAGCTCTTTAGTTTAATTAGATGCCATTTGTCAATTTTTGTTTCTGTTGCAATTAATTTTGGTTTCTTCATTATAAAAGTTTTGCCAGGGTCTATGTTTAGAATACTATTTTCCAGGATTTTTTCAAAAATTTTTATAGCTTTAGGCTTTACATTTAAGTCTTTAATCTATTTTGAGTTTAGTATATGGTATAAGGAAGGGGTCCAGTTTCAATCTTCTTCATGTAACTAACCAGTTATCCTAGAACCATTTATTATATAGGGAGTTTTTTTTCATTGCTTGTTTTTGTTGACTTTATCAAAGATAAAATGGCTATATGTGTGTACCATGCCATTTTGGTTACTGTAGTTTTGTAGTACAGTTTGAATTCTGGTAATGTGTTGCCTCCAGCTTTGTTCTTTTGGCTAAGAATTAGTTTGGCTATTATGGCTTCTCTTGTTGTTCCATATACATTTTAGAATTTTTTAAATTCTATAAAAAATGTTATTGGTAGTTGATAGGAATAGAATTGAATCTGTAAATTGCTTTGTATAGCATGGCCTTTTAACAATATTTATTCTTCCTATCCACCAGCACATGGAATATTTTTTCATTTGTTTTTGTAATCTCTGATTTTTTTCAATGTTTTGTAATTCTCATTTTAGAGATCTTTCACCTCACTGGTTAGCTCTATTCCTAAGCATTCTATATTTTGGTGGCTGTTGTGAACTCAGCTTGGACATTGTTGGTGTATAGAAATACTACTGATTCTTTTCCATTTATTTTTTTATCCAGAAACTTTGTTGAAGTTGTTTATGAGACCTAGAAGCCTTTGTGCCAAGACTATGCAGTTTTTTAGACATTAAATCATATAATTTGAAAACAGAGATAGTTTGACTTTCTCTTTTCCTATTTGGATGCATTTCATTTTTTTCTCTTGCCTGATTGCTCTGGCTAAGACTTCCAGTAATATGTTGAATAGGAGTGGTAAGAGTGGGAAACCTTGTCTTGTTTCGGTTCTCAAGGAGAATGCATCCAGCTTTGGCCCAGTTAGTATGCTGCTGGCTATGGGTTTGTCACAGAGGGCTCATTATTTTGAAGTATATTCCTTCAATGCCTAGTTTATTGAAAATTTTAACGTGAAAGGATGATGAATTTTATCAGAAACCCTTTCTGGATCTATTGAGATGATTATATGGTTTTTGTTTTTAGTTCGGTTTATGTGATGAATCACATTTATTGATTTATGTACATGAAACCATTCATGCATCCCAGGGATAAAACCTACTTGATCATGGTGGTTTTAATTTTTGTTGTGCATTTGGTTTTCTAGTATTTTGTTAAAGGTATTTTCATCTATGTTTATCAAGGATATTGGCTTGAAGTTTTTTTTGTTTTGTTTTTGTTTTTTGTTTTGTCTTTTCCCTGTTATGGTGTCAGAATGATGCTGACCTCAGAGAATGAGTTAGGGAGGAGTGCCTACTTATCAATTTTTTGGAATAATTTCAGTAGGATTGGTACCAGATCTTCTTTATACGTCTGGTAGAATTAGGCTGTGAATCCATCAAGTCCTGGGCTTTTTCTGGATGGTGGGTATTTTTATTATTGATTCAATTTTGAAACTCATTATTGGTCTGCTCAGGGTTTGAATTTCTTCCTGGCTCAGTCTTGGGAGGTTGTATGTTTTCAGGAATTTATCAATTTTTTGTGGTTTTTCCAGTGTGTGTGCATAGAGGTGTTCATGATAGTCTCTAATGGTTTTTCGTATATCTTTGGATTTGATGGTAATGTCCCCTTTGAGATTTCTGATTGTGTTTACTTCAATCTTCTCTTTTTCTTTATTAGTATAGCTAGTGGTCTATCTTACTCATTCTTTCAAAGAAGCAAATTTTGGTTTTGTTGGTCTTTTGTATGGTTTTTCACATCTCAATTTTATTCAGTTCATTTCTGATTTTAGTTATTTCTTCTCTTCTGAAAGCTTTGGGTTTGGTTTGCTCTTGTTTTTCTAGTTCCTCAAGGTGTGATATTAGGCTGTTAATTTGAGATCTTACCAACGTTTTTATGTGGACATTTACAGCTATAAACTTTCCTCTTAATATTGCTGTAGCTGTGTCCCAGAGATTTTGGTATGTTTTAGTATTATTCTCATTAGTTTCAAATAATTTCTTGATTTCTGCCTTAATTTCATTTTCATTCAGGGGAAGGTTGCTTCATTCGTATGTAATTGTATGGTTTTGAGAGATGTTCTTGGTATTGATTTCTATTTTTTATTGCACTGTGGTCAGAGAGTGTGGTTAGTGTGATTCCTTTTTTTTTTTCAAATTTGCTGAGTATGTTTTTATGGCTGATTGGTTGATTTTAGAGTATGTTGCAAGTACACATGAGACAAATGAATATTCTGTTTTTTTAGGAAGGAGATTTCTGTAGATGCTTGTGAGGTTTATTTGGTCAAGTGTCAAATCTTGTCCTGAATATCTTTGTTTTATGCCTCAAAGACCTGTCTAATACTGCCAGTGGACTGCTAAAGTCTCCCACTATTTTGCTATGGTGTTCTAGGTCACTTTGTAGGCCACTTGGAACTTTGTGAATCTGGGTGCTCTTGTGTTGGGTGCACATATATTTAGGATAGTTAAGTCTTTTTGAATTGAACCCTTTATTAATATATAATGTTCTTCTTTTTCTCTTTTGATGGTTGTTGGTTTAGAGTTTCTTTTGTCTGAAATCAGAATAGCAACCCCTGTTTTTTTTGTTTGTTTGTTTGTTTTGTTGTTGTTGTTGTTTTGGTTTTCCATTTTTGCAGTAGATTTTTCTCAGATTTTTCTCTATTTCTTTACTTTGAGCCTATGGGTGTCATTGCATGTGAGATGGGTCTCTTGAAGACAACATACTGGTGGTTCTTGCTTCTTTATCCAACTTACCCCTCGTACCTCTTAATTGGTGCAGTTAGCCCATTTAAATTCAAGGCTAATATTGATCCTGTCTTTGTGTTATAAGCTAGTTATTATGCAGACTTGATTCTGCATAATAATAGTTGCTTTATTATATCAATGGTCTATGTATTTAATTGTGTTTTTGTGGTAGCCAGTAACTGTTTTTCATTTCCATATTTAGGACTCTCTTAATGACCTCTTATAAGGTTGGCCTGGTGGTAACAAATTCCTTTAGCATTTGCTTGTCTGAAAAGGATCTTATTTCTTCTTCATTTAACAAGCTTAGTTTGGCTAGATATGAAATTCTTGGTTGAAGATTTTTTCTTTAACAATGCTGCATATAGGTCCCCAGTTCCTTCTGTCTTTTATAGTGTCTGCTGAAAGTTATATTCTTAGCCTGATGGGGTTCCTATTGTAGTTTGCTTGCCCCTTCTCCCTAGCTACGTTTTATATCTTTCCTTTCATTTTGACCTTGGAAAATCTGATTACTATGTGTCTTGGAGATGTTCATCTTGTATAATATCTCATAGAAGTTGTCTGCATTTCTTAAATTTGAATGTTGCCTCTCTAGTGAGGTTAATAAAATTTTCATGAACAATATCCACAAATATGTATTCAAAGTTGTTTATCTCGCTCTCATTCAGAGATGCCAAAGAGTCATAGTTTTGGTCTCTTTACATAATCCCATATTTCTAAGAGATTTTGTTCACTTTTTATCTTTTTTCTTTAATTTGCATGACTGTTTGTTCTGGAACCAGTCTTTGATCTCAGTGATTTTTCTTGAGCTTGTTCTATTCTGCTGTTAATACTTGTGATTGTATTATAAAATTATTCCAGTATGTTTTTCAGCTCTATAAGATCAGTTTGGTTCTTTCTTAAATGTATAAATATTTTTTTCTTTTTCAGCTCCTGTATTATTTTTCAATAGTTTTTTTGCAGAACAGGTGTTGTTTTGTTACATATGCAAATTCTTTAGTGGTGATTTTTGAGATTTTAGTGCACCCATCACCCGAGCAGTGTACACTGTACCCAGTATGTAGTCTTTTGTCCCTCACTGCCTTCCCCTGAGTCCCCAAAGTCCATTGTATAATTTTTATTCTTTTGCATTATAAGCTAGCCTAGCTCTCATTGTAAGTGAGAACATACAATGTTTGCTTTTCCATTCCTGAGTTACTTCACTTAGAATAATTGTCTTCAACTATATCCAGGTTGCTGCAAATGCCATTATTTTGTTCCTTTTTATGGCTGAGTAGTATTCCATGGTGTGTGTGTATATATGTATATAAATGTCACATTTCCTTTATCCACTCATTGATTGATGGGCAGTTGGGCTTGTTCCATATTTTTGCAATTGTGACTTATGCTGTTATAAGCATGTGTGTGCAAGTGTCTTTTAACTTCTTTTGTCTGGCTGGACATCTAGGAATGGAATTGCTGGATCAAATGGTAGGTCTACTTTTAGTTCTTTAGGGAATCTCCATACAGCTTTTTAATAGTGGTTGCACTAGTTTACATTCGCAACAGCAGTGTAAAAGTATTCCCATTTCACCACATCCATGGAAACATCTATGATTTTTATTTTTTAATTATGGCCATTCTTGCAGGAGTAAAGTGGTATTGCATTGTAGTTTTAATTTGCATTTCCCTGATAATTAGTGATGTTGAGTATTTTTTCATATTTTTGGGCCATTTGTATATCTTCTTTTGAGAATTGTCTATTCATGTCCTTTGCCCATGTTTTGATGAGATTATCATTACTATTATTATTATTATTACTTTGCTCATTTGTTTGAGTTTCTTTGCTCATTTGTTTGAGTTTCTTATAGATTCTAGATATTAGTTCTTCATAGGATGCACAGTTTGCAAATACTTTCTTCCACTCTGTTGGTTATCTGTTTATTCTTCTGATTATTTCTTTTGCTGTGCAGAAGTTTTTTGGTTTAATTAAGTCTCATCTACTTATCTTTGTTTTGTTGCATTTGCTTTTGGGTTCTTGGTCATCAAGTCTTTGGCTAAATCAATGTCTGGAAAAGTTTGTTATATTCTACAGTGTTTATTGTTTCAGGTCTTAGATTTAAGTCTTTGATACATCTTGAGTTGTATTTTGTATATAGTGAGAGATGAGGATCCAGTTTCATTCTTCTACATGTGGCCTGCCAATCATTCCAGCACCATTTGCTGAATAGGGTGTCCTTTCCCCACTTTATGTTTTTGCTTGCTTTGTGAAAAATCAGTGGGCTGTAAGAATCTGTCTTTATTCTTGGGTTATCTGTTCTGTTCCATTGGTCTATGTGCCTATTTTTATACCAGTACCATGCTGTTTTGGTGACTATGGCCTTACAGTATAGTTTGAAGTTGAGTAATGTGATGCCTCCAAAATAGTTCTTTTTGCTTAGTCTTGCTTTGGCTATACAGGCTATTTTTTGGTTCCATATGTATTTTAGAATTGTTTTTCTAGTTGTTTAAAAAATGATTATCATATTTTGATGGTAATAGCATTAAATTTGTAGATTGTTTTTGGCAGTATGGTTATTTTCACAATATTGATGCTAGCCATCCGTGAGCATGAGATGTGTTTCCATTTGTTTGTGTCATCTATGATTTCTTTCAGCAGTGTTTAGCAGTTTTCCTTGTAGAGGTCTGTCATGTCCTTGGTTAGGTATGTTTCTAAGTATTTTATTTATTTATTTGTTTGTTTGTTCATTTATTTGTTTGTTTGTTTGTTTATTTATTTATTTTGCAACTATTAGGGTTGAGAACTCAAAGAAACTTAGTTTTTGATTTGATTGTCAACTTGGTCACTGTTTATATATAACAGTGCTACTGATGTGTGTACATTGATTTCATATTTTGAAACTTTATTGAATTCATTTATCACATTACTGAATTCATTTATTAAATCTGGAAGCTTTTTGGATACATTATTAGGGTTTTGTAGGTATACAATTATATCATCAGTGAACAGTGACAGTTTGAATTTTTTTTTACTGATTTGGATGCCCTTTATTTTTTTCTGTTGTCTAATTGCTCTGGCTAAAACTTGCAGTACTATGTTGAATAGAAGTGGTGAGAGAGGGCAGCCTTTAATTGTTTCAGTTCTCAGGGGTAATGCTTTTAACTTTTCCCCTTTGATATAATGCTTGCTATTGGTTTGTCATAGATAGCTCTTATTACCCAAATGTATGTCCCTTATATGATGATTTTGCTGAGAGTTTTAATCATAAATGAGTGTTGGATTTTGTCAAATGCTTTTTCTGCATCTATTGAAATAATCATGTGATTTTTGTTTCTAATTCTGTTTATGTGGTGTATCACATTTATTGACTTACGTATGTTAAACAATCCCTGAATCTCTGATATTACACTCACTGGAGCATGGTTAATTATCTTTTTGATATAGTGTTGGAATTGGTTAGCTAGTATTTTGTTGAGGATTTTTGCATTTATGTTCATCAGGGATATTGGTGTGTAGTTTTCTTTTTTTCTTATGTCCTTTCTTGGTATTGGTATTAGGGTGAGGCTGGCTTCATAGAATGATATAGGGATGATTCTCTCTTTCTCTATCTTTTGGAATAGTGCTAATAGGATTGGCACCAATTCTGCTTTGAAAGTCTGATAAAATTCAGCTGTGAATCCATCTGGTCCTGGACTTATTTTTGTTGGAATTTTTTTTTATTACCATTTCAATCTCACTGCTTGTTATTGGACTGTTAAGAGTTCTATTTTTTTCTGGTTTAATCTAGGAAGGTTGTATATTTATAGGAATTTATCCATCGCTTCTAGGTTTTCTAGTTTGTGTGCATAAAGGTGTTCATAGTAGCCTTGAATGATCTTTTGTATTTCTGTTGTATTGGTTGTAATATCTCTCGTTTCATTTCTAATTGAACTTATTTGGATCTGTTCTCTTGTTTTCTTGGTCAATCTCACTAATGGTCTTTCAAATTTGCTTATCTTTTTGAAAAAAAAATCTTTTTTATTTACCTTTTGTATTTTGTTTGTTTTTTTGTTTCAATTTTATTTAGTTCTGCTCTGATCTCTGTTATTTTCTTTCCCCTTCTGGGTTTGTGTTTGGTTTGTTCTTGTTCTTTTACTTCCTTAAAGTGTGATCTTAGATTGTTTATTTGTGTTATTTTAGACTTTTTGATGTAGGTATTTGAGGCTATGAACTTTCCTCTTAGCATCACTTTAGTTGTATCCCAGAAGTTTTGATAGGTTGCATCACTGTTATCATTCAGTTAAAAGAATTTTTAAATTTCCATCTTGATTTCTTTGATTCCCAACAATCATTCAGGAACAAGTTATTTAATTGTTTTTTATTTGCACGATTTTGAGGGTTCCTTTTGGAGTTGATTTCCAATTTTTTTCCATGTGGTCTGAGAGAGTATTTGATATCATTTCAATTTTTGTAAATTTACTGAGACTTCTTTTGTGGCCTATTATATGGTCTTTCTTGGAGTATGTTCCATGTGCTGATGAATAGAATATATATTTTGCAGTTGTTGGGTAGAATGCTCTCTAAATGTCTGTTAGTCATTTGTTGTAAGGTATAGTTTAAGCCCATTGTTTCTTTGTTGACTTTCTGTCTTGATGACATGTCTAGTGCTGCCAGTCGAGTATGGAAATTCCACACTATTATTGTGTTTTCGTCTCTCTAATTTTTTAGGTCTAGTAGTAATTGTTTTATAAATTAGGGAACTCCAGTGTTTGGTACATATATATTTAGGATTGTGATATTTTCCTGTTGGACTAGTCATTTTATCATTATATAATGCCCCTCTTTGTCTTTTTTAACTGTTGTTCCTTTAAAGTCTGTTTGGTCTGATATAAGAATAGCTATTCCTGTTCACTTTTGGTGTCCGTTTGCATGGTGTATCTTTTTCCACCCCTTTACCTTAAGCTATGTGAGTGCTTATGTGTTAGGTGCATCTCTTGAAGATAGAAGAAACTTGATGGCTGAATTCTCATCCATTCTTCCATTCTGTATTTTTTAAGTGGAGTGTTTAGGTCATTTACACTCAACATTAGTATTGAGATGTAAGGTGCTATTATATTCATTGTGTTAGTTGTTGCCTGAGTGCCTTGGTTTTTTGTTGTCGTTGTTGTTTTTGTTTTTGTATTTTTCATTGTGTTATTGTTTTATAGGCCTTGTGAGATATATGTTTTAATGAGATTCTATTCTGGTGTATTTTTTGAGGTATTATTTTAAGATTTAGAGCTTCTTTTATCAGTTCTTTTAGTGCTGGCTTGGTAGTGGCGAATTCTCTCAGAATTTGTCTGAAAAGACTGTATCTTTTCTTCATTTATGAAGCTTAGTTTTGCTGCATACAAAATTCTTGGCTGATAATTGTTTTGCTTAAGGAAGCTAGAGATAGGACCTCAATTCCTTCCAGCTTGTAGGGTTTCTGCTGAGAAATCTGCATTAATCTGATAAGATTTCCTTTATAGGTTACCTGATGCTTTTGCCTCATATCTCTTAATATTTTTGCCTTTGTCTTGACTTTAGATAACCTGATGACTATGTGCCTAGATGATGATATTTTTGTGATGAATTTTCCAGGTGTTCTTTGACCTTCTTGTATTTGGATGCCTAGATGTCTAACAAGGCCAGGGAAGTTTTCCTTGGTTATTTCCTCAAAAATGTTTTCCAAACTTTTAGATTTCTCTTCTTCCTCAGGAGCACCAATTATTCTTAGTTTTGGTCATTTAACATAATCCCAAAATTCTGGAGGCTTTGTTCATTATTTTTAAATTCTTTTTTTCTTTTTCTTTGTTGAATTGGGCTAATTCAAAAGCCTTCTCTTCAACTGCTGAAGTTCTTTCTTCTACTTGTTTATAACTTTCTTCTGCTTGTTTGATTCTATTGTAACTTTCCAGTGTATTTTGCATTTCTCTAAGTGTGTCTTTTATTTCTAAAAGTTGTGATTGTATTTTATTTATGCTATCTATTTCTCTAGAGATTTTTTTCTGTTTATATCCTGTATTTATTTTTTTAATTTTATAAAGTTGGTTTTCACTTTTCTCTGGTGCCTCCTTGAGTAGCTTAATAATCAACCATCTGAATTCTTTTTCTGGCAATTCAGAGATTTCTTCTTGCTTGGATCCATTGCTGGTGAGCTTGTGTGGTCTTTTGGGGTTGTTAAAAAACTTTGCTTTGTCATATTACCAGAATTGTTTTTCTGGTTTCTTCTCATTTGGATAGACCATGTCAGAGAAAAGATCTGGAGCTCAAGGGCTGATGTCATATTTATTTGTCCCACAGGGTGATCCCTTGTTGTGGTGCTCTTCCCCTTCCCCTAGGGATGGGGCTTCCTGAGAGCTTAACTACAATGATTGTTATTGCTCCTCTGGGTCCAGCCACGCAGTTGAGCTACCAGACTCTGAGCTGGTACTGGGGAGTGTCTGCAGAGTCCTGTAATGTGATCTGTTTTCACGTCTCTCAGACATGGATACTAGCACCTCCTCCCATGGAGGTAGCAAGGGAGTGAAGTGGACTCTGTGACAGTCTTTGGTTGTAGTTTTGTTTAGTGTGCTTGTTTTCTCTAATGATGCTTGTGTTAGCAGTGAAGTTTTCACATGGACAGACTCAGGACCTCTAGTTAGTCAGAATGTTACAGGTGATGGAATCAGCTGCTTTTTTCTCCTTTCTTAGAGTGGGCTTGTTCTTTTATGAGTTGCTGTAATGGCTTGAGTTGGTTATTCTCCAGCCAAAAGGTGGTGCTTTTAAGAGCCGTCAGCTGCAGTAGTATAGGGGGGATATAAGCTTGCCCTAAGGTTGCCTGAATAAGTATTTGTGTTTCTCAGGTGATGAGTGGGGACATAGAGTTATCAGGAGATTATGTTTGTTGTCTTAGGCTACTTGGGTGGGTAGAGAAAGGCCATCAGGTGGGGGAGGTTGGGTGTGTCTGCCTTGTGCAGGGCTTGCTTTGGTCACTGTGGGGCAAAGAGGTGTGGTTCTCAGGCTAATGGAGTTATGTTTCCAGGGAAATTATGGCTGCCTCTGATGCATCATACAGGTCTCCAGAAAAGTAGGGAAAAGCTGGCAGTGACAGGCCTCACCCAGCTCCCACACAGCCAGCAAGGCCAGTCTCATTCTAACCATACCTGGCCAAGAGCACTGAGCTTATATCCAGGCAAGCTGGTGAGCAGGCCTGAGATCTTGTCCCAGGCTACAAGCCTCCCCACTGAGAAAGCAAGCAGGGATTTCAGGCACTGCAGCTTCCCACCTGCTGCAACTTCTGTGCTCATATCTGCACTTCCCATTGGTCCCTACCACAGATTTCGCACAGGAAAATTTACACTTGGTCAAAATTATTATAATGTTCAGCTGAAAGTTTCTTTCTCCCTGTGGTCCTTTCCCAATTCCACTGGCAGCCCTCCCCAAGAAACCCTGTGAGATAAAGTCAGAAATGGCTTCCCTGGGGACTGGAGTGCCTACAGAGCTCTTCCCATTGCTTCTTTTACTTTTATATTTTGCCTGGCTTTCTAAATTTGTTTCAGCTCTAGGTGAGGTTAAATCCCTCTCCTGTGATCTAGATTTTTAGGTTCCCCAGTGAGGATGTGTGTTTGGAGACAGACCTTGCCCCTCTCACATTTTGGCCACTCACAGATTTTTGGCTGTCTCACGGAGTTTCCAGCAGCAAGACACTTCTTTCAAAGGGTCTGTGAATTCTTTTGGTTTTCCTGGTATGTTTCTATGGTACTTCTTGGAGCAAAAGTTCATGATGCGAGTCTCCACATGCTATTCTGCTCATCTGAGTGGAAGCTACAAGTCAGTCCTTCCTGCTGTCCACTATTATTTTCCCTTCCCAGTTCCTGTATTGTATTACTGTAATCCTTAGATTTCTTTGGTTGGGTTTTGACTTTCCCCTGAATGTCAGTGATTTTCTATCCATATTCTGAATTCTATGTCTGTCATTTCAGTGATTTCAGCTGGGTTAAGAACCATTGCTTAGGAGCTAGTGTTGTCATTGGAGGAAAAAAGACACTGCCTTTTTGAGTTGCCAGATTCTTGCACTGGTTCTTTCTCATCCGTGTGGGATGATATTCTTTTAACTGAGGTATATTTTGAGTTCAGTCAGTTGACTTCTTCAGAGGGCTGATGTTTTGTACAGGGTCTTTAGCTGAATTCTGTAGTTGAATTCTTGTCCTTTGTTTCAAGGGGATTATAAAAGCAAAGCATTTTTGGTGTTGAAGTTTGGGCTGTGATCCAGTAGATGGTGCTTAAGTGTAATGGCCAATAGGTAGGCTTTTCCTCAGCCATGTGGCTCATTTCATTCCATTTATTTCCTTGTATTTGCAGCTGTTCTCCCTGGCAGCGCTCTGTGATTGTGGGCTCCTCTCCCACTTGTGTGCTTGCTGCAGATCTTGGCTTGGCACTCCCAGGCTGCACTCTGCAGCCTTGGAGCAATTTAAGCCTTTATGTTTTCTCCCCAGATTGAGGCCAGCAGGGGCAGGGACCTTGGTAGTGGCAATAGCAGAGTTCCTTTCACTTGTCTCTTGGGGCTGTACCCTATAGAAAGGCAAAGCTGCTACCAATGAAAGCAATCAGATAAGGGTGTTGTGGATGCAGCACTCAGCATCTTTGTTTCTTTCCCAGTCCAAGGGGAGCAAGGCTGTACCACTGTATTGGTAATGACAGAAAAAATTTCATTTGCCTTTGGGATCTCCACCCCAGAAAAACAGAGAGCTGCTGCCAATGGAAATGTTCAGCCAGTGGGGAGGGCAGCATTGCTGCAGGCCCTGCTTGGTGAGGAGCAAAGGGTTTGGAGCTTACAAGGAAGAGAGACTGGGTTCCCCTCCATATGGTGACTGTGGTGTGCTGGAGGTGTGAGTAATGCCCTCAGGCTCTCTGTTTCTATCCTAGTCCAAAGGCATCAAGGGCAGAACCACTGCAGTGGCAGTAGCAGAGAAACTTTCATTTGCCTTTGAGACCTCCACCCCAGAGAAACACAGAGCCACTACCGGTGGGAATGTTCAGTCAGTGGTGGGGCAGCTTCTCTGCCATGGGGCCATGTCTGGGGCCATGCTTGGTGGAAAATGGGGATGGGAACTCAACAGGGAAGAGAGACTAGGCTTCTCTCTTTATTGTGGCTGTGGTGTGCCATGATGTGATCAGGTCTTTTGTTTCTCCTCATTCTGAGGTCAGTAAAGGTGGTACCACTACAGAGTACCATTGAATAAAGGTGGCATCACAGAGCTGCCATTGAAAGAAGTGTTTATGCAGGGGCAGGATGGTTATGCTGAGGAGCATAACAAAAGGCCCAATGAAGAGGAACGAGGCAGGGACTCACATGGAAAAATGTCTGGCCCCTTTCTGGTAAGGCAACTGCATTGTGCTGGAGGTCCAAATTAGTCCTTAATCTCTCTGCTCCTTCCTGAGCCTGGAGGCAGATGGGGTGGGATCTACAGAGCAGAAAAATGGTGCCCACCTGCCAGTGGTGCCCACCTGCCAATAGTGGGCACACCATTCCAGGGAAGTGCAGAGTTGCTACTTGTCTGAAAACCCAGGCTGGGGAGTGGGACAGCTGGGGTGCCAGGTCAGGAGGCCCTGCCCATTGCGGAGTAGCAAGGGCAGGGACCACGTGGAAAACAGTCTGGTCACTTTTCTATAAGGCAGTTTTGCTGTGCTGGAGGCCCATGTTAGTTGTTAATCACTCTGCTTCCTCTTGAACTTGAGGGCAGGAGAAGAGGGAGCTGTGGAGCAGCAAAACTGGTGGGTCCACTTGCTACCACTGGGAGCTTCATCCCAGGGAAGAGCAGAGCTGCTAACCAACCCAAGAGCTAAGGTGGGGCTGGGCCAACCATTCTAAGGTCCCAGGCCAGTGGCCCTGTCTGGCAAGGTGCAGTGGAGGTGAAACCTGCAGTCTGTCCACTGCTCAGCCCCATAGATTTGGCCTCTACTTTGTGGGTGTGTGAGGGAGCCCATCCTTCCCCGTTTCCTGAATTGCTGCAGCTGGCACCAGGGTGCCCAGGGGTTCAAGGCCCCAAGTCTCTGCATGTGTCTGAGATGTGGCTGACTCCATATATCTCTCTGTGTCAGTCTGGAGGCCCCAGTGAAGGATGGTCATGGAGAATATCCTGAACCCAGAGATGTAAAGGTCCACAGCAAAAAAATGTGGTTCCCCAAGGATTCTCACTCACTCATCATTTCCCAGCAGTGGGAAGCCTCGCCTAGCTCTGCACCAATCCTGGGTTGGCAGCTGTTCTGTCTTCCTCCTCTCTGTTATCCATGGGTTTCATTACTCCCTTGATAAATACCAATGTACCCACATGGACAATCCAGTTGAAGAGCTAGTGTTCATTTGCCACTCTTTCTTCTCTCTGTGAGAGCAGAAAGATTAGCTGCTTCTAGTCAGTCATCTTTGCACTCCTCAGCTATTCTTTGTCTTAAAATATTTTGACATATGTTATGTAGAAGAGGCATTAGGCTTGTTCACCATGTCCTCAGTTAACCAAACTTAGACCAATAATGGATATTTCAGTCAGAAAAAGCAGGGTTTGCATTCCAATACTGCTGCTTACTATATGTGCAACATTGGGCTAGTAACTTAATTCTTCTGTCCTCAGTTTCCTCAGCTATAAAATAGGAAAATTCATAATATCCACTACATAGGTTTGTTTTGAAGATTAAAAGAGATTGTGTATATAATTCTATTTGCATAGAGTCTTGAAAACAGTAAACATTCAATAAATATTAGCTAAGATAAGGAGGAGTAAAGGGCTATTTGAGAAGGTTATTCTGATAGTGATATTTATTTATTCAGTAAATAATCATTAGACATTATGTTAGACAGAATATTTCCCCTGCCCCAAATATGTCCATGACATTAACAGAATCTGTGAATGTGTCACGTTAGATGGCAAAAGGGTCCTTGAAGATGTGATTAAGTTAATGATTTTGAGATGAGAAGATTATCTTGAATTATATGGGTGGTCCCAGTGCAACCACAGCATCTTTATAAGAAGGAAGCAGGATCAGGGTCCAGTAAGGAGATATGGTAATAGAAGCGGAGGTTGGAATGATGTGCGTTGAAGAGTCCCTGAGCCAAGGAATGCGGGTGCTGTCTTGAAGAGCCTCCAGAAGAAACTCAGTCCTTCAAATGCCTTGATTTTAGCTCAGTGAGACTCATTTTAGACTCCTGATTTCTAGAACTGTGTCATTTTAAGTGACTGAGTTTGTGGTGATCTGTTACAGCAGCAGTAAGTGACTAACAGACACACAGTAGATCTGTCAGGGTACTGACAGGAAAGAATGGCACTCACGACTGGGTAATTTGAGAAGAGTTTAATAAAAAAAAAATTATCTATGAACAGAGTGTAGGAAAACCACAAGAGAGTGAAATACACAGGGGCTAGTAGTATTCAAGAGTTTATTGAACTCTCCCTTCTGTCAGATGTGACAGCCATGGGAGGGAGTCTTTAAAGCAAGACAGACAGAGAAAGAGAGAGAGAGAGAGAGAGAGATGTAAAAGGTCACTTGGTCACTGGTCGAAGGAAGCAACCATTTTGCAGTGACCCTGAAGGGAGGAGCCTAGGAGAATAAATAACCTGACTCACTCATCTTCTTCCTTCCAATCTTCTGATGATAATCCAAATTTTCTGGATTTACCTGAGACATAAAAGGCAAAATTGCTCTGTGTTGTACTCTATACACATTAGGAGGGTGGAGAAGACTGAAGAGAAAAAGATAGAACCAAGAACATCTATCATTAGCCAGAAACTGCTTGGTTCTGAGTAAACAAACCAGATACAACCTCTGCTTCAATAGAGCTAATAGTCTACTAGGGAAAGACAGAAAACAGACAAACAAATGGAAATATATTGCTATACACTGAAGTGACATGAAATTAAATAATAGCTTGATATAAGAAAATATAAAATAAATAACAGAGACACTTAATCTAGTTTATGCAATCAAGTAAACCTCTTTGAGGAGGGCATTTATGAGAAGACCAGAAAGATGAGACAAAAGATATGTACAAAAAAGTTTTGGGAGAGAAGGAAGAATACCCTACAGCCAAAAAGAAAGGTATCTGCAAAGGCCGTAAGGTTCCAAAGCTTTACATGTTGCTGAAACTGAAAGAAGGCTTCTGTGGCTATAACTTGAAGAGCAAAGAAAAGAGTAGCAAGAGATGATATGGTAGAAGTAAGCAAAGATAAGATCACATGGTGCCTTACAGGCCGTGATACAGAGTTTGGAATTTATTCTAACTATAAGAGAAGTTTTTAGCAGAATTATCAGAATGAGAAAAAAAAAATGAATTGTAAAGGCTCCATGTGAAACTGTCAAAGAAATCTAATCATAAAGGTTAGAGGGCCTGCAGTTAGAGAAGTGGTAAGGCTTCCTCTACCATTCATGAACTGGAACTGTGTGCATGCATGTGTGTGTGTGTGTTGTGTTTCTCTTCTCTTCTTACACTGTTAGGTAATATCATTAATCCCATTTTGCTAACGAGGAAATAGACTCATGTTTATAACTAGCCAAAGTTCACAAATGGTAAATGGCATATCTGGAATTCATACCCAGGTACATTTGGTTCTAAGGTCAACATACTTCCTGGCATGCCCCACTGTTTCTTCAAGAAAAAAAGAGAAAAAATGAGAGGTTACAAGAGTGCAGCAGATATTCTGGAGGGAAATTATTGATAGGATGACTGACTGGAGTAGGGAAGTTTTGAGGAGGTTATTGAGTCTCCGATAAGGAAAAGTTACTTTGCTAAGATTTGACTTTAAATACTATTTTATTTAACCCTTACAACAACTGCTTGAGGTAGATATGATCACTATGGACTGGTAAAATAAAGCCTATTGGGCTTAAGTAAATTGCCATGTAACACAGCTTGTAAGTGGCAGAACTTAGAATTCCAATCAAGGAACATTTGAGTACAAATTTATCTTCTTTCCTTTAACACACTGCTACACATGTGCTTATAGAATAGTCCCTTCTCTTGTACCCTTACTCTGTCACAGGTGAGAGTGAGACAATACACGAATTGATTGAAGAACTCTTAGAAAACTTAGTAAGATAAACAGAATATATTACAATTACATATGTCAGTCTACTTTTTGGAATATTTGCAGTACAACACATAATTGGTCCCAAAATACTCTGTTTTATTGCACCCAAATAGGAATAAAGGTGCTTTCACAGATTAGCATGGTGGTAAGGATAGGTGATGTATACTTGCAGAGACCCAAGAACATTATTCTGTAGCCATTTCAGGAAAGTGGAGGGTTAGGGGAAGTATAGGCAAAGATATACTTGAAGACTCCCTCCATTAAACTTGTTCAACAATATTTCTGCTTCACATTCTACTAATTAGGGTCTCATTTGGGTTAAAAAGCTTTTTTAAATAAAATACAAATTTGCATTGTTCCTCATTCATGCCTTAATCAATTGTAATACCTCTCTGAGGGTTTTGTAGCTCTGATAAAAATGTGCTCTCTGGTTTGAGTGGAAAACACGGTGACAGCATTTATTTTTTAGGTGGTGGCAAGGGGTAGGGTTGGGAAGGGTGTGCAGGGAAGGCCTGAAAGACAGCTAGAAAGCAGCATATAGGCACTGAACTTTCATACTGAGGGAACAGGAGAACCACACAGAAGGTAGGGTGACAATGACAAATTTTGTGTGCTTTGTAGTGTTAACAATCTGTATGCCATTGAAACTCTGCTATAGTTCAGAGAAGATCAAATTAGGACTTCTAAGGAAATATTTGAACTTTTTACATTTCAGCTTTCTCCAGGCCAGGAAAAGTCACTTCATTTAGGCTTTCCGATTTGGTTTCTCCATTTTGTCTATTACTACTAGACTAAACTAACAGACAGGTGACAGTGTCACCTATCTATCTGTGCCGTAACCTACTTTGGGAGGAGAAGCAGACAAGAGAGAAAAAGCAGACACCTCTTTTTATCCCTCATCTCCTCCTTTTTTAGCTGAGTCAGTATGTCTCAATACACCATGACAGGACTTTTTGTCTTCCTGGGATTTGTAACATAATCCCCAAACAATGGAGAATGTAGTTTATTAAACTGAATACTTAATTGCTGGAGAAACACGAAAGACAGGAATGTTTGGAGTGTGTCAAGGTTGATGAAAGTTTCACTGAAAAATGGCCTTGTATATTTCAGAAAATTCATGATAAACATGAACTGGTTTCATTGAGAGGACGTAGATTAGCAGACAGCATATCCTGATCCAGGAGAACCATAAGAGCAAGTGCTAACTTGAGTGTTTTCATAAACTACCTGTGCAAATGTCAAGTGATTCACATATTTACATTAAAGAATTTGTTTGATTACAAATAAATTTCAAAAATGATGGAGAGGCAAATGAGGCAGGACAGGAAGACCTTTGATGTCAGTCTGCGGAATTTCTATTTGATAATGTAGGCAAGAGGGAGTCAGTATAGCTTTTTAAATCAGGATGAGGGAGAGTGATGTGATATTATCTGAGGAAGACAGAAGCTTCGGTTAATCCAGCCATGAAAGATAGTATTACCATAGTAAATATAGAAAAGTAAAGTATAAAATTAATTACAGAGATATTGCAAAGAAAGAAAAATCCTTGTTGAACAAAAAAGTGGATTTGTTGTGATTCAAGAGGAAGAGAGAAAAGTTTATTAAAAAAAAAATTCTCACAAACTGCGATGCTGAGAAAGATAAAAGAATGCAATGCCAGTAAGTGGAATGAAGAAATTGAGTAAAGTTCTCTCCTGTTTAAGGTTCTCTGCCTTGTTCTGGTATTAAAGGACAACAAAAGTCATGAGATTACTTGAGCAATGGGACATAAAGGAACAGAAAGAGGATGATAAGCCAGGACTAGAAATGGAGATTTTGGGGTCCTATGGGAAAGAGGGCCTTGAGAGGATAAACTCAGTAATTACTCTACATTCCCTTAGTACTCAAATTAAGTTTTCAGTGGCTTCTTTGCTCCTGTGGATATATTGATTTATCTCATTTAATTTCATGATGTTTGTTTCCAAAATAGTCTGTAAACTTTTTAGAACATGAAAATGTATTCTGCTTTAGATTTTGTTTAGGTGATGATGCAGATAATGTATATATAAACCAATTGGGATGGAGAGCTGCCCAGTCAGGGGCTAACTTGAGGTTTTTAATTAGAAATTTATTACTGGAGTCTTAAAGATTAGAATGACTTCAATGTACAAATCGATTTGTTTTTCACATTTATTCTTAAAATAATAAAAACTCTTGACTGTGCTTCTTTCTAAGAAAAATTGTACATGACTTCACTAATGCAACTGTGTAGAAAACGTCGAAATGTGAAGTTATTCACAATCACAAAATAAATTTGTCATTTGACCTGTAGAATTCACTCTTGTTGCTCAGCAGGTTATCCATATTGCTAACATATGGATGACCCTTTAATCAGTATCTCCACTGTGCTGGAATACAACTTGTGAAAAAGATGTTGATGTCCTGGGCTAATGAATGGTGAAGCAATCACAGTGGGCGTTTTGTTTTGCTTTGTGTTTTTGTTCACAGCACTGGTCTTATTCTCTTCATTAATTAGCAACATTTAAAATTCTACAAACATCTGTGGCAATGCTAGTCACTCTCCTTGAAATCATTAGATTTAGGATATACAAGAATATCTTAGAAGTGGAGCATACTAGCTCTTTAGATAATACATAGAAAAAAAGAAAAGGAATTATCTGTTTAAATAAGTATTAGTGAATATAGCCTACTTTATAAAGCTTAGGAGTGTTTATGCAACATTACTAGCATTATTCAAGCAGGGATTTGGATGGCATCTTTAAGGTTGGCATTTGAAACTTAATCTGAAAATTTAATAAAGACAGGTTTTTTAGGAAATTTGTGATTGCTACAGCACCGTTTTCAGAGCTAACTGAAGATCTTCTATTTTTTATAATTAATTTGCATGGTCCTCATTTGAAATAAAAAATAGAATGATGTTATTGATTTATATTCTCCACATAATGATGTAATCTCCTTTCTCAAGCTGTGAATTCATCAGTTGAAATCATTAAATTTATTCAAGACAGGAGTTTTTAGCATAATTTTTTCTCAGAAGGCATTACTTGATTTTGTTTTTATACAAAATGTACAAAACATAAGAAAATAAAATAATTACTAGAATGGAATGTAACACCCCTTTGTGGTACAACTGGTTGGTTGGCTGATCTGCTTTTGGAAACTAATATCATATTCAGGAGAGAGAAATGATTCTGTGGAATCCGAATTATTGTATATAAAATCATTGGATGCAAGTAAAATGTACAATAAGTAAATGTATTGTTGAAGACTTTGCCATTTTCCTACCTATTAACAAATAGCTGATCTTTTATCATATTCCATATAACCACCACAGAACTGGCTATAACTAAAACATTTTTGATGTTTGACTTTTTGTTCAGCATTACAAAAGTAAATATTTATAAGCCAGGGTTCATGTTTATTTTATGTTTCTATTTCAATTTTATATGTTTATTTTTATTCATATAAATGAATGAGATTAAGTGGGAATACATCTTTTGATCACATAATTTTTTTAAAAATGTATTTTCTATCAAAGGGGTATATGTGCATGACTATTACATGGGTATATTGTGTAATGATGAAGATTGGGCTTCCAGTGTTCTCATCACCTAAATAGTGAACATTGAACCCAACAGGTAATTTTTTAACCCTCAACCTCCTGTCACCTTCTCCCTTTTTGGAATCCCCAGTGTCTGTTATTTCCATCTTTACATCATATCAATTTTGAGTGTGATCCTCTCTTAATATATAATTTTTGACTCACTGGGCCCCCTTAGAAGAAGCAAATAGAACTCACCATAATCAGATTATTTTTTATTTGGTGGAAAATGTTGTGTTTCCAGAGAACAAATATGTTTTGACTTTTCTTATTTTCTGAAGTTTGTGACAAATATAGCAAATAGACCTGGAATTTAGTAGTTCACAATTATTGTTTTTTTCTATCACATGCATGTACATAAGTAAGACTGTGTACATCATTGTGAGATTACAAATTAATTCTCACTGCACTAAATAATTTATTGCTCAATTCACTGCATAAATTAAGAGTTGATATTCTATTTCATTCTATTTCTGTTCACATCTTGAACAAAAAAAATGTTGTGGGAAAAAGAACACTCACATGGAACCAAAGAATGAACAAGAATGGAATTGAAAGAAATCTACTTTTTAAAAAGTAGTTTATATAAGTGGTGCCATTTTTTTCATTTCATCAAAATGACAAATTGCAACCATCATTTCTAAATTCAAATGGTAAAGAATAAGTATAATTTTAACCACAGTCATCAAAGGTTAAACCTTATTTTTAAGAGCAAATTGGATTATATCCTTTCAGGGTGCTACATGAGTTTTGCTACATAGTATAGCTACTTAGAAAATAAACATTTGTAGTCCAATAATTAAAGTATTAAGTTTGTCAATGGTTTTTCTGCATTTATACATTATGTATCATTTCTGAATAATACTTCATATTATGAGGAATGAACTCTCCTCATTTAAAGAAGAAATAATAGTCTCCTCTGAGTGGCATAAAGATCATGACATTGGGCCAATAAAAAGGGAAATAGAATCCTATCACATTACTTACCTGTGTTAATCTGCTTTCGTGCAGCTGATGAAGACATACCAGAGACCGGAAAATTTACAAAGGAAAGAGGTTTAATTGGACTTACAGTTCCACATGGCTGGAGAAGCCTCACAATCATGGCAGAAGGCAAAGAGGAGCAAGTCACATCTTACATGTATGGCAGCAGGCAGAGAGAGAGAGCTTGTGTAGGAGAACTCCTCTTTTTAAAATGATCAGATCTCATGAGACTTACTCACTATCACGAGAAAAGCGTGGAAAAAACCTGCCCTCATGATTCAATTACCTCCTACTGGGTACCTCCCACAACACGTGGGAATTCAAGATGAGATTGGAGGACACCAGCAAACCATAGAATTCCTCTCATGGCACTTCCGAAATCTCATGTCCTCACATTTCAAAACCACGGTTTTGAAACAACAAGACGGTTGCCCTCCCAACCGTCCCCCATAATCTCAACTCATTTCAGCATTAACTCAAAGTCCACAGTCCAAAGTCTCATCTGAGACAAGGCAAGTCCCTTTCATTTAGGAGCCTGTAAAATCAAAAGCATGTCAGTTAATTCCTAGATATAATGGTGGGTACAAGCATTGGGTAAATACAGCTATTCGAAGTGAGAGAAATTGGCCAGAGCAAGGGACTACAGTCCCTGTGCTAGTCCAAAACCCAGCAGGGCAATCAAATCTTAAAGTTCCAAGATGATCTCCTTTGACTCCATGTCACATGCAGGTCATGCTGATGCAAGAGGTAGGTTCTCATAGTCTTGGGCAGCTCCACCCCCGTGGCTTTGCAGGGTACAGCCTCCATCCCAGCTGCCTTAATGGGCTGGCATTGAGTGTCTGTGGCTTTTCCAGGCATGTGGTGCAAGCTGTCAGTGGATCTACCATTCTGGGGTCTGGAGGATGGTGGCCCTCCTCTCACAGCTTCACTAGGCAGTGCCCCAGTAGAGACTCTGTGTGGGGGCTCCAACCCCAAATTTCCCTTCTGCACTCCCCTAGCAGAGGCTCTAGAGCAAACTTCTACCTGGGCATCCAGGTGTTCCTTACATCTTCAGAAGTCTAAGCAGAGGTTCCCAAATCCCAATTCTTGACTTATGTACATTGGCAGGCTCAAGACCCTGTGGAAGCTGCCAAGGCTTGAGGTTTTTACCCTCTGAAGCCATGGTTCAAGCTCTATCTACATTGGCCCTCTTCAGTCACAGCTGGAGCAGCAGGAACACAGGACAGCAACTTCCTAGGCTGCATACAGCACAGGGACCCTGGACCTGGCCCATAAAACCACTTTTTCCTCCTAGGCCTCAGGGCCTGCGATGGAAAAGGCTGCTGTGAAGAACTCTGACATGCCCTGGAGATATTTTTCCCATTGCCTTGGGGATTAACATTGGGCTCCTTGTTAGTTATGAACATTTTTGCAGCCCACTTGAATTTCTCCTCAGACAATGGGATTTTCTTTTCTATCTCATTGTCAGGCTGCAAATTTTCCAAACTTTTATGCTCTCTTCCCTTATAAAACAAAATGCCTTTAATAGCACCCAAGTCATATCTTGAATGCTTTGCTGCCTAGAAGTGTCTTCAACCAGATACTCTAAACCATCTCTCTCAAGTTCAATGTTCCACAAATCTCTAGGGCAGAGGCAAAATGCTGTCAGTCTCTTTGCTAAAACATGAGTCACCTTTGCTCCAGTTCCCAACAAGTTCCTCATCTCCATCTGAGACCACCTTAGCCTGGATTTCATTGTGCATCTCGTTATCAGCATTTTGATCAAGCCATTTGACAAGTCTCTAGAGAGCTCAAAACTTTCTCACCTTTTCCTGTCTTCTTCTGAGCCTTCCAAACTGTTCCAACCTCTGCCTGTTACCCAGTTCCAAAGTTGCTTTCACATTTTCGGGTATCTTTTCAGCAGTGCCCCACCCCCAATACCAATTTAATGTATTAGCCCTTTTTGACACTGTTGATAAAGACGTACTAGAGACTGGGCAATTTACACAGGAAAGAAGTTTAATTGGACTTCCAGTTCCACGTGGCTGGGGAAGCCTCACAATCATGTTGGAAGGCAAGGAGAAGCAAATCTTGTCTTACATGGATGGCAGCAGGCAAAGAGAGAGATCTTGTGCTGGTGAACTCTCCTTTTTAAAACCATCAGATCTCGTGAGACTTATTCACTATCATGAGACCAGCACAGGAAAGACCTATTCCCATGATTCAATTACCTCCCACCAGGTCCCTCCAACAACATGTGGGAATTCAAGATGAGATTTGGGTGGAGACACAGCCAAACCATATCATTACCTCTCTAGTGAACAGTAATTATAAATCTGTGGTATCATAAAGGTTGTTATAAATATCTAACTAAGACTACAGTTCAAAATGAAAATGATGTCAATATGAACATCAATATTGACAATGCAAAGTAAATTACAGCTGACAGAAAATAAGAGAAGCAATGGAGAGAAGATTAGGGCTCTAATATCCTTTCTTATATTGTGGGGCATTAAGAGAACTATCTAAAATTTAAAGAACAAGAAGCAAATATTTACTAAGAATTATATAAGTAACAAATAGAAGAAATACAAATAATAAAAAACTATCAAGAATTGGAAAGGGAAAGGAAAAGAGATGGGAATAGTGCTATTGATTCTATTGATCTAAGTCTATTTTTCATAGCATGGATTCAACAGATTGTGCCAAGAAATAATTATGAAAACACATTTAGAGCACAGAGGTAATTCTCAAAAGAACTATAACCAGAATTGATTAAAACAGTTTCCTTTGACAAGTGAGGATAGAAGTGTAAACTGATTTCCTTTTCAATCTGATCTTTAGTACATATCATCTTGCAACCTGCAAGTATTACTTTGATGAAAATAAAAATAAAATACAATATATAGAAAATACAAGTGATAATAACTAACATATATGAGAATAAACTATCTGACAGATGGTTAAATATATTTATGATTTAGTCCTCTCAGTAATAAATACTATGAGTTGGTTACCATTATTATCCTTGTTTTTTATGTAAGGAAAATAAAGCTTAAAGAGAAGAACAGTTAAGAAACGGCATAGTCAGGACTTAAAACTCCAAGGAGCAGGACTATTAAACATTACATTATACTGCCTCCCTTCCATTACTATCATGATGTATTTGTCAGCCCCCTGATTTATCCAGTGTGGTAGATAGAATTTTGAGCCCCTTGACCATAGTCCCTTGTGTTACTCCCATGGATATGCTAAGAGTACATGGCGCAAGGGACTTTGAAGATGTAATTTAAATTACCTTTCAGTTGATCTTAAAACAGAGAGATTAGGCCAGGCGCGGTGGCTCATGCCTGTAATCCCAGCACTTTGGGAGGCCAAGACGGGCGGATCACGAGGTCAGGAGATCAAGACCATCCTGGCTAACACGGTGAAACCTCGTCTCCACTAAAAAAAAATACAAAAAATTAGCTGGGCCTGGTGGCGGGTGCCTGTAGTCCCAGCTACTCGGGAGGCAGAGGCAGGAGAATGGAGTGAACCTGAGAGGCAGAGCTTGCAGTGAGCCGAGATCGCGTCTCTGCACTCCAGCCTGGGCGACAGAGAGAGACTCCGTCTCAAAAAAAAAAAAAAAAAAAAAAAAAAAAAACATAATTTTTTATTATCCAAGTGGGCCCAATTCAATCACATGAGGCATTAAAAGCAGAATATGAAGTCAAAAGAGATGCAACAGAAGGGGAAGTCATATAGATTTGAGGCATAAGAAAGACTCAACATGTCATTACTGGCTTGCAGATGAAGAAGCTACGTGGAGAGCATGAAAAGGAAATACATTATGTCGACAACTACTAAGCTCAGAAGATCCTGAGCCCCATATGTGAACCGCAGCTCTGGCCTACACCATGATTTCAGCCTTGTGAGACCTAAGTAGAGAATCTAGCCAGACTGGATCGTGCTCCTGACTTACAGTGCAAGGAGCTAATAAATGAGTGATGTTTTAAACCACTAAATTACTAGGTGATTTGTTATGGCACTGATAGAATGTTAATATAGCTAGTTATCTTTTATTATAATTTCAAATTACAAGAAATATGTAATTAGATATTATACATTTGTTTCGGCCTTTTCACTCTTCAGCTGTTTACTTTTATGCTTACCATACTTTTAAGCAGCAGGCCAAACTGATAAGTTTGTATCACTTCTTTTTTTTACTTTATATTGTTCTTAGATTCTTGTCCACTGAACCACATACAAATTCTCAATCCCTTTAAGGGTTCTATAAAACAAAATGTTCCCTAGTCTTTAGTATTTATTTCATGCTTAACATGTTAAAAACTGTTGGAGGAAGCAGCAGCCATCTCGGGACCTCCTGCCCTCTCTGGAATTGCCCAGTAAATATCCTGGGCCTGGAATATTTCCCCATGTGGACCCGAGTGCAGACTTATTAATTGGCCCCAGATTATTCTTCTTTATTAGGAGAAACCCTTCCCCTTTTCTGGGTATGTAGTGAGCTTCCTTTTACTGCTTAATCATGGGCTGGCCATATGGCCCCTGGCCAGTCCCACCAGTGTATCTGCCTCCTTGAGGGAAGGGAATGGGGCTTTTGCCTGCAGCACGAAGAGAGGAGTAAAGGGGTGCATGCAGTTCACTGCTGGGGAGGGACCCACTGGCCACAAAAGACAAGTGCATACTGCAGATGCTGACCCCACTGCATCTTCATTCTGTGAGTAAAGCGTTATTCCAACCACTGCCTTCAGTGTTGAGTCCTCCTTGGCAACTCTGAACCCATAGAAGATGCAGTGAGTTGAGGTCTGCGGTTGGTACAGTTATGATCGTCGAAGTCCTCCAGACGGCTGGAGTCTTCACTTGGGATTGGTAGCTGGATCTTCCTGATTGACAGAAATTGTTTAAAATTTTTTTTTCATTTGATGAAAGATTAATGATCCTACCTGAAAACCACTTTCCTTGGATAATAGTAATGCCATAAAAGAAAATTTACAAAAGAAATGGAAATGACTTGAACTGAGTTGGCAATACAGTAAATTAAGTGCCATTTAAGACAACTAGGTATTTTCAAAATAAAAGTTTTTTAAAAAAATCGAAATATCAAACTATGAAAGAATGGATTTTACACAGGATTATTTTCTTGTTTATTAAATTGACAAATAGAAACTGAATATACTTATGAGATATAACATGATTTTTTAATATATTGTGGAATGGTTAAATCAAGCTATTTGGCATATGCATTACCTCACATGCTTATAATGTTTGTGGTGAGAACACTTAAATCTATTCTCGGCAATTTTTGACTATACAACATATTGTTATCAACTATGTTCGCCATGATGTACAGTAGAACCCTTGAATTTATTCCTCTTGTCTAACTGAAATTTTGTATTTTTGACTGATAGCTTTAAAATCTCCTCACTCCCTGGCCTATGGTAACCACCATTTTACTCTCTGTTTCTATGAATTATTTTCTAATTTAAACTCTATCTAAGTATGGTTCAGAATGGCACAGTTTCTCTCCACCAAACCTTGGACTGCTAACCTCATTCCAGTGGCCCTACCCAGAAGTGATTCAGCCCACAGGAGAACAGCTTTGACCCCCTATGATTTTATCTCCACCCCAACCAATCAGCAGCAAGCACCTGATACTTGGCCACCCCCACCCCTTCCTCCAAACTATTTTTGAAAAACTTCTAATCTATGAGCTTTGGATGACATGATTTAAGTAAGAGCTCCATCTCCCACATGGCGTGGCTGGCCTTGTGTGTATTAAACTCTTTCTCCACTACAATGCCATGGTAATTTTGTGTGTGTGTGTGTGTGTGTGAGCTTCTTAGATTTGAAAGCAAAGGTTGTTGTTTTCACCACATTTAGGAGCATTTTTAGCAATTATATTTTCAAATACTTTTTCTCCCCAGTTTTCTTTTTTTTTTTTTTTTTTAATCTCTGGGGCTTGAATTACATCTATTATAGACCACTTGGTATTATGTCATATGCCATAATATTGTGTTTTGTGTGTGTACTATGACCTTCAGATTTAATAATTTCTACGGATCTGTCTACAAGTTCATTAAACCTTTCCTGTGTAGTCTCTAATCTGCTGTTAATTCTATAAAGATTTTTTTAAATAGTGGCATTATTAAAGCATATTTCACATGTCATACAATTCACCCATTTAAAGTGTACTATTTAATGTTTTTTTAGAATATTCAGAGTTGTGCAAAAAATACCACACCAATTTTAGAACAGTTTCATTACCATAAGAAGAATACTAAAGAAAATATTCACGACAGACATATCAGAGACCTAAACTGGAGGAGTTGAGGCAAGATGGCTGAATCCCTCCAGTAATTATCCCCTCGCAGGAACACCAGATTGAACAATTTCACATGTAAGAAAGAAAGCACCTTCATAACAACCAAAAATCAGGGGAGTAATTACAGTACCTGTTTTTACCATTATATAGCAAGGAAACACACATTGCAAAGAGTAGGAAAGAAGTCTTGCATTGACTATACTACCCATTCTTTATCCTCCAGCACTGTGGAGTGAGAATCTGTGTGCTTGGGGGAGAGACAGCAAAGTAATTATGGGACTTTGCATTGGAACTCAGTGCTGTCCTGTCACAGTGGAACACAATAAAGGACATAATTGTCATTGCCCATGGAGAGAACATTTAAACTAGTTCCAGTCAGAGAGGAATCCTCCACACTAGTCGTTAAAACCTGAATTCTGGCTAGCTCTACCACTGGCTAACTCAAGTGCCCTGGGGTCCTGAATAAATTTGAAGGGCATTCAGGCCACAAGGACTGTAGTTCTTGGACAGATCTGGGGCTGGGCTTAAAGCCAGCGGAATTGGAATGCATGCAACTCAGTGATACATCAGTTGTGGTGGCCAAGGGAGTATTTTGTCACTCATCCCACAACTCTAGGCAGTGCAGCACAGTGAGAGACCCCTTCCTTTTGTGGAAAAAAAAGAGAGAAGAGTAAAAAAGACTTCATTTTGCAACTTGAATACCAGCTGGACCAAAGTAAAATAAAGCACAAAGTAGATTCAGATTGCAGGCTCTTCCTTCTGGATGGCATTTCTAGACCCACTCTGGGCCAGGGAGGAACCTAGTACACTGAAAGAAATTATCTAATCTTGGAAGGATTTACCACCTAACTAAAGAGCCCTTGGACCTTGAATAAATGTCAGTGATAGATAGACAGTAGTCACTACAGGCCTTGGGTGGGACCAAGTATTATGCTGGCTTCAAGCATGACCCAGCACAGTCCCAGCTATGCTGACCGTGAAAGTGTTTGCATCATCCATCTCCCAACTCTAGGCAACGCAGCATGGAGAGAGAAACTCCAGATTGGAAGAAAGTGAGGAAAAAGAATGAGACTCTGCCTGATAATTCAGGGAAATCTCCCTGATCTTGCCCAAGCCCACCAAGGTGGTACCTCTATGGGAATGCAAGAGTTGCAACATTACTGGGCTTGGGCTGCTCCATAGTGCAGATATAGCTGCACTGACCAAAGATTTAGGTAAAAACACCCAAATCCCTTTGAATACCTAATAAGCCTTCCCAAAAAAGGCAGGTACAAATGAGCCCAGATTGTGAAGGCTACAATAAATATCTAACTGTTAAATGCCCAGACATCAATGAATATCCACAAGCATCCAGACAGTTTAGAAAAATATGAATTCACAAAACAAACTAAATAAGACATCAGTGACCACTCCCAGAATGAGAGAGATATGTAACCTTTCAGACAGAGAATTCAAAGTAAATGTTTTGAGGAAGCTAGAAAAACTTCATATTAGACAATGAAAAGAATCAGGATCCTATCAGAGAAGTTTAACAAAGAGGTGTAAATAAGTTTTAAAAATCAAGCAGTCTTTTGTATTGTTTTTTGTTTTAATTTCATTTAGTTCTGCTCTAATCTTGGTTATTTCCTTTCTTCTGCTGGGTTTGGGTTTGGTTTGCTCTTGTTTCTTTAGTTCCTTGAGGTGTGACCTTAAAATGTCAGTTTGTGCTCTTTTAGTCTTTTTGATGTAGGCATTTAGGACTATGAACTTTTCTCCTAGCACTGCCTTTGCTGTATCCCAGAGGTTTTGATAGGTTGTGTCATTATTGTCTTTCAGTTCAAATAATTTTTAAATTTTCATCTTGATTTTGTTTTTGACCAATAATTATTCAGAAGCAGGTTATTTAATGTCCATGTATTTACATGGTTTTGAAGGTTCCTTTTGGACTTGGTTTCCAGTTTTATTCCACTGTGGTCTGAGAGAGTGCTTGATATAATTTCAATTTTCTTAAATTTATGGAGGCTCATTTTGTGGCCTATCATATGGTCTCTCTTGGAGAGAGTTCTATTCGCTGTTGAATAGAATGTGTATTCGGCAGTTGTTGGATAGAATGTTCTGTATACATCTGCTAAGTCCATTCGTTCCAAGGTATAGTTTAAATCCATTGTTTCTTTGTTGACTTTCTGTCTTGATGACCTGTCTAGTGCTGTCAGTGAAGTATTAAAGTCCCCCACTATTATTGTGTTTCTGTCTATCTTATTCCTTAGGACTATTAGTAGTTATTTTATAAATCTGGGATCTCCAACGTTAGGTGCATATATGTTTAGGATTGTGATATTTTTCTGTTGTACAAGACCTTTTACCATTATATAATGTCCCTCATTGTCTTTTTTAACTGCTGTTGCTTTGAATTTTGTTTTGTCTGATATAAGAATAGCTACCCCTGCTTGCTTTTGGCATCCATTTGCATGAAATACCTTTTTCCATTCCTTTACTTTAAGTTTATGTGAGTCTTTATGTGTTAGGTGAGTCTCTTGAAGGCATTTGATGGGTGGTGAATTCTTATCCGTTCTGCAGTTCTGTATCTTCTAAGAGGAGCACTTAGGCCATTTACAGCTATGACTCAAACAGACAGCTCAGCGTATGGAGGCTTGCATTAGGAATTTTAGTTCCAGAACAACTTCAGGAATAAATCAGGAATCCTGAGAGGACCCACAGACCCTCTGAAGGAAGTGGACTGCTTGTACAGGACCCAGGAGCACCCCAAATACTGTGAGTGCCCAAACTGTGGAAGTGGGAAAGGGACATCCTCCACCCCCGACTACACACCCCCATGGGGGAAACTGAGTGTCTAGTTTGTGGAGAAGATTCTGACCTTAGCCATTCTTGCCTGGCATCACAGGGATCCTTCAGGAGGGTGGCCAGTAGTGCAGGGAAAATGCCACAGGGAGAAGGAAGTCACTATGTAAACTTTGCAACAATTTGAATGGCTGAGAAGCCCCATGGCAAGAACTCAAGGGAAGGCGCAAATCCAGTGTGCAGACTCCACAGGCAAGAGAAGAACTAAAGCCCTTTTCTTTTGCAGCTAAGAGGCGGGTAACCTGGAGCAAGTTCTCAGCTCTGCTTGCCTACTGTCTGGAAACAGACTTGGCGCTGTTCGGAAGGGGCACGGTGGAAGTGAGACCAGCCTTTCGGATTGCGTGGGAGCTGGGTGAGGACCTGTGCCTGCCAGATTTCCCTCACTTCCCTGACGACCTGCATGACTCAGCAGAGGCAACCATAATCCTCCTAGGCACACAACTCCATTTAACTGGGAACCTCACCCCCATCCCTCACAGCAGCCACACCAAGGCCCACCCAAGGAGAGTCTGAGCTCAGACACACCTAGCCCTGCCCTCACCTGATGATCTTTCCCTACCCACCATGGTAGCTGAAGACAAAGCACATATACTCTTGGGAGTTCTGGGGTCACGCGCACCATGGGTTCCTCTCCATACTACCACAGCTGATGCTCTCTGAAAAGCACCACCTCCCGGCAGGAGACCCACCAGCACAAAAACAGAGCATTAAACCACCAAAGCTAAGAACCCTCACAAAGTCCATTTCACCTCCCTGCAACCACCACTGGATAGGTGCTGGTATCCACGGCTGACAGACCCATAGATGGTTCACATCAAAGGACTCCGCAGACAACCCCCAGTATCAGCTCAGAGCCTGGCAGACTTGCAGAGTGGCTAGACCCAAAAGAGAGATAACAATCTCTATGCTCATCTCTCAGGAAGCCACATCCTACAGGAAAAAGGGAGAGTACTCCATCAAGGAAACACCTGTGGGACAAAAGAATCTGAACAACAGCCTTCAGCCCTAGACCTTCCTTCTGACAGAGGCTACACAAATGAGAATGAACCAGAAAACCAATTCTGGTAATATGACAAAACAAGGATCTTTAACACCCCCCCCCCCAAAATCACACTAGCTCACCAGCAAGGGATCCAAACCAAGAAGAAATTCTTGATTTACCTGAAAAAGAATTCACCAGGTAAGTTATTAAGCTAATCAGGGAGGCACCAGGGAAAGGTGAAGCCCAATGCAAGAAAACCCAAAAAACAATACAAGAAGTAAAGACAGAAATATTCAAGGAAATAGATAGCATAAAGAAAAAAATAATAAAAACTTCAGGAAACATTGGATACATTTATAGAAATGCAAAACTCTCTGTAAAGTCTCAGCAATAGAATTGAACAAGTAGAAGAAAGAAATTCAGGCGGGGTGTGGTGGCTCACATCTGTAATCCCAGCACTTTGGGAGGCTGAGGCAGGCGGATAACTTGAGGTCAGGAGTTTGAGACCAGCCTGGCCAACATGGTGAAACCCTGTCTCTGTCTCTACTAAAAATACAAAAATTAGCCGGTCATGGTGGTGCATGCCTGTAATCCCAGCCACTCAGGAGGCTGAGGCAGGAGAATTGCTTGAACCTGGGAGGTGGAGGTTGCAGTGAGCAGAGATCACACCACTGCACTCCAGCATGGGCAAAAAGCAAGGCTCCATGTCAGAAAGAAAGAAGGAAGGAAGGAAGGAAAGAAGAAGGGAAGGGAGGGGAGGGGAGGGGAGGGGAGGGGAGGGAAGGGAAGGGAAGGGAAGGGAAGGGAAGGGAAGGGAAAGGAGAGAGAGGAAGGAAGGAAGGAAGGAAAGAAAGAAGGAAGGAAGGAATTCACAGCTTGAAGACAAGGTCTTCAAATTTAACCAATCCAACAAAGACAAAGTAAAAAGAATAAGAAAATATGAGCTAAGAATTCCAGAAGTCTGGGATTATGTTAAACAACCAAACCTAAGAATAATCAATGTTCCTGAGGAAGAAGAAATCTAAAAGTTAGGAAAACATATTTGGGGGAATAATGGAGGAAAACTTTTTCAGTCTTGCTACAGACCTAGACATCCAAATACAAGAAGCACAAAGAACACCCGGGAAATTCATCACAAAATATTATTGCCTAGGCACATTGTAATCAGGTTATCTAAAGTTACGACAAAGGAAAGAATCCTAAGAGCTGTGAGACAAAAGTGCCAGGTAACCTATAAAGGAAAACCTATCAGATTAACAGCAGATTTCTCAGCAGAAACCCCACAAGGTAGAAGGAATTGGGGCCCTATCTTCAGCTTCCTCAAACAAAACAATTATCAGTGAAGAATTTTGTATCCAGTGAAGCTAAGCATCATAGATGAAGAAAAGATACAGTCTCTTTTAGACAAACAAATGCTGACAGAATTTGTTACTACAAAGCCACCACTACAAGAAGTCCTAAAAGGAGCTTTAAATCTTGCAATAAATCCTGGAAACACATCAAAACAGAACCACTTTAAGGCATAAATCTCAAAGGATCTTTAAACAAAAATACAATTTGTAAAGCAAAAACAAAAAACCAAAAAACAAGCTATGCAGGCAACAAATAGCACAATGAATGGAATGGTACCTCACATCTCAATACGAACACTGAATGTAAAGACCTAAATGCTCCACTTTTTTCTACTTTTTTTTTCTTTTTCAAATACTGTATTTTTCAGTACTAGAATTTCCATTGGGTTCTTTTTTTATAGTTTTTATTTTTATGCTGAGGTTCCCTTATTATGACCATATTTTCCAAAATGTCCTTGAAAATATTTTAAAGGCTGCTTTGACGTCCTTCAATGCTAATTCTAACATCTGGGTCATCTGGAAGTCTGTTTCTACTGAATTTGCTTAATTTTTCTTAATTTTGAGTTACATTTTCTGACTTCTTCATGTTTAGCAGTTTTTTATATTGAGTACTTTGTGAATACCATGTGTGCTAAGCCACAGTCTGACAGTACAGAAACTATGATGCAGGCCCCTAGGTCAACTGAGATTGTCCTGCAAGCAGGCATGGTTAGGCTGGGGTCCCAGAAAAGGCCAGGAGACCAAGAGGTGCCCAGGTTGGGCTAGCTCCATCTGATGTGCAAGACCACCCTGCAGAGATCAGTTCTCACATTTTCTCTAGGGCTAAAATCTCTTTTGGGAGTGAGTTCAGCCTAGGAGGGTGACTGTTCCTGGCTGTGCTCTGCTACAGATGCTCTGGCACCAAATCCTCTGGGCGCCACATCAGCTGGCTTGCTCCCCTGTAACTTCTCTAAGCAGCTCTCCCAGCCAACTCCAGTGTCCATGATGGCTGATGGGTTTCAGAGGCCTGTGGTGAGAGTGGGTTGTTGCTTGCCAGTTCAACTTACCTATTCCCCTGGAGCCATTGTGGGCCAGAAATGAGTCCTAGTTCATGGTAACCCTGTGCAGGGTTCCCAGCTTTCTCCCCTTTCAACCTAGTTTCTGTGTCTTTCCTCCGTCCACTCTCAATGCCTTCCCTCTGAAGATAGGTTAGGAGCATGCCAGTTGTCTTGCTCCCTCAGTGGGAGCTGTTCCACCTGGCTGCACCTAGTCAGCCATCTTTCCCGCTGACAGTATGTTTTATTTGGATAGTCTATTTCCTGATAGATAGATATTGCTGGAACATGTGAAGCAGCACCAGATAATTGTATAGGATAAAGTTTTTTCAACATATTCTCTAGATTCTAGAGATATGTTGCTGAAAATAATGCTAAAAGAATTTCATAATGTAATCACAAGCATTAATACCAGAATAGAACAAATGAAGGAAACAATCTCAGAGCTTGAAGACTGACTTTCTGAAATAAGACACTCAGACAAGAATAGAGAATAAAGAATGAAAAGAAATGAACAAAACCTCTGAGAAATATGGAAATATGTAAAGAGATCAAATCTATGACACATTGGTGTCCCTGAAAGAGATGGGGAGAATGGAACCAACTTGAAAAACGTATTTCAGGATATTATCTATGAGAACTTTGCAAACCTAGCTATAAAGACCAACATTCAAATTCAGAAAATTCAGAGAACCCTAGTAAGATAATTTACAAGAAGATCATCCCAAAGGCACATAATCATCAGATTCTCTGAGGTCCAAATGAAAGAAAAATGTTAAATGCAGCTAGAGAGAAAGGTCAGATCACCTACAAAGGAATGGCCATGAGACTAACAACAGACCTCTCAGCAGAAACCTTACAACTCAGAAGAGATTGGGGGCTGATATTTAACATTCTTAAATAAAAGAAATTCCAAACCAGAATTTCATATTCGGCCAAACTAAGCTTCATAAGTGAAAGAGAAATAACATCATTTTCAGACAAGCAAATGCTGAAATGATTCACCAGTGCTGCCTTACAAGAGCCCCTGAAGAAGCACTAAATATGTAAAGGAAAGACAATTACCGGCCACTACAAGAACATACTGTAGTACACAGGTCAATGACACTATAAAGCAACCACATAAACAAGTCTGCAAAATAACATCAAATCCACACACATCAATAATAACCTAGAATGTAAATTGGCTAAATGCCCCAATTAAAAGGCAGAGAATGGTAAGCTGAATAAAGAACCAAGATACATCAGCATGCTGTCTTCAAGAAACCCATTTTACATGCAATGACACACTTAGGCTCATAATAAAGGGATAAAGAAAAATTTACCAAGCAAATGGAAAACAGAAAAAACCAGGGGTAGCAATTCTAGTTTCTTACAAAACCAACAAAGATCAAAAAAGACAAATAAGTGTATTACATAGTGGTAAAGGGTTCAATTCAACAAGAAGATCTAACTGTTCTAAAAATATATGCACTCAACACAGGAGCACTCAGATTCATAAGGCAAGTTCTTAGAGACCTTCCAATAGACTTAGACTCCCACACACTAATAGTGGGAGGCTTTAACACCCCACTGACAATATTAATCAGATAATTGGAAAAAAAGTTAACAAAGATATTCGGGACCTGAACTCAGCACTGGATCATATAAAATTGACAGATATCTATAGAACTGACCATCCAAAAACAGCAGAATATACATTCTTCTCATCATCACATGACGCATATTCTGAGATTGATCACATATTCAGAAGTAGAGCACTTCTCAGCAAATTCAGAGAAATTGATATAATAACAAACAATCTTTCAGACCACAGCGAATCATATTGGAAATCAAGACTAAGAATTCACTCAAAACCCTACGATTACATGGAAATTAAACAAACTGCTCCTGAATGATTTTTGGGTAAATAATGCAATTAAGGCAGAAATCAAGAAGTTGGTTGAAACTAATGAGAACAAAGAAACAACATACCAGAATATCTGGGACACAGCTAAAGCAGTGTTAAGAGAGAAATTTATAGCACTAAATGCCCACGTCAAAAAGTTAGAAAGATCTCAAATTAACAACCAAACATCACAACTAAAAGAACTAGAGAATCAAGAGCAAATAAAGTCCAAAGGTAGCAGAAGACAACCAAAATCAGAGCTGAACTCAAGGAAATCAAGACACAAAAAAATTCAAAAGATTCAGGAGTGAATTTTTTGAATAAATGAATAAAATATATAGACTGCTAACTAGATAAATTAAGAATAAAAAAGAGAGAATTCCAATAAACAAAATCAGAAATGACAAGGAAGATTTTACCACTGACCTCACAGCAATACAAAGAACCATCAGAGAATATCATGAAAACCTCTATGCACATAAACTAGAAAATCTAGAAGAAATAGGTAAGTTCTGGACACATACACCCTCCAAAAGCTAAAGCAGAAAAAAATAGAATTTGTGAACAGACCAACAGTCACCTCTGAAGTTGAGGTAGTAATAAGTAGCCTAAAACAAAGCCCAGGACCTGATGGATTCAAAGCTGAATTCTAACAGATGTACAAAAAAGAACTGGTGCCATTCCTACTGAAGCTATTCCAAAAAAAATGAAAAAAGAAAGGACTCCTTCCTAACTCATTCTGTGAGGCCGGCATCATACTGATATCAAAAGCTCACTGAGACACTACAACAAAAAATAAAACTTCAGTGCAATATCCCTTATGAATATCAATGCAAAAATTGTCAACAAAATACTGGAAAAGCGAATCCAGAAGCACATCAGAAAGCTTATCATCCACGAACAAAAACGTATTATCCTTGGGATGCAAGGGTGGTTCACCATAGGTAAATCAATGAATATGAGTCATCATATAAACAGAACTAAAGACAAAAACCACAATATGATTTCAATAGATGCAGAAAATGCTTTTGATAAAATTCAACATCTCTTCATGTTAAAAACTCTCAATAAACTAGGTATGGAAGGAAAAGACCTCAAAATAATAAGAGCCATATATGACAAACTCACAGCAAATACCATACAAGATGGGCAAAAGCTGGAAGCATTCCACTTGAAAATTGGCACAAAACAAAGATGCCCTTTGTCACCACTCCTTTTCAACATAGTATTGGAAGTCCTGGCCAGGGAAATCAGGCAAGAGAAAAAAAAATAAATGGCATCCAAATAGGAAGAGAGGAAGTCAAAGTACCCTGTTTGCAAATGACATAATCCTATATCTAGAAAACCCCCTTGTCTCTGCCCAAAAGCTTCTTAAGCTGATAAACGACTTCAGCAAAGTCTCAGGATACAAAATCCATGTGCAAAAATTACTAACATTCCTATACACCAAAAAGTCTTGCCAAGTACCTAATCAGAAACACAATCCCATTTACAATTGCGACAAAAAGAATAAAGTACCTAGGACTACAGCTAACGAGAGATGTGAAATTTCTCTACAAGAAGAACTACAAAACACCAATCAAGAATATCAGAGGTGATACAAACAAATGGAAAAATACTCCGTGCTCATGAGTAGAAAGAATCAATATTGTTAAAATGGCCATACTGCCCTAAATAATTTATAGATTTAATACTATTTGTATTAAACTACCACTGACATTCTTAACATTTATACAGAGTCTAAAAAGAACCTGAATAGCCAAGACAATCCTAAACAATAAAACAAAGCTGTAGGCATCACACTACCTGACTTCAAATTATACTACCCAGCTACAGTAACCAAAACAGCATGCTACTGCTACAAAAACAGAAACATAGACCAATGGGACAGAACAGAGAGCCCAGAAATAAGGCCACACACATACAACGATACGATCTCCAACAATACTGACAAAAAATAAGTACTCGGGAAGGGATTCTCTATTCAATAAATGGTGCTGAGATAACTGGCTAGGCATATGCAGAAGATTGAAACTGGACACCTTTATTTCACCATATACAAAATTTAACTTAATATGTATTAAACACTTAAATTTAAAACCCTAAACTGTGAAAACCTTGTAAGACAACCTAGGCTATGCTATTCTGGAAATAGTTATGGGCAAAGATTTCATGAGGAAAACACCAAAAGCAATTGTAACAACAGCAGAAAATGACAATGGGATCTAATTTAACCTTTTGCTGAGCTTCTGCACAGCAAAAGAAACTATCAACAGAATAGACAGACAACCCACAGAACAGGAGAAAATATTTTCAAACTTTACATTTAACAAAGGTCTAATATCCAGAATCTATAAGGAAATTAAGCCAATTAACAAGCAAAAAACAAACTAATCATTAGAGAAATGCAAATCAAAACCACAATGAGATACCAACTCACATCAGTCAGAATTGCTATTATCAAAAAATATCAGATGCTAGTGAGGTTGTAAAGAATGGGGAACATACATACACTGCTGGTGGGAGTGTAAATTAGTTCAACCATTGTGGAAAGCAGTGTGATGGTTCCTCAAAGAGCGAAAAGCAGAATTACCATTTGACCCAGAAATTCTATTACTGGGTATATACCCAAAAGAATATAAATCATTCTGGCCTGGCATGGTGGCTCATGCCTGTAATCCCAGCACTTTGGGAGGCCTAGGCGGGTGGATCATCTGAGGTCAGGGGTTCAAAACCAGCCTGGCCAACATGGTGAAACCCCGTCTCTACTAAAATTTCAAAATTAGCCAGGCGTGGTGGCACATGCCTGTAATCCCAGCTACTCGGGAGGCTGAGGCAGGAGAATCACTTGAACCTGAGAGGCGGAGGTTAGAGTGAGCTGAGATCATGCCATTGCACTCCAGCCTGGGCTACAGAGTGAGACTCAGTTTCAAAAAAAGAAAAAAAAAAGAGTATAAATTATTCTACCGTAAAGACACATGTGTGTGAATGTTCATTGAAACACTATTCACAATAGCAAAGACAGGAAATCAACCTATATGCCCATCAATGAGAGACTGGATAAAGAAATTGTGGTACATATACACCATGGAATATTATGCAGCCTTAAAAAATAATGGGTTAAAATTTTTTTGCAGGAACATGAATGGAGCTGGAAGCCATTATCCTTAGAAAACTAATACAGGAACAGAAAACCAAATACTGCATGTTCTCACTTATAAGTGAGAACTAAATGATGAGAACATATGGACACATAGAGGGGAATAACACACACTTGGGGCCCAGAAGAGGGTGTAGGGTGAGAGGAAGGAGAGGATCAGTAAAAATAACTAATGTGTACTAGAATTAATACCTGGGTCATGAAATAATCTGTACAGCAAAACCCCATGGCACAAGCTTACCTGTACAGCAAACCTGCATATTTATTCCTGAACTTAAAAGTTAAAAAAAAGAATAAAATATACCATGTACTTTTCTTCAGGAGTTTAAATATGTTTGTCTATTCCCATTTTATTAAGATTTATGTTAATTAAAGGAAAACATATAATGTCTTAGATATGTGATATTTGAGAAAATAATTTAAAATATTATTTCAATATAAGCAATATGTATTCATTGTTCAAAAATTTCAAACAGCATAGAAAGTTATAAAAATTTTTTTTAAAAAGTCCCTCCTACATTCCCAATTTAACTCTATCACTCTTTAAAGTTAAGATTGTTGATAGATTGCCTTTAGGGAAAAAAATGTAAATTAGTCAAATATTTTCATAAAATATAAGCTGTCCCACACCTTGCTTTGTTTTTTTACCTAAAGTATATTTTATAAATCTGTGATGTGACCTGGAATTTCATAAAATGAACCAGAAAGCTTTCCCTGGGTTAATAGCACAATAAACAAGCTAGGATTGCCTGTGGAGTGGAGGACCTTCTCACAAACGGAGGAGCTAAACTCAGTCCACATACCATGAAGCCAGTGTTGCTGTTGTTGTTTTCTGTTGGAGGTAAGGGCCATTTTTGAAGCCAGTCTCCTACAGGCTCCCAAGGTGATTGGCAGATGACTCCCCAGATGTTTCTAGTAAAAACTTAGCATATTGCCAAGCAGCCTATTTGTTCTCTCATTAACGGAGATTGCTTTCATGCTTATGTTATAAGGAGAAAACAGAGCGGCAGTATGCTTGTCCTAGAACACTGACTTAAACTATGTCCAGCAGCAGCACCTGGCCCTGGCATGCATCTTTGTGGGATATGGGAAGATTTGAGACCTATACTTTCTCTTTCTGCATCCTTGGTGTGTAAGTTTTCTATAGCTACAGTTTGAATGTTTGTACCCACAAACCTCATATTGAAATTTGATCCTCAATGTTGGAGGTGGGTCCTAATGAGAGGTGTTTGGGTCGTGTGGGTGAATCCTTTATGAATGCCTTGGTGTCATTTTTGCAGTAGTGAGGGAGTTCTTTGTTTCACATGAACTTTGTTAGTTCATGTGAAAGCTGGTTGTTTAAAAGAGCAAGGCACCTCCCTCCACTGTTGTCTTGCTTTCTTTCTTGCCATGTGATCTCTGCACATACTGTCTCCTCTTCACCTTCTACCATGAGTGGAAGCAGCCTTTGACACTCACTAGATGCATATGACCAATCCTGACCTTTTTCAGACATCAGAATTGTAAGACAAATAAACCTTTTTATTGTTATAAATTACCTGCCCTTTGATACTCCTTTATAGTAACACAAACAGACCAAGACACATATTAAACCCTTTCCAGTGAGCAGTAACACATGATCATCCAGAATTCATCCCAAGCCTTTTACCTGACAGATGACTACCATCATTCATGATAGGATCTTTTAATATCAGCAAAAATATACATCGTTTATTGTATTTAACAGGTATGTAGTATTTCGCTGTATCTTAATTTACTAACATTCATAAAAATATAATATTTTATAATGTTAAGGATAAGTTAGTACCCCATATTGTAAGGGAAAAAGTACCAAACTAAAGTCAGTGGTTTTATGTTTTAATACAAATTTTGCATAAACAAATACTTTTTTGGAAACATGGTTACCCTTATCCTTTTCTTGGAAATTAACAATGGAAATTAATATCTTATGGGCTTTGAAAATTCCTATGATTCATCAAAATATGATCAACTTTTTTTAACCTACATTTACCATTTTACCCTAGAATCTTTTACTCAAGAAAATATGTAAATATACCAAGTATTTCGGGCAAAATATAAAAGATGATTTTAAAAGTTCCGTGAAGTTGTGACATTTTATTATTGTCTTACTTTTTCCCCATTTAAAAGAAAAACATCTTTAAGATAGAGATTATCTGAGTTTTCAAAGGTATTCAGTGATGAAGATGTATTTAGACATTCTATACTAAATAAAAGCAACAGATTTTTTGATAGTGAGAAGAAGAATGTGTTCTGGAAACACTTTATATTTGTTTTCAGATCAAATATCAAATAAAGATTTGTCTAGTTCTTGTTTAGGGTAAGGCATGCAGGCCATGATGGGCTTATCTTTTAATGAGATAACTGTTCACCTAATTCATCTAACACTAATCCTTTTTCTAGTAGTTAGTATAATTTCTGTTACAAATAACAGAAACTAATTTAAAAAAAGGAATATATCATTTTACATAACTGGGATATCCAGGAATAAAGCTAGAGCTCTAGATCTCAGTCTTTCTTGCTCTTTCTCCCTCTCCTTCTCTTTCTCTCCTTCCCTCTTCTCATTTATTTCTGATCTCTTTTTTCTTTTTTCCTTTATCACTCTCTACAGAACACCTCTCACATTACCTCCACATATTTCTCTCATTTTCTCTTATTGCTAAGTGTGTAGCAATCAGTATTAATTTCATCATCTCTTATTGCGCACAACTTTGAAGAATTGCTACAAGAGTCTTGATTCTCTTAATCAATTAGATAGCCCAATGATTAGCAGGCAAGAAGACTCTACCTCCAGTTCAATTTAAGAATTCCCGGGAAGAACTCTGTTTAACTTGATTCTGATCATATTCTTAAGCTTGGTGCCATCCATCCATCATTATAAAGTAATATGACATTCCTGGCATGATCCATGTGTTCATCACATCAGCAAGAGGAGCAGAATACTGTTTTGGCAGCCAAGTATGATTGAAGTAGAATTAGTTTCCCCTATGAAGTGAAGATGAATATTTTCTATTTTCAATTAATATTTTAAAAAAATATATATATATAAAGTTTAACATTGAAAAGATATATTTGTATCTTCTGCTTAAGTCAAAGACCTAAACATAAACACGGATTAGAAAATAAGGTAGTTTACTTTCTAATCTTTGATATGCTGGTATCACATTTGCTCTTGACTTACTCTCCACCTACCACACACCATGGTTTCTGCCATTCTTGTAATTTCATAACTCCTCTCAATACTATTGATAACTAAACTGATAATATGGACAATTTAGATCATAACACATTTACTAATCCCTTGCTGAATATATAACAAGATTTAATTTGGGATTCCCTTGGAACTCTGGCTCTCTTAGCCAATCATTTAGAAATTTTTAAATCTTAATTCTTAATGAATCCTTGATTTTTGCTGAAAATGTTCTACCAAGAAAATGAAAACAGTAATAAATTGTGAATTTAAGTAGTAGATCCAATAGTATTATTATATTAATGTTTAATTTTTCCCACATGTGTTTTGTAATTATTTTGCCAGCAGAATTTTTTAAATACTCTATTTAGTTAGATAAAAGATTAGCTCATCAAGTATTTACTGAATCCAAATCATTACTCTATTATGGAAAATGTAACAGAAATATGAAATAAGCCTTTTCAGGGAAACTTATATTTCCTTTGACAATGAGCTGAACAAAAGTTGTAATGTCAGAATAACTTTTTTGCAATGTATTTTATTTATAGACTTAAATGTGTAAAACAAATTTTATTGGTATCTTCTTTGTTCATTTTTGGTTGTTATAACAGAGTACCACAAACTGGGTAGTTTACAAGGAACAGAAATTCATTTGGCTCATGGTTCTGGAGGTTGGGAAATTCAAGAGCATGGCACCAGCATCTGGTGAGGGCCTTCATGTTGAATCATTCCATAGCTAAAGGTGGAAGGGGAAGAGAGGGTGAGAGCACGAGTGCAAGAGGTGGTAGAATTTGCTTTTATAATAAACTCACTCACACAATAATGACATTAATCCATTCATGAGGGCAGAGCCTTCATGAACTAATAATCACATATTACTAGGCCCTACCACCCAACACTGTTCCATTGGGGATAAAGTGTTCAACACATAAACTTTGGGGGACACATTCAAACCACAGCAAATATTAACACACTGATGATAATTTTCCGTCCAAAATACCTTACCAATTATTTTATTTTATTTTATTTTCAATAGTTTCGAGGGTACCGGTGGTTTCTGGTTACATGGATGAATTTTATAGTGGTGAAATCTGAGATTTTAGTGCACTTGTCACCAGAGTAGCATATGTTGTTCCTAATATGTACTTTTTAATTCCATACTCCCTTCCATCCTCACCGTTTCTGAGTCTCCAAAATCCATTTATCACTCGGGATGGTTTTGGATACCCATAGCTTAGCTCCCACTTATAAGTGAAAGCATGCATTATTTGGTTTTCAATTCCTGAGTTACTTCACTCAGAATAATGGCCGCCAGTTCTATCCAAGTTGCGGCAAGAGACATTATTTCATTCTTTTTTACACTCTTGATAATTTTAACCCACATATTAAAAACATCACTAAGGTCACAATAAGTACCCACACACCACAGTTTAGTAAGTTATAAATACTGCCAAAACAGCTTTTTAAATAAACATTGATTTCAAAAGACACCTGTAAAACACATACATATATCTCTAAAAAAGTTTAAAAAATCTGTGTTCAGGAAATCAGAGCTCCGTAGGATTTTGCTGCAAGTTAGTATAGCTACTCAGGAACGGGGAACTGCCAACAACTCTGATTAAAATGTCAAGTGTTAAATGGGTGTAATCAATCTTGATTTTTTTTTTCTTCTGCTTGATTTGTGTTTGACTGAGGGCAATCACTGTGTATATGTCTCTGTGTGTCTTTGTGTGTGCACGTGTGTGTGTGTGTGTCTTGACTGCTCTTTATTTTATGCCAGAAAAGAATGAACATTTAATCCTCAAATTCTACACAAATCTCACAAATGTTCACAAAATGAAGAAAGAAACTTACAAATAGGAAAGTTAAGCATTTTTTCCTGTTGCTTGTATTTTTTTAATAAATTTTCTAATCAGTAATGATTTGCAGGTCTCCTGCAGAGTTACATAAAAACCACCTAGAAGACTTTTTTAAGATGCAAAGTCTTTGATAACACTTCTCCCCAATCCTGATTCAGTAGATAGGAACTAAGACCTAGAATAACGCATTTTTTAGAAGATATTTAGGTGATTCTATTGCAAGTTGCATTGGACTATACTTTAACATACAGTGTCCTAGAGTGATTAGGTAATTATGACATGGTAAGTGAAAATGGAAAAAACTGAAGTCAGTCATTTATTTCTTCATTCAACAGACATGGATAGCACTTTGTTGGTCATTAAGGACAAATAAAACAAGGTCCCCAAGGAGTCCACACTCTAATGAATGAACTGCCTGAAACTCTGTCAGTTATTATGGCTTATTAGTTAATCTCTCTCAACATGATATTCAATAATAATCCCTATTTCACTCATTAAAAACTTGAAGGTTATGGAAGATGAATGTTTCCAGCACACTAAAGCAATCTGGCCCCCATATTAACTTTGTAAGATCCTTTCATATAAACCTTATTTATTTGATTATGACTAACTCAGTTACCCCTAAATAACTCTCTATGTACAGACTGAAAAGAATATGGTTGCTTTAATAAAGAGGTTGCATATTAAAATGATACTGAGATAAATACACATATACCAGTGCACATATATCTGAATACAAATGACTAGGCTTTTCTCTTTGATTTTGTTTATTTTTCATGTTTTAGGCCTCTGTTAGAGTATTCTTATCAAACTAAAGTTGATATATGGAGCATCTATGAAAAATTTAAGTTTATTAAGCAATTTAGCTATATATGTATATATATTATATACATAAATATGTAATATATACATATGTATATGATATATAATTATGTTATATATAATACATTATATATACTATAATATGTAATATTAGTATATATTGTTATATATGTCCTATAATATATATGTACATATATAATATATACTATATATTTATGAATATAATACATTATATATTAAATTACATAACACAATATAGTAGATATAATATATATTCACATATAGATAATTAAAGTACTACAAAAAGAAACAGTTAACATCCTATGCAACTGGGGTACCAACTATTGGAGTAAGCAAAATAAAAAATTTAGTCAATAATCACACAAACATAGATTTGGAGAGCTTCACACTAAAAATATAGTTGTTGCTATGCATGATTCAAAGTACTTTTACTTGTACTACTATATTCCTATTCAGAGACTATGTCTTTTCAGCCAAGTGATATAAAATCAACTCGGCAAGTATTTACTGAGTCCCAATATTTACTGTACTGTGAAAGTCATAAAAGACATATAAAACAAGGCTTTTCTCTCAGGAAAATTATAATAATTCTTTATGACACAGTTAAAATGTATATGCAAAGAGTCGATAAATGAAACCATGAAACTAGATGAAATCAACCAGGAAGAAAATGTGGATCCCATATTTTAGGAATAGACAAAAGAAGATGAATTAATGACAAAAAGCAATAAGTGTCCACTACATAGCTCAGATGTAGCGTGTGTATTATACTAATTTCCTTTTGTCTGACTTTTCTCAGTTACGTTCTGAGCAATACTGGCAGGGCATTTTGTTATTAGTAACATCATTTATTGAGTGCTTTCCATATGCCAGGTTCTGTTCTAAATGCTTCACATGCACTAATTAATTCCTTTGTTTTTCATTAAAAATACATGAGTTAGGCACTATTATTACTCTTATTTTATCTGTGGGAAAACTGGTTCAAAGAGATATTAAATAGTTTACCCAACGTCAAAGTTAGTGGATTCCAGAGTTGGCCTGTTGACCCAGGCCATCTGACACAGGTGTCCATAACCTGAACTACTTCACTGTACAGCCTCCCATCATATTCACATTTGTATCCTCCAGTACCCAACATTATGCCTTATATATAGTAGTTATCCAATATATAGTTACTTAATGATAAAGAACAAATGAATAAATTGAGTTTTGGGAAATCAAGGAAAGACTACTGTCATAGAAGCCAATGAAGGAAAAGCAACTTATTATAAAAGTAGAAACATTCACAAAATGCGTATATATTGATGATACATTGAACTATTGTAAATCTGAAATAAGAATGGCAATTGTGTATTTGGAAAATGATGCTTACCTTAATTAAAACAGATTAAAGAAAATATAAAACAACAATATAATTGCCATTATCCAACTCTAGTAAATTTATATTTAAAACATTTTCTACTTCAATCATTTTAGGCAGCTTGGAGTGGTTTGGGGCAGTCATAGTCACTGGTATAAGCTGAGTGTACTCATGAAATTAGAATTTAAGCAAAAATGTCTTTAAGAAAAACTTTTTGGGACATTTGAAATACATATTATGATGCAGTGCACTGGTTACTTTTTAACTTCTATCTACTTCTTGCATATTGTTATTAGGAGCATTTCCTATTAATACTAATGATGACATTTCCTCATAAATTTATTATAAAGACATTTATTTAGCATCTAACATTTATAAGGTATCACATGCATCCGTGTGAAGAGACCATCAAACAGGCTTTGTGTGAGCAATAAAGCTTTTTAATCACCTGGGTGCAGGCGGGCTGAGTCCAAAAAGAGAGTCAGCGAAGGGAGATAGGGGTGGGGCCATTTTATAGGATTTGGGTAGGTAGTGGAAAATTACAGTCAAAGGGGGTTGTTCTCTGGCGGGCAGGGGCAGGGGTCACAAGGTGCTCAGTGGGGGAGCTTCTGAGCCAGGAGAAGGAATTTCATAAGGTAATGTCATCAGTTAAGGCAGGAACTGGCCATTTTCACTTCTTTTGTGATTCTTCACTTGCTTCAGGCCATCTGGATGTATACGTGCAGGTTACAGGAGAAATGATGGCTTAGCTTGGGCTCAGAGGCCTGACATAAGGCACTGTGCAGGGCATGTGTGTGTGTCTGAATGGCCAAATGCTGTAAGCACTACCTTTACAATTCACAAAAGTATTTCACATATGTACTCTGCTTTTATTAACATGACAACTATTTGAGAAGAACTTTGTTCTTCCAGTTTTCTTTGTTCCTTCAAGAAACCATTAGTTATTGTTTTCTTTACAAACCAGAGTATCCTTTTGTATTGTGAGAAAACATGACTTCCTTCTCTTTGCAACCCTTCCAACACACACACATAAACACATACACACTCATTCCTAGCAGAGTTCCTACAAGTAGTAAGTAGCTAATATTATACTTTTTAAAAAAGTCCACAGTGGTTATAATGGCCTAAAAATGACTATGTAAATCTGGCCCCTTCCTATCCCTCCATCCTGTTCTCTATGCTCTTTTGCTTGCTATATTCCAGATATAGTCATCTTTTTTGTTATTTATCTACCCATTTAGTCATTTATTATAGACATTTACTATCTACCATTTGCCAAGTATTAGTAAAACAGCAGTGAATAAAGCTTGTAAAATTGTGCCCTCATGGAGCTAACACTTTATTATAGGAAGGCGGACAATAAACAAATATATAATATGTCAGATGGTGCTAAATGCTAAAAGGAAAACAATGGTATTTTATATAGGAAGGCCAGGAAATACATCTCCGAGCAGGTGAGAAGTGTGTAGAGACATGAATGCAGTTAGAAGGAAAGTCGTCTGGTGGGAAATGGCAGTAAAATGTAAAAGCGCTAAGGTAGCAACATGCTTCATGTATTTCAGGAATAGAAATGAGGTGAGAGAAGTAGTGAAGATGAGGGCCAGGTCACAGAGGGATTTGAAAAAGAGAGGAATTATGCACAGCTGCAATGTATTAGTCTGGGCAATGGTAGCGGGGAGTTGCCATTTACTGAGAAGAATAAGTAACCAAGAGTACAATTTTAGAGGAGAGAACTCAAGAGTTCATTTGGGCACATGTCAAGTTTGAGATGCCTACTAGACATGTTAGGTAGAAATATTAAATCAAGAGTTGAATAAAAGTCTGGATTTCAGGGGATAGATAAGGCTAAAGATAAAAATGTGTCCTAATGTCTTATTTTATTTCATCCAGTGTATGACTTTAAATACCACCTATATCAATAAATAAATAAATGTGTTTAAAGTCACATACTAGATGAAATGAAATAAGAAGTGAATGTGGACAGAAAAGGAAGAAGTTCCAATAGTTCAGGACTAAAGCACTCCAATATTTAGGAATCAGAAAAAGAATGACCAGTCAGGAAGGTAGAAAGATAACTGAGAATGTTCATGAGGCCAAAGGAGACAAATACTTCTGGAAGAGAGGGATCAACCTGGTTAAATGTGGCTGAATGGTTAAATAAGATAAAGACCAAAAGGTGACTCTTAGATTAGGCAACATGGAAGTCCTTTATGACTGTGACAAGCAGTATTTTCAGAAAAATGGAGGGCACAAAAGCCTGATTGGAATGCAGTCAGTGAGAATATTTAAGAAAAACAAAGACGGCATATATGGAAAATTATTTCTAGGTATTTTGCTGTAAGGAAAGCAGAGAAATGTTGTGGCAGCTAGCTAGAAAGTGATGTGAAGTCAAGGGAGTGTTTTTAATGATGACAGAAATTATAGCTTGTTGGTATCCTGATGCAAATGATTCAGTAGAAAAGAAAAACAACCATGATGAATCTGCAGAGAAAAGAGACAACTATAGGAGCCATGTTATATGTGCAAGTAAAGTGAGTTGCAATCTGGAGAATAAGAGAAGTAGTTAGTCTACAGTAGAAGCATCAATGGTTGATCCTTCCAACAGGAAGAAAGGCAGGGTGTATAGGTAGAGATGTTAGAAGGTATAACTGATGTTGGAGGAACGTGGAATTCTATTATTTTCTAATCGCTTCTATTTTCTTAGAAAAATAGAAAGGAAGATGTATGGTAGATGCACCTGACAGCAATAACGTTAGCATACGCTCGCTGGCAGACACAGCTGACAGCAATAATTTAACATAAGAAATGAGCGTTGCCACATGGAAGTTGCTAGAGGGAGGGTGTTAAGTGAAAATGTTATATAAATGACATACTATCTGCAGGTGATGGTGGTTCTACTGTCCAGCCCACAGCCACTGGACCATCCCTGTATATAAGTTCCCAATAAACCCCATGTCTTGTTCGCTGGCTCTGGGTCTCTTCTCTGGCCTTTCAAACCTGGTGCCATCCCTACTGAAGTTAATAGGGGTCTGGCACAACAGAAGGTCATCAGTGAAAAATGAGAAGGGTGAAAGATATGTGAAATTGTCACCACGTAGGGGAGTGGAAGAATGGATTAACTAGCAAATGGAGTAGAATTGCTGGGCATCTTTAATTTCCTACTTTATCTGAATGGACATCAATATAAAAGCAAGTTCAGACAAAATGTTTGTGTGTGTGGTGTTTTTTTTTTTTTCCCATCACTTTCAGGTGCTCTCTTGCAGGTTGGCATACAGTTGGTGAAGCTAAATATAGCAAGAATTAAAGTTTTACTAGGTGAACACAGTGAAAGGTGAGGGGGATAGGTACTGAGGGTGTTTGCAAATTAGTGACTGTCCTGTGTGATACTAGCTGCTATAATAGATGATCACTGAAAAATCATGGGTTTAATACAATAGAAATTTCTTTCTCATTCATGTGAAGTCCACAACAGGTGTCCTTTATCAGTGGAAACCATCCTTTGCTGGACTATAAATCTATGAGAGCAGAGACCTTTTAGGTTTTAACACTATTCTAATCCCAAATCCTCTAAAAGCACCCTGAAAATGGAAGGTTCTCAATAAGCATGTGAAACTCTAACTACAGATAATTTTCAATTTAAGTAAACCACAAGAGGACAGTGTTGATTTATGAAAACAGTAAATTACAGCCTCAACTTTTGCTTTACAACAGAATTTGCCCACATTATTTTTTATTCTAAACTTTCCACTGGGTACCTAAGCATTTAGATGTGAAGGTTTATGTATATATTAAAACAATATATTGTACTAAGCAATATATATGAAAACATCTCAAAACCACAGTTCCTATAGCTGGATCACAAGGCTAATTTTCTGAATATTGAGAGGAGTCAGAAGAGTCAGAAGGGGAAAATCAAAAATTTTGTATATTATCTGGCACATAATTGAACATGAGAAATTCATTGTAATTTTAAGTTTGCAAAACCAAAATTACAAATTAAAGAAAAACCTATTTGTAAACAAGAAGTTGTATTTGCTCTTGAAGCAATATCAATTACTAAATATAAAATCATTGTGAATATTAAAGCCTGCCACATATGAGACAGTAAGGGTTAAACATCATTTTTCTAAAAACTCTTGGCATCGGAAGTGTTTCAGATTTCAGATTTTTTTGGGATTTTGGAATATTTTCATAAACATCGTTAGATATCTTGCTGATGTGGCCCAAGTCTAAATATAAAATTCATTTATGTTTCTTTCTTTTTTTTTTTTTTTGAGATGGAGTTTCGCTCTTATTGCCCAGGCTGGAGTGCAATGGCGTGATCTTGGCTCACTGCAACCTCCGCCTCCCGGGTTCAAGCAATTCTCCTGCCTCAGCCTCCCAAGTAGCTGGGATTACAGGCATGCACCACCACGCCTGGCTAATTTTGTATTTTTAGTAGAGATGGGGTTTCTCCATGTTGAGGCTGGTCTCGAACTCCTGACCTCAGGTGATCCGCCCGCCTCGGCCTCCCAAAGTGCTGGGATTACAGGTGTGAGCCACTGCGCCTGGCCATTTATGTTTCATATATGCCTTACACACATAGCCTGAAGGTAATTTTATATAATATTGTAAATAATTTTGTGCATGAAACAAAGTTTTGCCTGCATTTTGACTGTGACCTGACATATGAGGTAAGGCGTGAAATTTTCCACTTGTGGCATCACATTGGCACTCAAAAAGTTTTGGATTTTCGAACATTTTGGATTTCGAATTTTTGGATTAGAAATGTTCAGCCTTTACTTAGGGGAGAGTGAATATAGGGTTATTGGAAAGAAAACACATGGTCCTTGTGTCAGACCCAAATTTTTATCAGGATTTTATCACTTTGCTTACAAGAAGGAACATGCCAAGAGCTATTTGGTAATCCAATTACTTACGTTTTATAACAGGATGGCAAAGCTTTTGATTATCTTTTGTCAGAAGAAGGGCAAAGATATTCAAAGAATCTGATTAATTGACCATTTCAGTTTTCCTGTTTAAAGTCCAGGTGATCTCACACAGATTAATATGGTATTTATTTCATAGAGGTTTTAAAAATTATATATATCAGATAGGTTTATTTAAGTGCAAGTAACAGAAGCAGAAACACCAAAAGTATGGGGGAGATAAATAATTATTTTAAAGCATATGCAGATAGTTTAGACTTGAAGTAAAGCCAGGCCTTCTAAGAAACAAAAACCATAGTAGCTTTTAGGACCTAGGTAGCAGTAACACAGTAACTCCTTTATAATTTTTTTATTTCTCTTTTTCTAAAATTCTTTGAGTTTAAACTATTAGTGCACATGTTACTCCGCTTTAACAACTACCCTTAATTACTGAAATATTTGAGTGCATTACTTTAACTTATTCTAAAAAGCTTATTGCTTATTTCATATGCCTCTAACTTATTCTGAGGAGTTTATTGCTCATTTCATGTGCATCTTTATCACTAGATTGTTGTCATGTAAAAATATGGATATTTGATCAGCAGGATGCCTACCATGAATACTATGTAATGAGGCAGAGTGACAGCAGGTGAGCTACCAGTAAAAGACCTAAAGCAGAAAGCTATAGAACAATGCTAATTTAAGGCAGTGAAAAAGGCAACATTTGGAATGCCTTGCGGGGAATGTGTCAGGGGATTTGAGTAGTTCCTTATTTCTATAACATCAGAGCCTATATTGGAAAAAGCCTATCTGTCCAAAATGTGCATAAGTAGTTGGTTTTCTTTGAGTATCATCTAATCACGCTAGCAATTTTGAAATGGTATAAAAATCATTGCCAGGAATACTTTTTTCCCATGCAGAAGAACAAGTAGCCACATTACACTGCATTCTGTTTTCATAATCAAGCAACACACTTTCCATGCTACCCAATGCAATCACAAAGCAGATTGGCTTATACTCTAATTATAGTTTTGCACACTTTCAGCACATATGCTAGGCCTTGGGCAAAATATTGCATGTGCTGTTACACAGAAGGTTTATTGAACTGGATCATTAACTGTATTCTCAGTTACAGCATTATCAGCCTCAAGCTTCATCTCTTACATTGAAAGTGTTTATATTCATTTGTATGCTGTTTTATTTGCTTGATTGTTTTAAAATAAAAGATTGATGTGGATGACTAATTTAATATTTTCCTTAAGACATTCTGTTGATTTCCAGCTGAAGATTGAATTTGATAAATTTACATTAAGAATCCTGCTAAAGAATGGCAGCATTTTGGAAAACTTATCTGATAGAGTCTGAACCCTAAGCAACAGATACAGAAGACAGTTACCTCCTATTCACTGTACGTTCTTAGAGATTTCATCTGCATGATATTTACCAGGCTCACTGTGTAATAGAAACTTGTAGCAAACCAGTAAGTATTAAAAAAGATACATCTATTGTAATACAATAAATGATTTTTGAGTAGGACAAGTTGAATAGCTGGAATCACATATTTGTTATTAATAAGTTATTTAGTTTCTCCAGAAGTTTCATTTTCAAAATTATAACCATAGAATATATTTCACTTATGTGTTAAATTACATTTGGATATTTAAAGATGTACATTGATATCTGTTGAAAAATAGATATTATTTTGAAAAGAGTGGTAGGCATAATACACACTGAAAAGTGTCTTGTCTTATTTTATTTTGTCTGTGAATTTATCCTGCTGAGGAACTATTTTGAAGTAACTCCTAAAATTAAATTTAGATTCTGTGCTCATATCCCAGATCTAAACAGTTCAGTCCCTATCCCTAGAGAGGTTCAGAAATTATAGACTCTTTCCTATATATTGCCTCTCAGCCTGAATCCCTTTATAAAAATATATTAATAAATAGGTACTAGAAATAGAAACTAAAGTAACAACACTTCTGTACTTTTCCTATAATATTATTTAATAACTTCCCCTCTCCCATCATGTAAATGCCCTAGGGAAACTATGGCTATAAAGCACATAAAGAAATTGATCTATGTGAACCTGAAGGACAGTGCCATCTTGCTTTCCTCACAGCTGGGCTATTAAAAGCATTGATAACAAAATATAGTTTTTTTGTATAAATTAAGGTGGTTCAAGTGTAGGTTTGTTATGTGTATATACTGTGTAGGGTAAAGCCTGGGCTTTTAGTGTAATCCGTTTGATGTGATTTTATGCAGTTTTTGAAAAACAGCATCAATGACATGCTCCATTATATGATTTGATGCTCCTATAATGTACTCATGTAATAAATACATTTCTAAGGTCACTACTAAGGGGAAATCATTCTTTATCTTGCTCAAGTGCTTCATTTAACTGACTAATGACAGGCATTTATCCTGATACATTTCCAATTTTTGAGTGAGCAGACAATCAATAATAGTAACAAAAACTATACACATTGAAGATACTAGACATCACATATTAAACATTTGTGTATCAGTCAAATTTATATGCGGCACAATCAATTGATTTGGATTTGGATTTGAAGTAACAGAGAGTAACAACTGGGGTGAAAGTTGAAATAACAAATTATCAAATAATTGAATCAATAATCAAAATAAACAAAACTAATCATAATCAGATTATTTTAACCTTCTTAGTGAGATGTTAATATACCAGCTGATCATCTATTTAATTCTACAATAATTGACCTCTATGGATACAGTACCCATTCTTTTTCCACAACTCTGTAATCTCCCCTTTATTCCCTAAAATAATGTTCCACAAAACAGATTGTCTGTATAGATTTTGTGATCATAGACTCAAGACACACTCAGAGAATCATGAAACAAGGAGAGAATTCCAAAATTTGTTCAACTCAAAGTAGTGGTGTGCTGGTAAATGTTTAACCAAAATAGCTTTCCATAAATATAAAGACTTGACTTGTAGGGTTTTCTAATTTCTGTGATATCAATACTCCCTTCATTGTTGATTGCATGCTACCAATATTTCAGTGATCACTGGGCACAGAGTTGGGAGAGGTGGGTGCAGTTGGATCTCATGAGTCAGTCTGTGTCCTGACTCTTAACACACCATTGGACCAAAGTGATCACCATTTAGTCTAGGTGGTACTTAATGATGGCAGCAAACAGCGATGGCTTGGCAGCTTGTTAAACTGTTGAGTCATCTTTGGAATTGTGTTCTTTCTATGTAACTTAGCTCATTTCACAATCTAAAATAATTTCATTTTACCTTATTTGAAGATGAAATTTAACTGATATTTTTTTAGATTCAGGTTTCCTATCTTTGAAAGACATTAGGTGACTTTTTAGTATTCCTTTTTGATATTATCAACTGAACCTGCTTTTGTTTTTCTTTAAAGCCTGTATAGTACTTTCTATCTCACATGATAAATCATATTCAAACTTATAGTTTGACTTGATTTAGTAAGTTTGTCCAAGTTTACTAGTTCTCACATCATTCACTAGCAGTTTTACCAACTGCAAGAGCAGAAAGCAAGTAATTTCAGTTTATTTCAATATTTTGGTTAATCATTGGCTACATAGTGATACATTGGTACAAATATATTGGCTATATATTGGTTTCTGTTCTTTGAACTCTAGTTTTTTTCCCTTTCCTTTTCTTCTTTTAATTTTTCTTTACCTCCTTTTGCTTTATGTACCTGTCTCTATAACTGAGTGTTTCTCAAAAAATGTTGATAACAATTTTTCTGATAACAAATGATATCTCAGCTTCACATACTAAGACAACACTACTGGCTGGGTGCAGTGGCTCACACCTGTAATCCCAGAACTTTGGGAGGCCAAGGCAGGCGGATCACCTGAGGTCAGGAGTTTGAGACCAGCCTGACCAACATGGAGAAGCCACGTCTCTACTAAAAATACAAAATTAGCTGGGTGTGGTGGTGCCGGCCTGTAATCCCAGCTACTCGGGGGGCTGAGGCAGGAGAATTGCTTGATCCCAGGAGGCGGAGGTTGCGGTGAGCCGAGATCGCGCCATTGCACTCCAGCCTGGACAACAAGAGTGAAACTTCATCTTAAAAAAAAAAAAAAAAAAATGACATGACTGACCCATAACAGTATCAGTGGTGATGAGCACAGAATTCAAAATCAGACAGGCCAACATTCAAATATCCTGGTAACTGAGGATATTTGGGCAAATTTCTTCAATTCTTTGAACCCTAGTCTTTTATCTATAAAATATAAAAAATGTGTACTTTTTGAGGTTGTTGTAGGAATGAAAGAGTGTATGTATTATTCCAGGTATATTGTAAGAATTGACAAAATTATAACTACTAGAAGTAGTGGTAGTATTATTAGTAAGGCTAACAATGTATTATATTTAAGTATTAGAAATAAATGTATGTTATTAGGTTGGTGCAAAAGTAATTGTGGTTTTTGCCACTTTTAATGGCAAAATCCGCAATTACTTTTGCACCAACCCAAATACAGTAGCTTTCACAATATATCACATTTTTCTTTCTCACTTATATGATCTATAGAAACCTGTTTGCTAGAATACTTGCAAGGGTTAAGGGTATGCATTCTCTATGCAACCTCATCAACACAAATGTTTTAAATTGAGGAATTATTAAGGATCTTGAGAATAATATGCAAGGCACTCCTCAATCCTTAAATGTAGTACAGATTTGGCTTCAGCAGTTAAAATTTTTCAATTCATTACATCATAATTATAGCTCAAATTACACCAAAACATTACATTACTGACTTTCACTGTGTGCTCCCTTAAAATGAGAAAATATCCTTCTACCAGTGTGTGTTTAGTGTGGTTTTCCAACATACATATTTTTAGTGTGTTCTTGGTATCCACATGTACTATTTTGCATGTGCCACTATGGTGCTATACTAAACTAAGCAGGTCATTTTTGATACCATTTTTGTCTTGCAAATTGTTTTGGGGGACTACCCAAATTAGGCTTGCTTGTGAACTTTTATTGTAATTCCAGAGAATTAATAACACATAAAATTTTTAAAATTTAATGTTTTGCCTGATAAAATTGTATAAATTTAGAGTATGAAACATGATGCTTTGATACATGTATGTTGTGAAATGGCTAAATCAAGCTAATTATATATCCATTACCTCACATACTTACTTTTTTTGTGGTGAGAACATTTAAACTCTACTCTTCTTGCAAATCAAAACCAGAGTGAGATACTAACAAGTAAGAATGGCTATTGCTAAAAAGTCAAAAAATAAAATATGCTGCTGAGGTTGGGGAAAAAAGAGAACGCTTATACACTGCTGGTGGAAATACACATTAGTTCAGTCACTGTGGAGAGCAGTTTGGCGATTTCTCAAACAATTTAAAACAGAACTACCATTCGATCCAGAAATCCCATTACTGAGTATGTATCCAAAGGAAAATAAATGATTCTACCAAAAAGACACTTGCACTTGTATGTTTATTGCAGCACTATTCTCAATAGCAAAGATATGGAATCAACCAGGGTGCATGTCAATGGTGGATTGGTAAAGAATACATGATACACATATGCTATAAAATACTATGCAGCCATAAAACAAAATCATGTCTTTTGCTGCAACATAGATGCAGCTGGAGGCCATTATTTTAAGCAAATTAACATAGAAACAGAAAAACAAATGGTGCCTGTTCTCACTTATAAGTGGGAGCTGGAGCTAAATATTGGGTAAACACGGACACAAAGATGGTAACAATAAACACTGGGGATTCTAAAAGTGGGGATGGGGAGCAGGGCAAGGGTTAAAAATCTACCTATTGGATAGTTCACTACTTGGGCAATAGGATCATTAGAAGCCTGAACCTCAGCATCACACAATATATCAATGTAACAAACTTCCACCTGCACCCTCTAAATCTAAAATTTAAAAATAAAAAATAAAATTTTAAAGTCCACTCTCTTAAAAATTTTCAAGTATACAATATAAAATAACATCTAAAAATATATCATTTGAATTTTTGTAAAATAATATTTCAAAAATCCATGCCATTAATAAAATAAGAAAGCCACCCGAACGGCCTGATTTCCATTTTCACAACACCTTTTTTTTCTATCCGACACATCTTAACGCTCCATTTTTCTGCCCATAAATATATAGATTTGTACCAAGGTTCTATTTTGTACAAATGTTTACTACATAGTAACATTAAATTTTGCCACTCAGATTTTGAGCCTCCTCTTTGAATTGTCCTTGGTTGAATTTCCTAGTTAAATTGGAGCACTTGGTGACAGAAATTTTGGAATGGTCCCTAGATCAGCTCCAAGTACCCTTAGAATTATGTTCTTGGCATTTGTTCTGATCATTAATATACACAAATTTGAAATAGACATACAGAATTTTAGCAAAAAGGATGCAACACCAAATATTTAACAATGAAAACATACCTTGTTAATTTTACAAGTAAAATTTATGAAGAATGAAACAAGCATAATTTTATTAAAATCTTTAAGGAATCTGTATTTTAGACTTAATGGTGAATACTTCAGATCTAAATATTTATCATATTATTGAAATTAGTTGATGGTTGATAAACTCTTTAGCTCAAATTATGAAGTTTTCAGGACTTAGATTAAAATGCCAAGTTATTTGGAAGAACAAATGTTACATACATAACATATATTAAAATAAACACTGATTAAATACAAACTTAAAACGTACTTTAGATTTAGAAATGCTTATCAGGAGTAATTTTATCACATTTGACACAACACTTGTTAAGGAATATTCAAATGCACAGTTATTTGTAACAGAATGAACTCACAAAATAGAAATATTTATAACCAAAAATACTTAACCATTTCCATACATTTGTGATTTTTTTAGTTTTCATACTGCTATTAATTTATAATTTTATTCCATTGTGGTCAGAAAACATATTTGGTGTGATTTTACTAATTTTATTAAGATTTATTTTATGACTCATCCTGTGATCTCTCCTAAAGAAAGATTACTGCATACTTGAGAAGAATTTTATTCTGCTGCAGTTGGATGAGATGTTTTAAATGTCTATTAGGTCCATGTGGTTTATTGTGTTGCTCAAGTCTTCAATTTTCTTACTGATCTTCAGTCTGGATATTCTGCCCACTATTGAAAGTGGGATATATTTCCCAACAGAGAAAAGTCTAGAAACAGATGCCTTCACTGGTGAATTTTACCAAACTTGTAATAAGAATTAATGACAATCCTTCTCAAATTCTTTCAAAACATTGAAGAGAAAGGAACACTTCCAAACTCATTTTATAAGACCAGCATTACCCTCATACTGAAGGCAAAGACAATGGAACTACAAGAAAAGAAAACCTTTGGCAAATATCCCTGACAAATATAGGTGAAAAAATCCTGAACAATATACTAACAAGCCAATTCTAACAGCATGTTAAAATATTCTCCACCATGACCAAGTGGGATTTATCCCTGTAATGCAAGGAAGATTCGACATATTAAAACTAATTAACATTGGCTGGGCACGGTGGCTCACGCCTGTAATCCCAGCACTTTGGGAGGCCAAGGCAGGTGGATCACCTGAGATCAGGAGTTTGAGACTAGCCTGGCCAACATAGTGAAACTCCATCTCTACTAAAAATACAATAATTAGCCGGGCATGGTGGTGGGCGCCTGTAATCCCAGCTAAATGGGAGGCTGAGGCAGGAGAATTGCTTTAACCTGGGAGGTGGAGGTTGCAGTGAGCCGAGATAGTGCCACTGTACTCCAGCCTGGGCAACAGAGCGAGACTCCATTTCAAAAAATAATAATGTAATATACCATGTTAGCCTAATAAATAATAAAAATAATATGTTCATCTTAATAGATGTAGAAAAAGTATTTGCAAAATTCAACATCTTCTCATGTTAAAAACTCTCAACAAACAGGAAATGAGAGAAAATTACCTCAACAAAATAAAGGTCATACATGAAAAATCCAGAGCTAACGTCATACTCACTTGTGAAATATTGAAAGTTTTACCTTGATGATCCAGAACAAGTCAAGGTTGCCACTTCTCCCCAGTTCTGTTCAACAGAGTACTGGAAGTCTGAGCCAGAGCCATTAGGCAAGGAAAAGAAAAAGAAGGTATCCATATAAGAAAGAAACAAGTAAAATTGTACCTTTTTGCAAATGATCAAATTTTATATATAGAAAACCCTAAAGACTTAGTTTAAAAAGAAGCTTTAGAAGTAATAAGTAAATAGAAAAATCAGTTGTGTTTCTATAGAGCAACAATGAACTATTGTAAAAGGAGTTTAGAAAAGCAATCACATTTACAATAGCACCAAAAAGAATAAAATTCTTAGGAACAAATTTAACTAAGGAAGTGAAGGACAAAAAACATAGAACAAATTTTTAAAAGTCACAAACAAATGGAAAAACATCCTGTGCTAATGGATTGGAAAATGTAATATGGTTAAAATGTCTTTACTTCCCAAAGTGGTCCAAACATTCAATGTAATCTTTACCAAAATTCGAATGCATTTTTACAGAAATAGAAAAAAACAGTTTTAAAATTCATATGGAATCACAAAAGGCCAGGAATGACCAAATCAATTTTGAGAAAGGAGAACAAAGCTAGAGGCCTCATGCTTTCTGATTTCAAAATCTATTACAAAGCTACAGTAATAAAAAAAATAAAAGGATATAATACTGGCATAAAAACAGACATATAGACCAGTGAAGCAGAATGGAGAGCCTAGAAAAAAATACCCACTTAAATGATCGGGTAATCTTTGACAAGGTTTCCAACACTACATGATGGGGGAAGAAAAGTCTCTTCAACAAATGATGTTAGAAAAACTAGATATCAACATGCAATAGAATAAAATTGGTTCCTTGTCTTAAACCATACAAAAATTAACTTAAAATAGATGAAAGAACTAAACATAAGCTCTGAAGAAAATAGAAGAGGAAAGGTTCATGACTTTGGTCTTGGCAGTGATTTCATGGATATGACACTTTAACACAGGCAACAAAGCCAAAAATATACAAGTGGGATTTCTTCAAACCAAAAAGTTTCCAGTGTGTGGCCTGCTGGTGTGTGGCCTGCTGGTGTGCCAGTGCCTTTGGTGCATTCCTCTCGACATCCAGCAGCTTGTGTCTTCTTCCGCTGATCTGCTCCTCTCAACGTCCAGCCGCTGTGTGTCTGCCTGCTAGGGTCTTGGGGCTTTTTATAGGCACAGGATGGGGATGTGGTGGGCCAGGATGGTCTTGGGAAATGCGACATTTGGGCGTGAAGTCAGGAGTACCTCTCCTCGGTCCGTGGGGGTGGAGCCCTCCTCTACCTAGCACTTCCCTTCCCCACTCTCGTATCATTGAAAGAAATTACCCTCTTCGCTTCCCAGCACTCCCGTATTAATAGTATATAGTCAGACCATTGTAGTAATAAAAAATACAAAAAAATAAAAAAAAATAAAACTCTATTCTGCCAGTCCTTCTGCCTGGATAACTCCCTTTAGTCTATCTTATAGGGCAAGTTTCTTAACAATGAATTCTCTCAGTGTTTATTTATCTAGGAATATAACAGATCATACCATATGAAAGACTGAAACAGATTGGCTGTTCACATAGATTGAGTGCACAAGCTTTAAGATCTCATACATGAGCTTTAAGACATTATATTGTCTTGTCAATCACAGGATAGGGTTTTAGGTTAGGTTTTAAAACTGAGAAAGCATACTATGGCATTTTAAAAATTCTAGTTTGTTGAAAACATGATGTTAACTCAGACTTTGAAATAATTGCACTCAGAATTATTTATAAAAACATTGGCATTCAAAATAAAAGGGACATAAGAAAATATAACCTTTATGGTATGCAGTTTTATATACATGACTTATACACACTAGTGATCATAGAAAAACTAAACATTAGAAATGATGTCCTGAAACAGAAGATTGGTTAAGTACATCGTGGTGGATCCTTACTGTGAAGTGCTATGCACCCATTAAAAATGTTTGTAAATAGTTTGATGTAAGCAGGTGCTAATGGTATGATGTTAAAAGATATGAACAAAATACAAGTATATATACATATATATATATTCTACACAGAAGCACATAGAAAAATAATGGGAAAAGAACACATATATATTAATAATATTTCTCTGTGATGCAATTTACAAATTCATTGTCCATAGTTTCAAACTGGTCTGTAATGAACATATATAATCAGAAAAAAGGTAAATAAATAAGTTTCAAAACAAGTATAAAAATATATAGCTGAATATTTCATGATAGGCTTATCCTATTTTTCTAATACCTGTATAGATAACAAAACTTGATATTCTCTCCCACTTTTGTTCTCTCTCTCTCTCTCTCTTTCTCTGTATTAGTCTGTTCTCACAGTGCTAATAAAGACATACCTGAGACTGGGTAATTTATAAAGGAAAGAAGTTTAATGGACTCACAGTTCCACATGGCTGGGGAGGCCTCAAAATTATGGTGGAAGGCAAAGGAGAAGCAAAGGCACATCTAACATGGCAGAAGGCAAAAGGGCATGTGCAGGGGAACTCCCCTTTATAAAACCATCATATCTCATGAGACTTATTTACTATCACGAGAACAGCATGGGAAAAGTCCACCCCCATGATTCATTTACCTCCCACTGCATCTCTCCCATGACATGTGGGGATTATTAAAATTCAAGTTGAGATTTGGGTGGGGACACAGAGCCAAACCATATCTATCACTCTCTCTCTCTCTCCACCATTGTTTTGGTGAATTTAAAAGTGAGTTATTGCTCTATAGGATGAAAGCAATTTTACGAAGTCATGGATTTCCAATTTGGTACCTGGCAGTTTTCAGAGATATCACTTTCAATTTTCAGTTAACTAAATATTGTTCTATTTGTAGAAGGAAATTATCATAGTCAAGGGTACCTCGGTATAAAATATAGAAACCTAGGTGTGGAAGTTTTTTTCAAGTATGTACAAAGAATTTATATTTTTCACGACATAGCATAATGCTAACTATAAATCTCTTTTTCAATGACCTGATCACTAGGCACAGATGAGGTCATCAATACACAGTGAAAGAGGCCTCATTTAAATACATCATAAGGGAGGGTACTAGAGGTAAAAGAAAGAACGGAGACTTTGGAGTCAGGATGGCTAGGTATCAACAGTTAACCATGCCTCTTTGTAGCTACATAAACCCAGGTAAGTTACTTGGCTTTTATAATCTAAATATTTATCATGAAATAGATATTTTAACACCTAAGTAGAATACACAATGTTTAAAAATACATAGTTATTGGGTTCGTATTGTGATAATTGGATATATTAACTGAGACAATCCTTCTTAAACACTCAGCACAATGCCTGCGACACAAAATGGGTGTCCAATAAATGTTAGTTACCTGCCCCACAAACTAATTCAGCAAACACTTTATGAGATCCTGTTATATAATCAAATATAGTACCAGGCTTAAAAAAATTTAAACATGGGAAGACATAAATCGTTACTAACTAGTATGGCAAAGAAAATGGAAACAAAAAATTAAAATACATTGTGAGAATGCACACTGGATTTCTTTCCATTTCTCAAAAACTCGAAGATCCTCCAGCCCTTGATCTTTGTTTTCTCTGCCTGAAAGGCTCTTTTGCTTGATCTTCCAAGGGCTATCTCACTTGTTTCACACAGGACTCTATTCATATTTCACCTCCTTAAAGATTTCTCCTGATCACCCTACCTAAAATCATCCTCTATCCCCCTCTACTCTGTCACATCATCTAATTGTATTATCTTTACATAAATTATTACTCTGAAATTATCTTATCCATCTGTTTATTGACTTATGTGTTTATTTTACATCCGCCCAGCTAAAATGTAAGTTCTATAATATCATGGTCCTTGTTTGTCTTGTCCATTAGTTTATCCCCAGCTCCTACTTCAGGACCTGACATTTAGTAAGCATTCAAAAACTGTTTGCTAAATGAAGGAATGAATAAAATATTCAACTGCTAAGTGGGCAGGAGCAAGGGAAATCAGTGAAGCTTCCAAGAAGAGGTGATATTTGAGCTGGGTTTTGAAAAATGGGTAATTTACCAAGCAGAGAAAACTGAGTTTGGACAGAGAAATAGAATTTCAGGTATGGAAAACGGTTCGTTTAAAGGAATGGACATCTAAAACCTTAAGAAAGGTTCTGTTAGGGAATACAAATAATCTTCAGATAGAATTTTTCCTCATTTTATTTTCTGTTCCATATGCTAAAATAGAATTTTCTACTCTTTTCCTTAGTTACACATTTTATGCTACTCAGTGCAAATAGATGTAAAAATGACCACATCATCAATCACTTAATTGATTCAGCACTACTTTCTTTAGTTTTAACCTTAGAGTTTATCATTTTAGTTTATCTTAATTCTAATATTAATGCTTTAACTATACAATCTACTATATTCCTCTGAAAACGACTTCATTTTTTAAAAGTTAGTCTGTATGCTGTTAAATTCCTTATTCTTATTTATTTTCTTCACATGTTTTAGCAGTGACCAATCTGCTTTGATATGCGTAATAAAAGATCCTTGTGAAGCTACTAAACAGATACATAAAATTAACAGGATGCATTGCTTAACACTGTATGTATTTGAATATTATTTTATAATCTCATTTATCATGCTGTTAGTGTAGCCAGATAGTTAGGCATGAGCAGGAAAGGGAGACTCTAGGAGAGAAAGCTCTGGAGAATCTCACTGCCCAGAGACCACCCGAAACAGGCATGCTAAACATGAGCAGAGAGGAGAGGAAATACCTAGGCAGCAAAGAGCACTCAGAAATGCCCCTTAAGGCACCCAGTAATGGCTCATTCTGCGGTTAACCTGTCAGGATGTAGCTAGCCACATGCTGATAAGAAGGGGAAAAGGACAAAAAGGAAATTTCTAAGAGATACGGAGGCACAAAAAGTACAGATTTAATCGCTCTACGACCTTCCTGGGGTGGCGGTAACGAGCAACTCTGCTGTTAGGTGGGATTCCTATTGGTCACTGGGCTCTGCTCATGTGCATCAACTGACAGTAAGAGAGCATCTCGTAAATACGGGCAGGAACTAGGCAGGGACAAGGCGTAGACTTAAGACAGAAGCTGGAAACTAGACAATGACAGAGACTTAGGACAGAGGCTGGAACTTAAAGAAAATGTCCAACATAATAAAAACTGCAATGCAGCACGCTAAGGGCTGCTTCCAGATGTATCAGACCACTCTTGGAATGTTCTTTTATTTCCTTAATATAATTTTTGGTTACTGTACTAATTAGTCTGTTGTCCAAATTATTTCTTCCAAGAAAACAAAGCCCTAAGGACCCCCACACTTCCCAGTAACAACGTGACTGTGAATTTCACGAAATTACAACAAAATATAAAACGTTTATAATGTCTTGATTCCTACTTAGGTAAAACCCACACATGATGGATGAGACCCCATGCTTGGTGAAGTTACCAAACACAGAACCAAACATTCTCTAGACAGAAAGAAATAGAGAAATTTTAAATTGTGTGCTATTTAATAAGAAAGACATCCTTTTCATATAGGTGTCCTATAGTTTAATCACCAACTATTTCTAAACATAAATTTAAGTGACAAAAGCAAAGGAAGCTGATTTAAGACAACGGTGAAAAAAGCAATCAGAAAAGTTACAGCCCAGTCATAACTCTAACCTCAGTAAAGAAGAATGCAAACACTGATTGCTATCAAATCTAAATGATAGCCTTTAGAGGTTTCCAATGAATTTCAAATAGAACTGTAACATAGTAACTAGAATGATTTGTTTTGTGACTTTTAAAAACAAATGAAAATGCTATTAGTTGTTCTACAGAGACATAACTTATTCATCCTGACCTAAAATATATTTGTTGACCAAAATAAAGATTCCTTAGATAAAATAACGTTGATTGTATCCTATGTTTGATTAAACATTTTTGTTTGGCCTATTTAAAATGGTTTTTGAGAGCATTATGCCCCTGTTCAAAATATGACAGATATGATGTGAAAAGAAAGGAGATACACATTTCATATTAGTTATGGTCTGATAAAACATTATATTCTGCTTGGTTTCCACTACACTAATGATGAGTATGGGTCAGCTGTCACTAGCATTGACTAAATCACTGTGAAAATGTAACTGTTTTGTGCAGAATTTTATAAATATAGAATACAGAATATAAGAATCATAGACTTCAGTTTTTGAAACTCATATCTATATGTCTATAGTTTTGTAAACAAGTTAAATATCATGTACTGATAGGCCTTTTAACTATAAAATGAATTAGCTAATGTCAAATATAAGTAAGTGCCATATAGCTGGGAAAAATTAGTAAAATAAGTAAAATCTCTCATTTAAAAGTTTACTTTCTGCTATAGTTTGAACATCTGCCCCCTCCAAACTTATGTTAAAATTTGATTGCCATTGAAACAGTTTTAAAAGGTGATTAGGCCATGAGGGCCCTACTCTCATGTGTAAGATTAATGCTACCATAAGAGGGCAATTTGGCCTTTTGCTCTCTTTCTTAGCCCTTCTGCCTTACACTGTGTAATGACACAGCAAGAAGGCTCTCTCGAGATTCTAGTACCTTGATATTGGACTTCCCAGTCTCCGGAACTGTTAGCCAATAAATTTCTGTTTGCCATAAAGTACCCAGTCTGTGATACTCTGTAATAGCAGCACAAATGGACTAAGACATCTCAGAGACAGATCATCACTAATCTAGTAATGTATTTATATATCTACATGTATTCTATGTTGTATTTTTATTAGATTGGTTATTCGATTAGCAAACTAGAGGATAAGTTGTCTGTAAGATTTTGGAAGTTATTTATAAATCCCTTCAATGATTGATATAGCCATAAAAAATATGTTGCCTTTGGTGAATTTTAATCAATTTATGATTTGTGATGAAATATAGATACACCCTATAGTGTCAGAAGAACAATTATTAGGCTGAAAATTGGGCAACACTGTTAAATATGTTGTGCTTGCAGTGAATTTTTTCTGTTGTATATTAGTTTATCTTTGTTAATTACCAAAATCTTAATAATTTTTTGATGTATTATAACGAGGATCTTAAGAAAAAATCAAATGATCCCAATGTAAAGTGACTATCAAGCCTATCACTTGACCATCAACCAATCCAATATGTTTAAAAGCAAAAGCCACTGAAGCCCTAGCTTTGAACATTTAGAAGTCCTTATAACAAAAATTGAAAGTCAGTAGTTTACTGATAGGTTAAATCCAATTTACAAATATTTATTGTGCAACTGTTATGCATCAGGCATTTTTCCAGGTACTGGTTATACAATGGTGAACAAAATGGTATATTTCCCTTAAGGAAATCACAGTCTGCTGGGTGAAAGAGAATCTTACATCTTGCACCACTAGCTCTAGCTGATGGTCACTTTGAGCTTGGAGATGGAAGACTGGTAGAGGGATTTATTACCAACTGCTCTGCTAATGGGATATAAACAATGGCTAGCTACTTAGAAACTGTGGCAACAGGTAGAGAACATTCATGTCATTGAATTACTTATAAATAAAAATGTACTACAAATATATCCTGTATAAAATAAAACTATATTTATTTCTATTACTTTTTCTGGAAGTTTGTACTTAAATTATGCAAACTACTTTGTAAAAAAGTATCCCTAATTCATTTGAATCATGTTTCTCTCCTCCATTCCTTATTAAAAAAAAGGAAGCTGAGGGTAAGCAGCTGAGCTGTAAGAATTAAGGGAAAGAAATTGAACTAAAACTTTGTTAGTTTTGAATATGAGTATGTACACTGATACAAATCAAGAATCAATGTTTGAAACAGAGATAGAAACTGTAAATTATAACTGCAAACACAGGCTATTTTAAACATTCATGGCCACACTATAATTACAAGTAATGACTTACTTATATCAACATAAAGGGCATAAATTATATCAGGTTTCTCCATTTAGGCACTGTTGACAATTTGGGCCAGATAATTATGTTTCAGTGTCCCTGGCCCTGACTCACTTGATGCCAGTAGTTCTCCCTGAGTTTTACCAACCAGCACTGTCCCAGATATTGCCAAATATCCCTCAGGAGGGGGAAAGAAATCCCCTGAGTTTGACAGCCAGTGATTTAGATATAACACACATGTGTCAGAGCATGACCTATATTTATTTGGGACTTAATGCTTTCCTCCTAAGGTCAGTAACCAGACAAGGATATTTGCTCTCAACAACTCTATTCAACATTGCACTGAAAGATATAGCCAAGTGCAATTGGGTAAGAAAAATAAATAAAAGGCATCCGGACTGAAGATGAGAAATTAAAAACTGTCTTCATTTGCAGATAACATTATCATCTATGTAGAAAATCTGATGATATCTACAAAAATACAAGTAGGACATTATATATATAGTAGGCCCTCCATATACACAGGTTCAGCATCCTCAGATTCAGTCAACTGCAGATAGAAAATATTGGAAAAAATTAACAGTGAAACAATAAAATAATACAAATTTTAATATATAGCATAACAGCTATTGACGTAGCATTTACATTGTATTAACTTTTTTAAGTAATCTGGAGATTAATTAATGCATAGGGGAAAATGTGTGTAGGTTATATGCAAATACTATACAATTTTATATAAGGAACTTGATCATCTACAGAATTTTGTGTTCATGAGCTGTCCCGGAATGAATTTCTCAAGGTATCTAAGGGACAACTGTATATTTTTCTTTTCTTTCCTCTCTTTTCATGTGATATAAAATGTATTGGTTTTTTATGATAGTACTTAAGTATTATTAATTTTATATCACAGTATTTAAGTTTTAAAAAGGGGTTAGTGCATTTTTGGTTGTATGCAAGATAATTGTATCACGTTAGGGAAATTATGACCTTGTTATTATCTTTATCTGAAGATTAAATATGGCTTAAGGATGTATGTGGGTGCCAAGTGGACAAGGGGTGGATTTATGATAGTTAATTTTATGTAAACTTGACTGGGCCACAGTGCGCTCAGATAAAAAGTTATTTCTGTGTATGTCTGTGAAGGTATTTCTGGATGAGATAGCATTTGCATTGATGGACTCAGTATAGCAGATTGCCTTCCCCAATGTGAGTGAACATCATCCAGCCTACTGAGGTCTTGAATAGAACAAAAGTTAGAGGAAGGAGAAATTCAATCGTTTTTTCCCTGCCTGATTGCATGAGTTGAGATAGCGCAACTCGTCTTCTCTTGCCCTTGAACTGAAATTTACACATTTGGCTCCTCTTGTTTTCTCAGGTGCTTTGGCTCAGATTGAATTGCAGCACTGACTTTCCTGATTCTCCAGTTTGTAGATAACTGATCATGGGACTTCTCAGCCTCCATAATCACACGAGCCAATTCTTCACAATAAGTCAAATATCTGGATTGATATTCTATTCTATCAATCTAAACGACTACCTTTATTCATTATTATGCTATCTTGACTGTTGCAGTTTTTTAATAGGCTTTAAAATTGGCAAGTGCGAGCTCTTTCATTGTGATCTTCTTTTTTGAGATTATTTAGGCTACTTTTGGACCTGTGCATTTTCATATACATTTTAAAATCAACTTGTCAATTTCTATAATTTTGATAATGATTACATTAAATCTGTAGATCAATTTGAGGAGAATTGCCATCTATACTAGTCAGGGTTTTCCAGAGAAACAGAACCAATAACACACACACACACACACACACACACACACACACACACACAATAATAAATGCCTGATTTTAGCACCCAATTATTATTGTAAAGATTTGGTCTTCAGTCTCTGGAAGAAAATATTCACTTTTCCAGTTACTTAGGATGGTTCAAATCTGACGTATTTTTATCGTATAGTTCATAGAGCACAGAACATATAAACCTGGCCAGACCAAGATGATACTATGATGTTGAGCTGAAGGAAAGTATAGTAAACACTAAATAAGAATTGTCTTCTAATTGGCTGGGCGTGGTAGTACATGCCTGTAATCCCAGCTACTCTGGAGGCTGAGGCAGGAGAATTGCTTGAACCCGGGAGGCGGAGGTTGAGGTGAGCCAAGATCACACCATTGCACTCCAGCCTGGGCAACAAGAGCGAAACTCCGTCTCAAAAAAAAAAAAAAAAAAGAATTGTATGTACATTTACAAGACATGATAGTTGACCCTATGGAGTATGTAATCCAAATGTCCACTTGTGGTCTTCTTTTGATATATAATTCCTTTGGTTATAATTATTATAATCATAAAATGTGTCCCTATTTCTTATACTGTTGATTGCTATTGATAGCACAGTGGTAATTGATAAGAAATTATAAAGTCGATCTCAGGAAAGAGAATGCAGCAGGTAGGCTCTTTTGCTTCTTATCAAATTACAAAAACTTTATGTTCCTTACAATCTTTTTTTATTGGAGAACTGATTTAAAAGGTTTAGAATTAACATATTTATATATGTTACTCTCTCTTTTGTTCTTTCTTCGGACTGCCTAGATGAAGATTGACAAAAGTATTTTGTATGACTATTTTAATGTGGGATTAAACTATTACAGAGAACACATATGAATGAAAAGTTTTGAATTATTGTTAGTGCATGGACTAGGCTGTAATCACAGAGAACAAGTTTTACCATGTATAATTGTAAGATTGAACTAACTACAAAGAATAAAGAAAAAAGTCATATTCTTTGGAACACAATGCAAGAGAACTCTATAAGTTACATTTACTATTAATCAGAAATTGGAATGATTCATTCCTATATTGCTGATTTAACCATCTTTTGTTCCTGTTGGTTTTAAGGTTTAAAAACATTTTTCTAACCCTTCATGATCTAAACTTGTAAGTTAATTTTATACATAGTAATGAAAGAAAAAAGATACAATTCAAAGGCAGAGAGAAGGGACTGAAATGAGAATTAATAATTACATAAAATAGCGTAGCTATTGCTATGTGTAAGGTAGAGTGCTAAGAGCTTTATGTGAATTATCTCATTTAATCCTAACAAAATCCCTGTGAAATAGATGCTATTGCTAATCCCCTCTAAAAGAGAAAACTAGGGCTTAGAGAGGTTAAATATCTTACCAAAAGCCACCCAGCCACCAAACAGAATAACTCAAACCTTGTGATAACGTTTTGTCCTGTGTTGATTTTGTATGTGTATGCACACATGTATGTAAGTGTATGTGTGGAAGTATGTGTGTTCTTTATAATATTACATATAACTGTCAACTGTCATTTGTGGCTGCCCAACATCTTCTGAATATCTTCTTTACATATTGATAGTGTTACACTTATTGGTTCCCACCTTGCCAGAGTCAAATCCAGAAAACTTATTTTGCTGCTCTCCCTTTTAGCTAGGCTGAAGATAAGTGATTTTGTAGATACATCAATCTGAGACTTCAATTCAGAACTCAGTAGCATAAGGAATCAGGCTCTGAGTGGGTCATGCATTGTTCTGGCCTAAGTCATGACACAGGCATCCAGGTTTGAAAGTCAACTCTAACAGCTACAATAGATTTGAGTTCTTGGCAACTTGTATATGGGCTGAACAATGGCAGTCTTGGCAACAGCCTCCTTATCAGTTCAATTCTATGATGTGTGTCTCAGTATCGTTAGTGGAAGCTTATCTTCAAGTCTATTTATCTTGCACTTCTGCATAAGTCTGTTCTCATACTGCTAATAATGATATATCCAAGACTGGGTAATTTATAAAGGAAAGAGGTTTAATGGGCTCACAGTTTCACATGGCTGGGGAGTCTGCACAATCATGGCAGAGGTGAATGAGAAGCAAAGTGACATCTCACATGGTGGGAAGCAAGAGAGTGTGTGCAGATGAAGTACCATTTATGACAGCATCAGCTCTAGTGAGACTTATTCACTATCATGAGAACAGCATAGGAAAGACCTGCCCCCATGATTCAATTACCTCCCACCAGGTCTCTCCCGCAGAACATGGGAATTATGGGAGCTACAATTTAAGATGAGGTTTGGATGAGGACACAGACAAACCACATCATTCTGCCCCCGGCCCCTCCCAAATCTCATATCCTCCAATTTCAAAACCAATCATGCTGTCCCAACAGTCCCCCAAAATCTTAACTCATTTCAGCATTAACTCAAAAGTCCACAGTCCAATGTCTCATGTGAGACAGAGCAAGTCTCTTCCGCATATGATCTTGTAAAATCAAAAGCAAGTTAGTTACTTCCTAGATACATGTTGGTACAGGCATTGGGTAAATGCACCCATTCCAAATGGGAGAAATTGGCCAAATTAAAGGAGCTATAGGCTCCATGCAAGTCTGAAATCCAGCAGGGCAGCCAAATCTTAAAGCTCCAAAATGATCTCCTTTGACTCCATGGCTCTCATCCAGGTCACGCTGATGCAAGAGGTGGTTTCCCATGGTATTGGGCATCTCTGCCCCTGTGGTTTTGCAGGGTCCAGCCACCACTACTGGCTGCTTTCATGGGCTGGCATTGAATATCTGTGGCTTTTCCAGGTACATGGTGCAAGCTGTTGGTGGATCTATCATTCTGAGGTCTGGAGGATGGTGGCCCAATTCTCACAGCTCCACTAGGCACTGGCCCAGTGGAGAGTCTGTGTGGGGGCTCAAACCCCATATTTTCCTTTTGCACTGCCCTAGCAGAGGTTCTCCATGAGGGCCCCACACCTGCAGCAAAATTCTGCCTGGGCAGCCAGTTGTTTCCATACATCCTCTGAAATCTAGGCGGAATTTCCCAAACTTCAGTTATTCACTTCTGTGCACCTACAGGCTCAGCACCACATGGAAGCTGCCAATGCTTGGAGTTTGCACCCTCTGAAGCCACAGCCTGAGCTGTACCTTAGCCCTTTTTAGCCACAGCTGGAATGTCTAGAATGCAGGGCACCAAGTCCCTAAGCTACACACAGCAGGAAGGCCCTGGGCCTGGCCCATGAAACCATTCTTTCCTCCTAGGCTTCCAGTCCTGTGATGAGAGGGGCTGCTGGGTAGGTCTCTGACATGCCCTGGAGACATTTTCCTTATTGTCTTGGCAATTAACATTTGGCTCCTTGTTACTTATGCAATTTCTGCAGCCAGCTTGAATTTCCTCTCAGAAAATGTGTTTTACTTTTCTATTGCCTTGTCAGACTGAAAATTATCTGAACTTTTATGCTCTGCTTCCCTTTTAAACATATGTTCCAATTCCAAACCATATCTTTGTGAATACATAAAACTAAATGCTTTTAACAGCACTCAAGTAACCTCTTGAATGCTTTGCTGCTTAGAAATTTCTTCTACCAGATGCCCTAAATCATCTCTCTCAAGTTCAAAGTTTCACAAATCTCTAGGGCAGGGGCAAAATGCCACCAGTCTCTTTCCTAAAACATAGCAAGAGTCACCATTATTCCAGTTCCCAACAAGTTTCTCATCTCCATCTGAGATGAGTAGCATTTGGTCAAAGTCATTCAACAGGTCTCTTGGAAGTTCCAAACTTTCCCACCTCTTCCTGTCCTTTTCTGAGCCCTCCAAACTGTTCCAACCTCTGCCTGTTACTCAGTTCCAAAGTCGCTTCCACATTTTCCAGTATCTTTACTGCAGCACTCCACTTCTTGGTACCAACTTACTCTATTAGCGTGTTCTCACACTGCTAATAAAGACATACCTGAGACTGGGTAATTTATAAAGGAAAGAGCTTTGATTGACTCACAGTTTCATATGGCTAGGGAGGCCTCATAATCATGGTGGAAGGGAAATGAGAAGCAAAGTGATGTCTTACATGGTGGCAGGCAAGATAGTGTGTCCAGGGGAACTCCTCTTTATGAAACTGCCAGATCTCATGAGACTTATTCACTAACACGAGAACAGCATGGGAAAGACCCATCCCCATGACTCAATTACCTCCCACTGGATCCCTCCCACGACACATGGGAATTATGGGAGCTAACATTCAAGATGAGATTTGGGTGAGGACACAGCCAAACCATATCAACTTTTAATAATTCTATGAACTACCTAATATTACTTAACAGATTTGTTTTCTGCTTCAACTTGTCATGATATTGGTTGCTTGCAACTAAAAACTGACTGATATAACCATATTGTATGGCATGCACAGATGTTTTTCAATAGCTGTTTAATCCAATCTTTTTGAAATGTAGGAGTAAAATATTATGATAAAATATTACTCATGGTTAAGGGATGTCTCTTTTTATCTTCAGTTAACTAAAGTTGGCACTGATTAGTCTTTTCTAAGGGTAAACATTGAAGATAAAGTCTAGATTAGAGAATCAAGACATTTAATTTAAGCTGTTGTTTATAAATGAAGTGCCATAATCAGTTAAGATTTGTTATTTATCATTGCCATTAGAAATTTCTGAAAAATGATAAAATGCAATCCAATGTCACAGAAAGATTGTAGGTTTTAATAATCAGCATAAAAAACAATTCTATGTGCATTTTATAACAGCAAACATTTAAAGGTCAGGATCTAAATACATAGGAAATACTTCATCATACTCCTTAAGAATACAATTGCCGCCAGGCGCAGTGGCTCACGCCTGTAATCACAGCACTTTCGGAGGCCAAGACAGGTGGATCGGGAGGTCAGGAGATCGAGACCATCCTGGCTAACACAGTGAAGCCCCGTCTCTACTAAAAATACAAAAAATTAGCCGGGCGTGATGGTGGGTGCCTGTAGTCCCATCTACTCGGGAGGCTGAGGCAGGAGAATGGCGTGAACCCAGGAGGCAGAGCTTGCAGTGAGCCAAGATCGCACCACTGCACTCCAGTCTGGGTGACAAAGCGAGACTCTGTCTCAAAAAAAAAAAAAAAAAAAAAGAATACAATTACTGTAAAACAAGGAAGCAATAGCCTCTGCCCTTCCAAAAAGCTCCAAAATGAAACCATTTAATCTCCATTTAATTAGCATACTACTGCAAAATTTGTTTATTTTAAATCATTTAGGGATAACCTCTAACAATGGTATTATTCTTAAGTTTAATAATGGGGACATGTGGTGAAATGCAACTTTATTTCAAGGCACTCAAAGCACTTCATAGATACTGTACTATGATTGACAAAAGTAAGCAATGATAGTGATGGTGAGAATAATTTAACGGTAAAACATGATAGAAAAGACACACAGAATGAGTTGAAATTCCAAGTTTATAATTCTGATTTAAACATCAACATATTAGATAACCTTGACTTGGGGTATACTGATTATCCCTTTTTTTCATAAATCAGTCAAAATAATTGATACATTGGCTAACACATGGCTGTCCAGTTAGCATTTGACATTTTTAAAATAAAATATATAGGAAACAAAACAAAATAATTATAACTTGAATATTGCTTATATGCGATTGGTAATGTGTGAATGACAAAAGTGGGGCCCATTACAATTTTTTTCCAATTGTCAATGGCAATAAAGACCTGTTATATATAAAGCCAACAAAATGTCAACAAAGAAGTGGAAAGGACTGATAGAGTTAGAATATTATTTTTACAGCCATCGTAGTAGTAACTTATTCAGGAAAACTCTGTCAATGGATTTGAATTTTTTTTATTGAGTGAGAGTGTGCTGAGGAGAAGGATATATATTCAAAATATTTACCAATAGCTTACCAATTAATTAGAAAGAAGAAAATTTTTCTCTATAGTGCAGAAATCTGGCACACAAACCATTATGTCAAAGGAGTTCATTTAAAGAACACAAGAAGAACCTTTTGTCCTTTCTGGTAATAAATAAATGTCAATGTCTACTCAACTGAACCTGAAGACTCTCTCTATCAAATGGCTGAAGTGAAATTGACATGTATGGAAGAGTTAGCTACTCTGCTGTGACCCTTGTATTTTGCAAAATGCTACGGTTGTATTTTTTTAGCTGATTTAATATCTTTCATTAAGAACACCACGCAAAGCCTCAGTTGATGTTCATCAGCTAGAGAGTATGTAGTGTCAAAAATATTTTAGTTATAACATGTCTAAAAGCCTTAATTCTTTTTTTATAGTTATGTTGACATTTGAGAAAAGCACCATAAAATAAACAGCCCTGTTGAGATAAACACACGCTGTCTTCTGGAATGTTAAACTGTTGGCAAGGATAACTTAAAGTAAGTAACCACAGCAGTTGGGCCTATCATCAAGCATATGTGCATGCCCCTCTACCATACTCTCCATTGACGATTGCTGTTCAATTACTATACTAGTTTTTTTTTTTTCTTTCATAGTAAAACCTGGTGGCAAGTTTATGGAGTTGCTATGAATATTGATGTTAAAAAGATTTTTGGGGAATTTTCCTTGTTTGGCTTCATTATTATTCCTCAGCATGTTCCTCCTTAAAAAGTCATGTAAAACTTTCTGTAATCTTTTTGCTAAATAAAAAGTCTTCATTATTTTTTAAAACTTGATTGTTCTACATTTGTATTTAGCAGGATATTTGATTAGACTGACAGTCTGAGAGTCTTTTGCCCACTATGTGAAAACTAGTCTCTCTAACATTCAAACTAATTCTATGAACTGAAAGTGAAGACACAAAAGATTGTAAAAGAAAGAAATTTTTTTTTGTAAGGTGAACCAATGTCACTATTGGAGTTAGTCATATAGAAATTGGGTGACACCAAATTACCCCTTATTTCACTAATAATACTCATTAATTTTTTAAAAAGTGTTCAGAATATATACTTCTAACAAGTCTTAATACTGAGCAATTACTGCTATGCATCAGACAGATTATATATATATCACAGGGGAAGAAAAATTAAGTTTTCCTCTACCCTTAGTTGTTAGCTATGATGGATCCCTGTAACAAAAGACAGATTAACAATACAAAAACCAATAGAAATTTATTAACATGTATATTCCACATGTCCTTGGGAGATACCCGTGGCATGAGTAATTCTTAAAGAGAGGGCCTGGAAGTATGACTTAAATAGCATTTCAACAAACAACAGTAAATTTTTAGAGAAGTGACAGACAAAGGCTAAGAATTTTGAGTTTCTACAGGCCGAAAATTGTGAGAAGGCAAATAAATGATAGATAAAGGCTAGTTAATAAATCTGGTTAATGAAGACTCTTCTGGTGCTATCTCCATGCTAATTTTGGAGTCTAAGGGTGCTTTTGGTGACCAACCTTTGTCATTCCTGGTAGAGAGGGGAGTAGTACACCTTTGTTTTGGTAAATGTATGCCCTGCTTTTAGGCAAATAGGAGGGCAGAGAGATTTTCTTCTATCTGCTTCTTTTCAATTGCCTTCAGCTCAATATAGTCCTTATGCCAAAATGAGTTGCAGATTCTGGTCTCCTACAGTATTTTTATTTATCCTAGACACAACCCTATGTCATGTGATCTTATTATTCCTATTTCACAGATGGGGGTAAGAGAGTTTTTATAATTATTTAATAGTTGATGAAGCCATGCCTAAAATCTAGTAGTCTAAATTCAGACCCTGTGCTCTTCACCAGTATATACTTTAGATTTTGCCAAGAATATTCATAGTCTAGTAGTTTACTTTCTACTTAATGTATATTCAAGTTTGGAAAGCAGATATTCATGACACGTCTATGAAAGCCTAATATAGACATAAGCCTGAAACAACAATAATATCAGTAATAACAGCTAACAAAAATACAAGTTAAAAAATGCAAACTGAAACATCCAGCATTTTATCAACTAACTACAGCCAACTTCCTTAAGAAAAGATATAGTCTTAGAACGACTATAAACTAAGTTTGCCACCCAGGAATGTATTTTTTGTGTGAACACAAAGTGAAAAGCACACTAAAAATTAATATGAGAAGACTTTAGCATATTTCTTTTGATATTTAATGGATAAAGAATATAGATACCAAAGAAGATAACAGAGGCTCTGAATAATGAAATAAGGGTGACCTAATACAGCATTTCTCTGAATGGTGTGGGATGAGTAGCTGCTATGAAAAAAAATTTCATGGTCAAATACATTTGAGAAACATTTCAAAGGTAAATGTTTTTTTAATTGCAGGTATTCACAGGCCTTTAATATGCTAATACACATTTAACAGCACCCAGAACTTGACTGCATAAGCAGTTTCCCCCAAATATTCGGAAATCTTATTTTTTTATTTATTTATTTTTCCCCCAGCTTTACTGGGGTATAATTGACAAACAAAAATTGTATATAGGCCGGGTGCATTTGCTCACATCTGTAATCCCAGCACTTTGGGAGATCAAAGTGGGAGAATCACTTGAGTCCAGGAGTCTGAGACCGGCCTGGGCAACATGGTGAGAACCTGTCTCTACCAAAAATAAAAAAATTAGCTGGGCATGGTGGCACAAGCTTGTAGTCTCAGCTAGTCAGGAGGCTGAGGTGGGAGGATCACTTAAGCCCAGGAGGTCAAGGCTGAGTGAGCCGAGATTATGCCACTGCACTCTAGCCTGGGAAACAGAGTGAGATCCTACCTCAAAAAAAAAAAAAAAAGGATATATTTAAAATATACAACATGATATGTTTTATGTAGTTGTACATTGTGAAATGATTACCAAAATCAACCTCATTAACATATCCCTCACCTTATATAATTACATTTTTTTTGTAGTGAGAACACTTAAGATCTTCTATCTTAGCAAATTTCAAGTATACAATACATTAATATTAATTACAGCTATCATCCTGTAAATTAAACTTCCATAACTTATTCATCTTATAACTGAATGTTTGTACCCCTTTTTTTTTAGTGAAACACCTTTAGTGTTACAGAATATATCTTGAGCACTATAAAACACTGAAAAAAAATATATATATGACTCTACAATTCAGACCCTACAATTCAGAAACAGAGGATACAGTTTCTTTTCAAGTTTTCGCAAAACATTTGTAGAAGTAATCATGTAAATACACAACAAAGGAAATCTCAATAACAATCAAACAGAAAAAGGAAGATTCATCTCCCTGACTTGCAGTTAGGGATGTTGAACACATACATCTATTTTTACTCTCTCCCAGTCCCCACTCTTCTCCTCCCACACACAAACTATAAAGTATAATTCTTTTAAAGTGTAAAGGGAGACAACTAGAAAGAAGATGGTTGAGTGATAAATGATTTAACTAACAGGAGAAAACTAAATCCGAACCTACAGGTGAAGAAAACCTAGAGCCAATCCAATTAGTAATGCTCTAAAAGACTCAGGAATCGACAGCAGCAAATGCCTCTGGAAATGAAGAAAAGGATTTTAAAATAAGGAGAATAATTTGAAAAATTGCTTAAGAAATAGAATCCCAAATGAAATCTTCCATCTCAGCAAAGGAAAAAATGTTTTATTTTTTGGAGCAGCTAAAACAGAGGTCCTATGGATTAGAGAGCACCAGGAACACCAGTATGGGATTAACATACTGAAAATAAAGGGGACTGAATGTGCAATTACTTCCTGAGTTGTGAGTCATTCCCTCCCAGCCTTTTTCAGCTCTTTGGCTCCCAGAAGGCTGGCATCTATATTTACTTGCAGTCAGAAAATACAAAGTATCTTATCTATAGAAACAGATTGACCCAAGGATAAAGTCAAGATACAGGTGGAGTGTCCCTTAACCAAAATGCTTGGGAAGTGTTTCGATTTCAGAGGTTTCTTGAACTTTGGAATATTTCCACATATATAATGAGAAATCGTGGGGGTGGAAACCATGTTTAAATATGAAATTCATTGATATTTCATATATACCTTATACACTTAGCCAGAAGGTGATTTTACACAACGTTTTAAATAATTTTGTGCATGAAGCAAAGTTTGTGTACATGAACCATCAGTAAGCAAAGGGGTTCCTTTCTCAGCTACCCATGTGGACAATCTTGCTGTTGGCATCACCATAATTACTTATTCTGAATTTGTAGGCTACTGATAAGCAATCATTTTCTTCCATGCATTCACACATCAATACTTAAAAGTAAAAAAAAAAAAAATGACATATCACTAATACAGTGAAAAAAGAATGTGTCCGTGGTAACTAAGCAGCACAATAGCATCACGAGAATAACTGTATCCGCTATTAAACAACAGCAACAACAAACAGCAGGCTTTCAGTCTCCACTTATGATGCTGTTTTTTGATTAAAAGCTTACTGTACACTGCATTTTATTTTTTAAGTGAGAATCTGGGCATGTGTGGAAAAGATATATTACACCTGAAAAAGGTTTGGAGGGTCTTTTTTTTTTTTCTTGATGATGCTAAATAAACTATGTGTTGAGCAATTTTGTTTTGATCATTACCTGTTACATGAGTTCAGTGTGGAATTTTCTTCTTGTGGTGTCATGTTAGCATTCAAAATGTTTCCGATTTTGTCAGCATCTCTGATTTTGGATTTTCAGATTAGGGGTGCTCAACCTATAATGACATCAGTAATTCACAGATAGTTAGCCAAACCAACTCGCAGTCATGCTTAGAACTTCAAATTAGTTTTTTTTATTCTCCACTCTCAATTATGAGCAAGCAATTGAGGATTATCAGATATTTCAGGAAAGCCTAAAAGAAGAAGACAAAAAAGGGACAAAATGCATCTTGGAGGAAATAACGACTTTTTGAAATAAGAAATCTGAAATAAAACTATGAGAAACAAGTATTCTGATAATTTTACAGTACTCTTAGAATTTTTTAAAATGTTAGCAGAAATTTAAAAGTATCAGAAGATAAAGTTTAAGAAGTAACCTGGAAAAAGCAAAAAGATAATGAGATGGAAATTTAGTGAGAAAATATTAGAAAAGTAGAGGACAAGTCCAGGCGGTCCTATATCTAAAAGATAGAAATTTCAGAATGAGAGAAGAGAGAAAATAGAAGGTAAATAATCATCAGTAAGATAATTCAAAAATATTTTTCAAAAATGAAGAATATGATCAAAAGGAGCTGCTAAGTACAGCACACAAAATTTAAAATACACAGACAGCAAGGCACATTAATATTAAATTACAAAACACTAAGTAAAAAGGAAAGATTTATCGAGTTTTCAGAAAAAAGAAGTAACATACAGAATAGAAAAATCAGAATGGCCTTCAGTTTTTTAAAAAGTAATGTCAGAAACTAAAGAAAACAGGCTGGGTGCAGTGGCTCATACTTGCAATTTAAGCAGTCCAGCATTTTGGGAGGCTGAGGCTGGATGATCACTTGAGGCAAGCTGTTCGAGACCAGCCTTGTCAACATAGACCCTGTCTTTACAAAAATAAAGAGTAAAAAGAAATTAGCCAGGCATGGTAGTGTGCACCTGTAATCCAAGCTACTAGAGGGGCTGAGGTGGGAGGATCCCTTAACCCCAGGAATTCCAGCTTTCAGTGAGCTATGATTGCACCACTGCAACTGAGCCTGGGTGAGGGAATGTGATCCTCTCTCAAGGAAAAAAAAAAACTGGAAAGCTAGTTATCTACCACCCAAACAAACCATCAGTCGAGATGAGGTTAAGTAAAAGGCATTTTCAGATGTTCATGTCACAGTTAGGTCCCATAAGCATTTTCCTAATAATCTACTAGAAATATACTTTATCAAAAAGAGGGAGTTTTTTTTAAAGCAAAAGATGTGGAATACAAGATATAAGAGATCCAAAACAGAAGAAAGAGAGAGATGAACAAAACCCCAAGGAAGATGGTGAAGGAAGATCCCAGGAAGACATCTGGGCAAAAGTGGAGAGCCTAGATTGGGATATATGAGAAAGCTCTCGGTGAGAATTCTCAGGGGAAATGAAAGAAATAGAACACCAGATAGATGTTTCAACAGCTTTAAAAGAGATTCTTTTAAAGTTGGCACAAAATTTGGATTTTGCAGAAAAGAAAAATTAACAACAGTTTTCTACATGGATGAGCTCTAGTGCTGCCACTATCTTGGGAAAGCAAGAACTGAATATTAATTGAACCAAAATTATGATATAATTATAATTAGAATGGTTGGTAAGGGTGCATGTGGATGTTGAATTTGTGAGGAGGGAAGATAATTTTCATCTTCCATACTGAAAAGTCCACAGAAAATAATTAAAACTGAAAAATTAAGAAGCAAAAATGAAAGTGTGCTATTTAGAGATATGGAGGTAAATACCAAAAGAATCAGCTGAAAAGTTAAAGGTTAAAAAAAAAGTTTAAAAAGTTAAAAGTAGTTGCTTCTGTGTAAAGGTAATTGGGAGGAGGGGTAGAAAACTGTCGTTAATGTGCTTGTTTTAAACAATGCTTATACAGATGCTCCTCAACTCACAATAGGTTACATTCTGATAAATCTGTCATATGATTAAAAGATAGAAAGTCAAAAATATATTTAATATATCCAACCTACCAAATGTTGTAGCTTAGCCTAGCCTGCTTTAAATGTGCTCAGAACATTTACATTAGCCTACACTTGGCCAAAATAATCTAATAAAAAGCCTCTTTTATAGTAGGGTATAGAATATCTCACGTGATTTATTGAATACTGTATTGAAAGTGAAAACCAGAATGATTTTATGGGTACACAAAGTATAGTTTTTACTGAATACATATTGCTTTTGCACCATTGTAAAGTAGAAAAATCGTAAGTCAAACCATTGTAAGTCAAGGACTGTCTGTACAATCATTGGACTCTTGATGTACATGAATAACTGTTTTAAGTAAACATTATTTTAAATATCACATTCCTCTTTTACTATATAGCTAGAAAGAATAATAGTAGAAATAAAAACAACAATAATAAAAAACTCTCTAGTTTGGAAATTTAAATATATTCTCCCAAACAATTCAAGTGGATGAGGGAATCAATACCATTATTACAAATATCAAGAAAAGGATCTCTTCAAGGAGAACTACAAACCACTGCTCAAGGAAATCAGAGAGGACCCAAACAAATGGAAAAACATTTCATGCTCATAGATACGAAGAATCAATATTGTGAAAATGGCCATATTGCCCAAAATAATTTATAGATTCAATGCTATTCCCATTAAACTACCATGATATTCTTCACAGAAAAAAAAAAACTATTTTAAAATGCATATGGAACCACAAAAAGAGTTTGTGTAGCCAAGACAATCCTAAGCAAAAAGAACAAGGCTGGAGGCATCATGCTACCACACTTCAAACTATACTACAAGGCTACAATAACCAAAACACCATGGTACTGGTACAAAAGCAGACACATAGACCAATGGAACAGAATAGAGAACTCAGAAATAAGACCACACATCTAAGCCATCTGATCTTTGAGAAACCTGACAAAAACAAGCAATGAGGAAAGGATTCCCTATTTAATAAATGGTGCTGGAAAAACTGGCTAGCCATATGCAGAAAATTGAAACCTGGCCCATTTTTTACACCTTATACAAAAATTAACTCAAGATGGATTAAAGACTTAAATGTAAAACTCAAAACTTTAAAAACCCTAGAAGAAAATCTAGGCAATACCATTTAGGACATAGGCACAGGCAAAGAAATCACCAAAAGCAATTGCAACAAAAGCAAAAATTGACAAAAGGGATCTACCTAAACTAAAGAGCTTCTGCACAGCAAAAGAAACTAGCATCAGAGTGAACAGGCAACCTACAGAATGTGGGAAAATTTTTGCAATCTATCCTTCTGACAAAGGATAATATCTAGAGTCTACAAGGAACTTAAACAAATTTACAAGAAGAAAACCAACAACCCCATTAAAAAGTAGGCAGAAGACATGAACAGACATTTCTCAAAAGAAGACATTCACGTGGCCAACAAACATATGAAAAAAAGCTTAACATCTCTGATCATTAGAGACATGCAAATGAAAACCACAATGAGACCCCATCTCATGCCAGTCAGATTGGTGATTATTTAAAAGTGAAGAAACAACAGATGCAGGCAAGGTTGTGGAGAAATGGGAACACTTTTACACTGTTGGCGAGAATGTAAATTAGTTCTACCATTGTGCAAGATGGTGTGGTGATTCCTCAAAGATCTAGAACCAGAAATGCCATTTGACCCAGCAATCCCACTACTGGGTATAAACCCAAAGAAATGTACATCATTTTATTACAAAGATACATGCCCATTGCAGCACTATTCACAATAGCAAAGACATGAAATCAACCCAAATGCCCATCAATGATAGACTGGATAAAGAAAATGTGGTACATATACACCATGGAATACTGTGTAGCCATAAAAAGGAATGAGAATATGTCCTTTGCGGGGACATGGATGGAGATGGAAACCATTATCCTCAGCAAACTAAAGCAGGAACAGAAAACAAAACACCGTATGTTCTACTTATAAGTTTGAGCTGAACAATGAGAACTCATGGACACAGGGAGTGGAACAACACACACTGGGGCCCGTTGCGGGGAGGGAGAGCATTGGAAAAAATAGTTAATGTATGCTGGGCTTAATACCTAGATGTTGGGTTGATAGGTGCAGCAAACCACCATGGCACACATTTACCTATATAACAAATCTGCAAATCCTGCACATGTACCCTGGAACTTAAAATAAAAGTAAAAAAATAGAAAATAATGAGAAAATTTTAATTTAAAACTTATTTTATGAGCCAAAGCTATATTCATAGGAAACTATATAGTCGTAAGCACTTACAGTTTTAAACAAAATAAATTAAACATACGTTTCCAGAAGTTATAGTAAGAAAAATAAAATAAACCTAAGGTAAGTGAAAACAAGAATTCCATAGAGATAAAAATCAGAAAATAATACATCAGAAAACAAACATGGTAGAACTAAAATATATATAAAGTCTGCATGCTTGGGAAAAACAAATCAGTAAATAATCAAATTAGGAAGATAATACAAATTTAGAATATTAGACATGAGAAAAAGGAAACAACCATAAATACAAAAGAAATAAATATATGAAATACATTATAAAACTCTATCTAATACATTTAAAAATGTGGATGAAATGAAATTTTGTCTAAGTAAGTATGAATAACAAAAGTAACTCATAGTAACTCAAGTGCATAGACTAGTAACAATAAAAATAATTAGAAAATTGGTCAAAATTTTACCCTACAAAAACATGTAAAGACCAGATGGCTAACAAAGAATTGTTAAAAACTTCAGGAAAAAGTTACTTCTGATGCTTAGAACGTGTTCCTTGCTATTAAAAAGAAGAAAATCTTTCTATTCTTTAAAATAAAGCCAGTACACTGATGCCAGAATCTGACAAGGATGATACACAAATATAATTTATAGACAATTTTATATATTAATATTAATAAAACAATTCCTTTGACTTTACAGTCTATACCTGTTTATATAAATAAGAGCTACATAATATTTTAGAGTAAAATAACAAAAGCATTTGAATTAAAGTAAGGAAGCATAAAAAGCTGCTTGATACATTGCCTTTATTTAAAATTGTCCATGTCTACTGATTAGAACCCCTGGGACTAGAAGCAAGCATGTTAATTTTAATAAGTCTCGAAGTAATTTTGATGCACCTGAAGTTTGAAATCCATTACACTCAAAAGTGCTTTAAATTTACAATACATTGCAGTGATAACGTATTTCACAGAATGATGAAAAATAGAATATATATAAACACTCTGTGAAAGAAGGTTCTTCATTAAGTAGATGGAAAGCTGCTCTTGACTTGTATTTAGAAAATCATTCTAGTTTTCAAAAGTAAAATACTCCTTTTAAAATTTAATTCTACAAGCATTAGCCAAGTTAACCAGATAAAAAATAAAATATGATATGAAAATATTGGGAAAAAGGGAAAAGCCCAATTATCATTTTATTCAGATGCTACGATTGTATGGAGAAATCCAAAAACCAACTACAAATACTATTAGAAACAATAGAAAGGTTCAGATAACTATCCATTTATATAATACAACTGTCAGTTAAATTTATAATGAAAGAAATCAAAATAAAAACAAAATATTAGGAAGACACTTAGCAGAAAATGTGCAGGACCAGTTCAAAGAAAAGTTTAAAGCCATTTATGGATATATATTAAAAAGAATTAAATAGGAAAATATGCATCCCTCCTTAGACAAAAAAGACACATTATTTTAAATATGTCACTTATTTTTAATTAATCAACAATCCAGTAAAACCCCCAATTAAATCCCAATGAAATGTTTGTAAATATACTGAGGAAATAAATCTAAAGTACAACTGAAAGGAAAAACATGTGTGAACAGCAAGTCAAATTCTGAAGAAAAAAAAAAAAAGGCTAACGGAGAAGGCTGATCTACTATATATGAAAGTATAACAAAACATTAAATAATTCAGTAAGGTATTGCCAAAGGAACAGACCAATAAATAAATGGAACAGGGTAGAAAGCGCCCTTTCTAATCAGTGGGCAAAACATGGTATAATGGACAATTACCTTTTTCCCCCTTTGAGTTTTCTAATAGGACCCAGATTGTTTGCTGTGGCATTCACTCCTTCTCCACATAGACAATGTGTTTTTAGAGTATCTGACCTCACTATCAACTCCAAATGTGGACACTGATTTCCATAAGTCCAAAAATTCACCCAGTTCGTTCCTGCCTCTGGTCACTCATTTTCCCGAAAGAGGAGAGCATGTAATCAAGGGTAATGTTACAGGTGTGACTCTCAGAAGTATTCTCTGTCCTTCTTAATGTCCTTATTGATGATGTGGCATATGGATGTGAAGCTTGGAACTGCTGCAGCTAATTTGCCTCAAAGACAGAGTCTGACATTAGGACAAAGCTAAAACTGTATGTGGCATAGCAAAGTTTCCCTTAATAGAAACTGGGTCTACTAGAAGAACCAATGCTGAATTCCACCTGAACCCTGGACTTCCAATTACATGGGTCAATAATCTCCTTTAATATTTGACTCATTTAATCAGAATCTCTGTTACTTGAAAATTAAATCATTCCGATTGATGGCACATTTATTATTCAGTAAGTTGTGTCAGGACAACTATTTCCTACCTTGTTCCTTATACGAAAATAAATTCCAGCTGAATCTAGATAAACATTTAAAAATCATAATTTACCATTAGAAAATATGGACATCAGATCCCTTTGCAAAGTTAGTGCAAGCAAATATAAGAAATTGTGTGACTCCAAAAGTAGACTTTCAGAGTTAAGTAGGCTTTATATGACTAAAATTATTGATACTCTGTATTTTGAAGAGGCGCAAAATGTAGGTCTCTGTTCTTGAATACACAGTTTGATTAGAAATTTTATCACTGTCCAATTTTCCTGAGATGATATGCTACAAATGATGTGTGATATCCATAGTTTCCCCATACTCTGCAAAGGGGCACTCTTGGGAGTTTTGAATTACGACAATAAACAATTAAAAATAATGGTTTAATCATGTCTTCTAAATAGTCTTCCAATTAAAAATGAATATTCCGTACCACAGGTGCTATCGTGATCCTAGTTCTTACATTTCTTATTAAAAAATAAACTATAGGTGATAAATAGAGATGATTAATCAGAAATAGGAAAATTAACTAATGTTAATGCGTGCTTAATGACCTAGAATACAGTCATGTTGGCCATGTAATGATGTTTCAGTCAATGATGGACTGCATGTATAATACAATGGTGGTTCCATAAGATTATAATGGAGTTGGAAAATTTACATCACGTGGTGAAGTCATAACCATCTTAATGTCATAGTGCAATACATTATTCAGGTGTTTGTGGTAATACGTAAATAAACTTACTTTGATGCTACTTGTACAAAAGTATAGCACATACAATTATGTACCATACGCAATACTTAATGATAACAAATGACTGTTACTGGTTTATGTGTTTACTATATTACACTTTTAATCATCATTTTAAAGTGTATTCCTTCTACTTGTTTGTTTTAGGTTGACCATAAAACAGCCTCAGGCGGGTACTTCAGAAGGTATTCCAGAAGAAGGCATTGAGCTATCACAGGAAATGATAGCTTCGTGTGTCATTGCCCCTGAAGACCTTCCAGTGGACAAGACGTGGAGGAGGAAGATAGTGACATTAATGATTCTGACCTTGTGCGGGACTAGGCTAATGTGTTTGTGTCTTGGTTTTTAACAAAAAAGTTTTAAAAATAAGTATACAAGATTAAAACATTTAAAAATAGGAAAAAAGCTTATAGAATAAGGATATAAAGGAAAATATTTTTGTATAGCTGTGTAATTGTTTGTTTTAAGCTGTGTTATTACAAAAGAATCAAAAAGTTTAAAAAATTAAAAAGCTTACCAAGTAAAAATGTCACAGTATGCTGTTAATTTATTGTTAAAAATTTTAAAAAACGAATTTACTGTAGCCCAAGTGTACAATGTTTATAAAGTTTACTGTAATGTACAGTAATGCCCTAGGCCTTCACATTCATTCATCACTCGATCACGGACTCACAAAGAGCAAGTTCCAGTCCTGCAAGCTCCATTCGTGGGATGTTCCCTATATAGGTGAAACTTCTCTTTATCTTTTATACTACATTTTTACTGTACCCTTTCCATGTTTGAATAACTGTATATACACAAATACTGATCATTGTGTTGCGGTTGCCTACAGTATTCAGTACAGTAACATGCAGTAAAGGTTTGTAGCCTAGAAGCAATAATCTATACCATCTTTCCTAGGTGTGTAGTGGCAATACCATCTATGTTTGTGTAAGTATACTCTATGATGTTCACACAATGAAGAAATCACCTAACAATCAATGAATTTCTCAGGATGTATCTCCATTGTTTGGAGATGCAAGACTGTCCTTTGTTAGTGATTTCGGCAACTAATAGTATTTGACTCTGCTGTCTTGTGAGCTTAGCTTTATGTTTTAATTTTACGGCATTTAACATGTATTTCCTTTTATTCAGAATATTATTTTTCTTGGAATTGCCTACTCATAAAGCTGTTGAAACTTGCAAGTATTGGGACTCAACTTGCATTGCAAATGAATAAGAACTGAAATAAATCTTCTTGTGAAATTAGGATAATATGGTACATTAAGTATCCAGGTGGAAAAGGCAACTGTCTTAATCCAATATCTGGCAACGCTGGAGAAAGAAAAATGAAGACATAGTCAAATGACGTCCATTAATCTGTTCAGGCTGCTATAGCAAAATCCCTTAGGCTAGGTAATTTATAAACAACGTAAATTTATTGCTCACAGCTTTGGAGACTGAGAAGTCCAAGATCAAGGAGCCAGTATATTTGGCATCTGGTTAGGGGCTGTTCCTAATAGATGGCACATTCTGTGTGTCCTCACATGGTGAAAGAGCAAAAGGAGTTCACTGGAGCTCCTTTATAAGGGCACTAGTTTTATTCATGAAGGTAGTGCTGTCGGCTTAATCGCTTCCCAAAGGTCCCACCTCTTAATATTATCACATTTGGTGTTAGTTTTCAATATATGCATTTTGGGGGGACATCAACATTCAGACCACAGCAAAAAGCACACCTTATTTTGCAAATACAACATTCGAATTTCATTAATTCATTTTAATATATATAGTACGTATGTACTATGTGTTTAGTATTTAAGTATATATTTGCTATGTGTTTATTTCACTATGTTACCTGTATTTGATACTATACTCATAGCATCAAATTATACTGGTTAGACAATACCAATGACCTTATGGAGCTGAGAAGCTAATGGGAAAGTCAGATATTGGCCAAGTAATTACAGTTCAATAAAAATGATTACAAGGAGCAATATCCTATTTACAAAAAATGCTAGAAATAAGTGTAAGATACATACAAATGTGCTCCTCCATGGGTGACTAAAAAATAATTAGAGGACGTGAGTCAGAAGGGAATTACTAAATCAAGTAGTCTGACTGCCTTCTTTTACTAATATGAAAACTGGCATAGAATATTAAATAACTTGCTCTAAGGTCGCTTACCACTGGCAGAAGTAGGACTAGATGTAGGTTGCCTGAATGCTAGTTCAGTGTTCTTTCTATCACATTATGCTGTTATTCTATGATACTGAACATTCGGATGAATCTTGGTAATTCCCTTTTCCATATGCAGGAAATATATCTTCTTGGGAAGACAAAGTCTAATATTTTATAAATGTTTCCATATTGCTATATGTGGCTTATATAAAGGGGGAAGAGAGTACTTAGTAAAGCAAGGAACTGAAAATGTTTAGGTACTTCAACTTTAAGGGCCCTTTATAAGAATCAATATGCATTCATTTGTATGGGAAGATTTCTCTGTCAGCTAATTAATTTCTGCAGTGGAATTGCTTTTCCATAACAGGTCCCCAACGAAGAAAATAAGTTTATTGAAAAGGTAATGTTTTTGCATGCATCAACTTAGGATTCAGATTGACAGGTTAAAAAAACATTTCCTAAGCCACTTCAGGATGATCAATCGCTTCAAAAACCTTTTAAATGTCTGTGCTGATGAAGAGCTTAATATAAATAATGCTTAAATCACTTGTGCTCAGTTGTGGAAAGTGTTATCAGGAATCAGAAATACAGTTAGTTTGTTTCTCTAGTAAAGGAGCACAGCCATCTTATAAATTGCTTAGACAGTAGATTTTATGTGTTCTCACCACAAAAATGGTATATGAGGTAACATAGAAGTTAATTAATTTGATTTAGTCATTCCACAATGTATACATGTTTCAAAACAGCATGTTGTACACAGTAAATATATACAATTACTATTTGTCAACTAAAAAATAATGTGATTATTAAATATAAATAAATATTGAGGATAAAAAAGAAAAGCATAGGCTTAGTGACACATTACTAACATAAATTCTGATCCAGATACATAGAAGAACCAGAATAACTCTAACAAAAATATTGCATTATAAAATGTTAGATTTGACATATTCATTATTAGTAAACAACTGAAACACTCTGAAAAACTTTAAGGTTCTTGAAAATAATTTGCTTTCCTAAGTGATTTACATTTTCAACAGGTAGTTGTTGTTATGTTAAGGATAACTGCAAAGTTAAAAAAAATCTGCACATTGAACACCTTCAAATATAGGGGTTTTGCAAAGCTTTTCTGAATGGAGAGCTAAGGACAGGAAGTAGCTCAGGACCATTAAACTCTGTGGCTTTCATATCACACGAGACGCTCTCATGACTAATGTCTGGTGAGTCATTAGCATAGTAAATGGGGGAATATCCTAGTCCTTTCAGACTCAGCCACGGCATCTCTCTGTGCTAAGGAGGCTTTGCTTTATTCCTTCCTCCTGTCGACTAACATGACATTATTCAATTTAAAATTGTCCTAACAGTCCAGCTTTGTGTCTTGTATGCTGCTGCCAATATATACCTGACTGGGACTGCGAGTAATGCGTAGTGGGATGTGTCGTATCTTGCACTGAAGGAACATTCCCTGTCCAGGACCTGGCCTTGGTGCTGGTGTATGCCATTCGTGCTTACGTAACAACTTTCAGTAATCAAAATTCCTTATACTTCTAAGAGGCATCTATTTCATCCTGCTGCCTTCAGTAGGACAATAGCTGTACTACACAAAATAGTATGAATTATTGTCTTTAACCATTTTTAGAAAGAAGGGAATCTCAAAAATTTTAGAAGTTTTATATATTTCTAAAATATTTGTTTATTTAATTTTTTTAGGCTAGTCAATTTAAGCAATGGGAGTAGTGAAGGAAAAGAGAAATCCATAACCAGTTGTGACCAATAAGTTTTAAACACTACTGCACTTGGACCAGACTAAAATACATTATTTAATATATTTAGCAATAGCTAATATTCATTAACTCTTACTCTGTGCCAAAAACTATGCTAAATGTTTTATGTATGTGATCTCATGTCACTGAGCCTAGAGGTATGTTAGTTGTCCACTTCTAGATAATCTACCCTTCTTCCCTCCCTGTCTCAACCAACACTGAATCTCCTATCTTCAGATTATACCACTCTTTACTGCTACTTCTTGAAGTATTCTAGACTTTGGGATAATTTCTCTTTATTCTATGAAGATTTTAGCTCCTGACTCACTACAGTTGACTCTTTAACAATACAGTCTTGAATTGTATAGGTACATTTACATGTGGGCTGCATATTCACATATGGTCAGATTGTAGTATATGTGGGATAAGGGGGCCTGCCCTGGAACCAATCCCCACGTATACTGAGGGATGCCTGTATTATGCACTACAATGTTACTCACGTCATAATTCCTAGTGATTTCTTTAAATGCTTGGGTTCTACGTTTCTAAACCTCTTCTCTTCTAATGACCTTGTCCTCTAATGACCTCAGCCATTCTCTCCCATGGTTCATTCCCTAGATCCCTCCATAATGGTAGTTTCATGCATCTCAAATGACCACTGTCACTATTTGCAATTCTTTCTCTGCAAGATGTATTTTATTTCCAAATATCATTCAACAACATTAGCATCAACCATTCACTGATTTCATCACCTTTTCATTGTCTGTCACCTATTTCATGTCCTTACGTACTTTATTATCCAGCTTAGATTTTATGGCCCACAATGATGGTCACTCTCTTGTATGCACACTTTCCCTTCATCTTATTTACCTGACAAAACTGTAACTGAGCACAAGTTTGGCTGCTTGCTGCTTGTAGCCAATAACAAGGATGAAGTACAGCAAAAGGAAAATGGTTTCATTTCCAAAGCTAGCAGTGGGGAAGCAGCCAGTTTACAACTCCAGAAATGACTTCGAACTTTAGGCTTGGAGGAGGGGCTTTGAAAACGGAAGATACAATGGGAGGCATGCAGGAGGAGTGCTGAGCACAAGGTCTGTGTGTCTTGTTCCAGTTGCTATCTTGAGCCGTGGTCCATTTGGAGCATGGACTGGCATCCTCTCAACAATGGCTTAGTTGTTGACCAACTGCCTTGAGGTAATCTGTGGAATTTGGAAGCTCAGTCTCCATCCTTGGTTTGTCTCAAGATTAACCCCTGGAAATTCTAAGTAAGAACATGATTAGATACAAGCATCTAATTAGACAAATGTGCATAGAATAAAGAAGTACATGGTGGGTAATAGGAGGGAGTGGAGTTTCAAAGTTTGTTTCAAGGCTATATTTTAAGACTAAGAAAAAAAGGTTTTTATATGTTGTTTCAAGTTTATGTCTGGAGTCTTGGAAGAAAGGAGACAAGGAAAAAGTTTTAAAATGCATTTTGGGGTGAAACTACTCAGTTTCAAAACCTTAACCCTAATTAAATTCAACACTCTAAGGCCAGACTCACATTGCTGAACACAGTTAAGTAAAACACATCTATGCTGACTGGCCTCACTTTAAACTTATGACCGCTAACTTCAAGCAGGACTTCAGTGTTGTCCTTTCATCTTTCTCTAGTCTCTTTCACTATTCCATTCACTATCTTTCTCTCCTGGAAGGCAATAGCACACAGCTTTCTTTTCACAGCTCCAAAATCTTCTTTATATTCCTCCCTTCCCCCTGATGAACTTTCTTCCTTGATCACTGAGAAAATAGAAGCAATAAGAAAATAAATTTCTCATGCTCCTGTCACCACATCTCCCCACATACCTGTGTGCATCTATCCCCATGTAGTCTACCTAGAAAGATTATTACTGTGGATGAACTAATCATAATCCTACATACAAGGCCTCTACTTAGAACTATCCTCCCTTTTTATTCAATCAAGGGCATTGTTTCCTTTCTCTTTCACGTGCTTTTCCTTCTCAGTCTCCTTTGTTTTTTTCCCCCTCATTTACCTCTGTAATCGAAGACTCAGACTTCAGACTTCATTTCCATCTATGGTTGCTTTCTACATGATCACCTCCAGTCCCATGGCTTTATTAAAGATAAACTTTAAAGTCATATCTATATGTTATAATTCTTTCCTGGTTCTTACATATGAATTTCCAATGTGTGTATTCAAATTTTCTCCTGGCAACTCTTTTTAAATGTCTATTGGGCATCTAAAACCTTACTTATCTAAAATCAAACTTCTGAATTCCACCACCAAATCTGTTCGTCTTATCATTTACTCCATCTCAGTAAATAACTCCTTCCTTTTTCCTGAAACCAAAAATCTTATAGTCATCTTTCATATCATTTTCTCTCTTATTTCACATTAAATCCATAAACAAGTTCTCTCGAACTTACTTTCAATATATATCCAGAATCTGACCACTTCTTACCACCTTCACTGCTACCACCCTTCCAAGCTGCAACTTATAAGGTCACTGTAACCACCTGGATGATTGCAGTAGGCTTCTTATAGGTATGCCCTTAAACACTTTGGCTATTCTCAAGATACTATCCTGGGTAATCCAGTTAAAATACAAATCAAATCCTGTTACTGTATTGTTCATTGCACTACACGGCCTGGTTCCCTTATACCCTCCATAAACTTATCTCCATACTGGTCTCCTCACAGTTCATCAAAAATGTCAAGTGGACCTCAGGGACATTATATTTGCTGTAATTAATTTGTTAATGTAATTAATTTGTTGTTTGAAAGATTGTGATTCTTCCATAGCAAAGAAATCCTCCACATTCTGGATAAATGTTTAAACCAATTACTTATTTTATTTACATTTTTTAAATTTTTATATATTTAGAGGGTACAAGTGCAGGTTTCTTACATGCATATATTTCATAGTGGTGAAGCCTGGGTTTTTAGTATACCCGTCACCCAAATAGTGAACATCATACCCAATACGTTTTTGAACACTCAGCCCCTTCCCACCCTCCCACCTTTTGTAGTCTCCAATGTCTATTATTCCACTCTGCATGTCCATGTGCACCTTTTGTAAACTCATTATTTAAACAAATTATTCCTCTTTATTCTTCCAACTAACTGTCCATATGGGCTAAAATGTGCCAGTCAGTCTGCACTGGGCTAATGCCAAGAAACAATAAATGTTGAATTACATAATGGTTCCATTTAAGTCTTTGTTGGTTCAGTGTCCCAGGTGCATTCTTTTAGAAAACTTATGACTATCATCTTTCCTACACTATATAAGCATGTCCATTATTTTTTAAAGAATATGGTTGTTGGTGGGTTAATTTTTATGTCAATTTATTGACTTTTGTCTAAGCGTAAATATAATTTAACTACTCATAAGCCTTTTTTTAAGAAAAAGAAAATCTTGTCAGTTTTCAGATATGTCATATCCCTGCTTCCAGCTTTGCTTCTCTCTAACCTAGTCTCCATCCCTCAGCTTAAGGGAACTTTCTAAAATATTAGTCTTGCTATGTAATTCTTCTGCTTATAACATTTGAATGATACTCTTATTATCCACACAATGAAGTCCCAACTCCTTAAAATGATCTATAAGATCCCACATGGCCTGGATCTATCTACTTCTTTTGCTTCATCCTTTACCTCTCCTCACTTGTTTGCCTTGCTTTGACCACACAAAGTGCATGCAGTCCCTCCTACGTTCTATAAGTTCTCACTTTTGCTTAAACTATTCCTTCTACCTTATACACACTTATGCCTACATTCTTTTCATCTTATTAGTCCCATAAATATTCAATGTCCTCTATTAAGATGTAATTTCTTCAGAGTAACTCTCCACAATTTCCAAGACTAGGATAAGTGCCCCTAAAAAGTACTCCTGTGGCATTCTTCAAGCGCCACCCCACCCCATTATTGTATCTAACACAGTCTGTTGAAATGATCTGTGCATTATAACATTTTCATAGAGAGGGAAATAAGAACCATAAGTATGTTCCAACTAAAGTAATGATAACAGCGATTACACTCTATATTTCTTAAACTAAAATCAACTCTTTTAAGTGTCTATTTACATTTCACTTTGTTACTTAACTGAACTTAGCTTTCTGATAATGTGTTCAAATACCATTAAGACAAAATGCTTATTTATATAAGACTCCTTCCAAGGGAAAAAAGTATGCTAATTATTTCGTTTCCTTTTGGTAAAGAGGCTGAGTCTCAAAGGAGGAAACAGAGTAGAATTTTGAAGATTTAGCTAACAACACATAATTCTACTTAGAACTCTTAATCCAGTTGCTAAGGATTTCAGCAATATTTGAGGTTAGCAGAGAATGAACTAGGATCAGATTGTATACAATCCTAATGTTTCTCCAGAGAAAATTTCTACTTATGTAACTAGAGATGACACAATTAAGTAAAAGCTCAACATGTGTGTTTTACGAGAGCAACTTTGGAGTATATTCAATTGTCATAGATAACTTTATCATTTTCATCTCCCCCTCCCACTCTTGCTTCCTCTCTTGCTAAGTGTTCTGTCAACATGCTGGCTCCCCTTCACTTCTACCATGAGTAGAAGTAGCCTGAGGCCCTCACCAGAAGCCATGTAGATGCCAGTGTCATGCTTCCTGTACAGCCTTTAGAACTGTGAGTCAAATAAACTTTTTTCATTTTAAATTACTCAGCTTCAGGTATTACTTTAAAGTAACTCAATGGACTAAGACAGAACATTTGTATCAGGAGTGGGGTGTTCTATAAAAATATTTAACAATCGAAAGTGGCTTTGGAAGTCAGTAATGTGCAGAGATTGGAAGAGTTCAAAGGGCTCAGAAGAAGACAAAAAGATGAGAGAAAGTATAAAATTTGAGTTAGAAAGAATAAATTAAATATATCTGTTGTACAACTTGGTAACTATAGTTAATAACAATGTTTTATATACTTGAAAATTGCTAAGGGTAAATTTTAAGTGCTCTAACCACAAAAAAAATAAGTATTTGGGGCAATGCATTTGTTAAATAGCTTCATTTAGCCATTCTACACTATTTACATATTTCTAAACATCATGTTGTGCATCATAAATATCTATTTATAGTTTTTATTTCTCCACTAAAATATATAAATAAATAAAAATATAATTGAGAAGGAGGAGGTATTTTTACTAATAAAACCAACCACTTTTCCAATTGAAGGTCAAACAGGAAAGAGCAAAAGCTCCTATCACAGGTGACTCTAGGCAGGGTTTAACTCTAGAGAGAGAAAATGAACTCCACGGGTACTATAGAGTGTATACCAGATTGCAAAATGGCTGCCCTAGTCAGAAGATTGAACTTGTCTAAAAAGCAATTTCTTCTATGTATTGCCCTGGTAGCATCAGAAAAACACATTAGCACAGACACCTTGAACTTCCAAGTTATTCAAAATACAAAAAAGTGTTGGTTGGCAAAATGTTTAACAAAGAGTACAAATATATCAACTTAGTGTGTTCAGGGTTGTTGTTTTTTTGTCTTTTAACAGTATTTGTGTCAGAAGAATAAGTTGTTGTTTACCAGTTAGGGAGTCTTGGTTATTTCCAAACAGATTAATTTTCTTCTAAAATTTTAAATTGTCTCTTCTTGTCAAGAAAAGATCACATCATTAACCTCAAAGAAATGCTAATAAACCAAAATAATTTAAAAGCTTTAGTAAGTTCATTTAACTGTTTGTTAACAGTCTAATTTTCTCATGCTTTGATAATGAGTATATTGTAAGTAATTTTGATAATCTCCAGTTCAGCAAACAAGTTTTGCATTGTAAAGCAAAAATTGTGTTGTCTTGATAATTACCAAAATCATTGGCCTGTTTGGTGTTTGTGATAAATTGTATAATTACCTTTTTAAATTGCCTTTCAAGTTTCAGTGCTGTAAAAGAAAGGTAATTTATTTTTCCATATAACATATATATATATATATATATATACACACACACATATATATACACACACATATATATACCTAATTTTAAATGTTTACAACAAATCTCAAATAACTTTTTCATATAACAAAATTGCTATAGTGCACTTCATAATAGCTTCAGATATTTGTCTTACATTTTGGATATTATTGAAATGGGCATAATAACAAGTTTATGTTAAATAAAAGATTATTATTCAAAAGATTTAGGCTTATAATATAAAATCTTGTTTATTCCTTGCTCATTCTAGCATGGTATTAAACCCTGTGGGTCAAAACCCACATCATAAAAGTCAGGAAATTGCTATTTATGCAACATGCATTTGTGACAATGACTTCATTTACAAGAATGCTCATCAGTCTTATAACACTATTTGAAATTCATGCTTTTTATTTGTCTTGAAAGACAAATCCTCATTTCAGTGTAAAACGTACCACCACATATTGATATATAAACACTACTTTATAGAACATAATCTGCACTTTTGAAATGTAGACATACACAAAACCTCACAAGTTTTATGGAATTTGAATAAGTATATTTCAATAAATTTAGGAATCTTCTATAGCTGAAGTGTTCAGCTTTGTCCTCCTCACACATGAATTACAAATACAACTTTGCAAAGGTTAGTTACCTTATTTTGGCCACTACATGGAGAAATCCAGGTAATTGCTGTATAAAATATGTGACTGGATGACAACGTATTCTAGTCACTGTTGACAATTTCACAAGAAAGACAAGATTTCTGCTACCTAAGATGTGATTACTACCTATTATTGAATATTTATGATGTGGGAGACACAGCACTAGGATTTTCCACATCTTGTCTCTAAAATTCTAAGAAAGGTCTTATGAAGTGAACATTATTATTCCTATTTAAAACTGCCAATTAATAGACAAAGTATATGAATCCATGTCTGTCGACAAAGCCTTTGTTTTTTGCCACTATGCCATGCTATGGTATCCTTAAACGTGATCTAAATCAAAGAAATCTCCAAACAGTAATAGCACGTAGTGTTTAATTTGAAAAATATGTTCATTCACAAAGTAGTTACAATATGATGTGGCCAGTGTTTTATTCATTTCACAGGTATTTGTGGCACTTCTTTAAAAGTATAAGTCCAGTGGAGCAAGGTTTTTGGATGGATCCAGAGAATTCTTATTCTTTTTATTTTTATATCGATTAGAAGACGCCTATATACTGGAACTAAGCAAAAAGAAAGGTCTTGTTTCATACATGCATTAGAAAACCATTGGTATAAGGTGAACCTATGGGGTCCTGTATACAATCTGGAGCCTATGTTGATGGATAGATGTTTCGTTAAGTGGGCAATTGGTGTCCATCCTCGGTTGCTTTGCAGATGATTTTGCTCTTATAAAGCAGTAGTTCCAAATCTTTCCTGTCTTATAGACTCTTTTGAGAAGCTGACCCCTACCAATTCTTTCTCCAGGGAGGGTGATTCATATATATGAAATAAAACAGAGTTTTGCATAACTTTTCATTTCAGGTAGTTCATAATCCTTCCAAATTCCATTTATGCCCTGACTATATAAAAATTAAGAACCCTTACTATAAAGCTTCTTTTGTGCAAAGTATTATGTTTTCTTGGCAACAAGGAGGCTTGGGTCTGTTGGAAGTAACAATATTTAACAATACACAGTCTTTCCCTATCAATTTCATTAACATAAAATAACTTTATTTTCTGAGATATTTTTATTTCAAGTTCTTATTATGATTACTATTTCTAAAAAGAATAGTTAATACAACATGAAGTTAAACTGTTGTACAGACCCAAGAAATCTTTGGTTCAGGGACTGCTCCCAAGTCCTGACACAGAATTCTCTCTCATTTTACCTGACACTGCACTTACAGTGTCAGCTCCTAATCTCAGCTAATTTGCTATGCATAGAAGAGAACAAAATATTCTTCTTTCATAAACATTTTGTAATCAACAACACATTATCTTTAATCAACAAAACCAGTTTTACTGTGTATTCATTTTGAATATAGATAAATTTGACTAAAAAGTTAGAAAGAAATACAAAATATTCAAAAACAGGGCCAATTAACTATAATGTGAATATTATGTTCAACCAACTGCCTTCTTAATGAGTTCTAGATGTGAGTCCTATCTAAAATTAAATGGTTAAGGAATTCACAGGATAGAATGAAGAAGTGTATAAGAGCTTGATCACTGTGTGTGAGACAAAGGATGCCCACAGCTGCTTTTCTTTTGTTCAAAAGCAGAAACATGCCAATGAAATATCACCACAGGGAGACTACAGGTAGCTGCAATCTATCTAGATGTTAAACGCCAAAAGCTAAGAAGAGCAATTTTCCTCTAGAGATGACATAGGTTGATTGAGAAGTTGAAACTTTGGTGTGATAATGGTACAAGCTTTTTTTTTTTTATTACCCCACTTGGATATATGGAGTCAGAAAGAGAGAATCAAGGTGAAGAATGTAGCTATTTGGCAAACTTCAGCCTTGAGATGCTCATTTCAGCATTATGATTCAGACTATTTTTTAAAAGTCATGATTCCCTAATGTACTAGCCATAGAAATGTAAACTCACAACTTGCAGACATGTTTTGTTTAGAGTGTGCATATATATATGAGTTGAATGCCCTTAAGTGGGCATGCACTCTCCATTTTATCACAGGTCCAACCCCTTCTCACCACTTTATATTTTCTGCTTTACTCCTTTACCTTAATTGCCTGGGGCCTTGAAGATATTTCAGTCTGACATTCTGTGGCTAGAGAGGAATGATTATTATGAATACTTACAGCATATAAAGACTCATGCTTATTTTGTTCCTAAAATAGTTCACCTAAATGTAAAATTATTAATGGCATATATAAAAATCAATTTGCTTGTAAAGCTACTAAGCAATAATCTCTTTAACCATTCCAAAGCCAAAACAAAGTAGTGTAAGGCACACTGGTTTGAGAGTCAAATACAGTATATCTGTGTAGTGTGGGCAAAATAAAAATAAATAAATAAATAAATAAATAAATAAATAAATGGAGTCAAATATGTTTATTAATTTAGCAAAGTTTTTTTCTAATGACAATATCCAAGCCTGGTAAAGATATAGTAAAAATAGATATGCACCATTGCTAGGAATATAAACTGAAGCAACCTTCCTGTAAAGCAATTAGTAAATATGAATTAAGGACAGAAAAAGGCTTATATGTTTGACATTTTAAATCCTATCAGAAGCCTATATTAAGAAAACATAATAGGTCATTCTTACATTGCTATAAAGAAATACCTGAAACTGGGTAATTTATTAAAAAATTTCTTCCACCAGATACTGTAAATCATCACTCTCAAGTTCAAAGTTCCACAGATATCTAAGGCAGGGGCACAATGCAGCCAGGTTCTTTGCTAAGGCATAACAAAACTCACTATTGCTTCAGTTCCCAACAAGTTTCTCATTTCCATCTAAGACCTCATCAGCCTGTACTTCACTGTCCATATCACTATGAGCATTTTGGTCACAACCATGTATCCAGTATCTAAGAAGTTCTAAATTTTACCTCATCTCTTTTCTTCTGAGCCCTCCAAACTCTTCCAACCTCTTCCTGTTACCTAGTTCCAAAGCTGATTCCACATTTTCAGGTAGCTTCACAGCAATGCTCCATCCCTCAGCACCAATTTTCTGTATTAGGTTGTTCTTTCATTGCTATAAAGGAATACCTGGACTGGATAATTTTTAAGAAAAAAACATTTAATTGGCTCATGGTTCTTCAGACTGTTCAGGAAGAACAGCTCTGGCATCTGCTCAGCTTCTGGGGAAGCCTCAGGAAACTTACAATCGTTGTGAAAAGCAAAGGTGGAGCAAGCATGTTACATGGCAAAAGCAGGAGACATAGGGCAAAGTGGCAGGTGTTACACACTTTTGAACAACTAGATCTCATGAGAACTAACTCACTATCATGAGGACAGTACCAAGTAGGATGGTGCTAAATTTTTCAAGAGAAAGCTGCCCCCATGATCCAATCACCTCCCACCAGGCCGCAATTCTAACATTGGGGATTACAGTACAATCTGGGATTTGGGCAGGGACACGCATCCAAACTACATCAGGAAGTATATACACTTGATTTTGGCCAACATAATTAACAAATCTAAGATAACAATCAGACACCAAGATTGCTTTGGCAATACCATTAGAACACGCTGTAAACAGCAAGCATATCCAACAAAAAGGAAGTCTTAAGGTAAATTATGGAAGATTTCAAAACTATTAAAATATTTACAAAGAATTCACAGTGATTTGGAAGAAGAACTAGAAAATATCTTATAGTGAGTATTGCGTGATTACAATAAACTAGTCATGTTACTATTTGCTTTAAATGCATTATTTTATTGGAGAATTTTACAATGGGGGATTTGGGGAAGAGCACTATATACAGTCAATATGGTATAATCTCAACAATATTAAACATTCATAGAAAAAAATGACAAAAAATAATATATGTGCAAATAAACGTCCAAATATGACAGAGTGATTTTTTTCTAGATTTCGCTGCAGTTTGATATTTTTCTAAAAAATGTGTATATGAATTTTTAATCAGAAAAATAATAAAAGGAAAAGTATAATCATAAAAATTTAGTGTCATACCAGAGAGAAGAAACCTGGTTGGCTCTATTTCTGACCCTCTCATGCTTTTCTCCTTCATCCTTAATTCATGTCCAACTATATCTATGCAGCAGAACTGAAAAGGTCAACTGATCTATCTTCACACAATAAAATGTTTATTTTACATAAATGATTTTTAAAATGCAATATAAAATGAATTAACAGGGTATACATGCAGGTAACTATAAAAGACAAGTAAGTGAATGAATTCCATTCTGAATGTTCCATCCACAAATTAATATATATAAGCTAATATTATAAATATGAAATTCAGTTATATTCATATTAGTAATAAACATATATATGTATATTTAATATTAGGTATATGTGATTCAGTTATATTCATATGAAAATGAGTTCCCAAACTAACTTCTGCTTGTTCCACATTTACATGAAATAGCTCCTCAGATGTTCACTTAAATTTCAGTTAGCCCAATTTATATTGTAATTTCTTTAGGGAGAGTAAATTATATGTACATTTTGCTGTTTTTCTTGGGATCTAAGTTAAATATATATATATATATATATTTTACTGTATATCTGATTATTGAATCTACTTATACACATCTGTCATTAGGATCTAACAAGATTAAAAGCTGTGTTTTCTACAGGTCCATCTAAAGTGCCTCTTCTAATGTTCTAAAAGAGCATTAGGTGCAAAACATTCTTCTCCAACATTGTTCTATCTAAGATTATTCATGTATTTTATTATGTAATAGATGTAAAATGTATTCTATTTGTGTTCCCGTTGAATAGGTGGTGGTTGGTTACTTGCTACAAGTATACGTGAATTATTTCTGTATCTATCAATAAGGTATCTTAGAGAAATTGTGGGTATGAAGGAAACCAAAGCAGATCCCCTACCTTTACTTGACAAAAAGGAATGTCTAGTGACTGACATTAGAAAGATGATGGAATAGGAAGTTGTGGACACTCCTTACCCCATAGACACATGAATTCAAGATAAATACACGGATTTGTTTCTTTTGTAAGAAATTCAGAAACTGGTTGAGAAGTTCCTACACCATGGGTGAATGCAAAACCAGCTACGTTGCAACCTACAGAAAATTTAGAAACACCTTCTCACCACAATCCCCACCCCTGGCACAGTGCCACATGATCAGGAGGAAATGTTCAGTTTCCAGCTTCTTCTTGAGTTGGGAAGGAGTTGGACAGCACATCAAACATCCCATCTATTCCAGGGGCTACCCAAGGGGCTATCATCCATCTCACTTGTCTTGGACTAGGCAGACCATAGATTCCTAGGGCTGCAGAGAACAAAGCCAATGGTTTGAAATAGTATGACGGTGGCCGGGCGCAGTGGCTCACGCCTGTAATCCCAGCACTTTGGGAGGCCGAGGCAGGCAGATGACCTGAGGTCAGGAGTTCGAGACCAGCGTGGCCAGCATGGTGAAACCCCATCTGTACTAAAAATACAAAAATTAGCCAGGCGTGGTGGCAGGTGCCTGTAATCCCAGCTACTCAGGACGCTGAAGCAGGAGAATCGCTTGAACCCAGGAGGCGGAAGTTGCAGTGAGCCAAGATCATGCCATTGCACTCCAGCCTGGGTGATAAGAGTGAGACTCTGTCTCTAAATAAATAAATAAATAGTGTGAGGGCAACCACCACAGCTCCTCTCCTCAGTTCAGCACAGACTAAGCTCCCAGGTTATACCTGGGCAAGTAAAGAGTTAGACTACACATCCAATTTTCCAACTTCTTCAGGTGCTACCCAAGAGACTAGTTTGTGTTGCCTGTCTTGGAACACTGATGGGGCATGACATATTCTAAATACCTGGGGATCACCAAGAACAAAGAAGGTGGTTTAAAGGACCATGCAAGCAGTTGCCACAGCCCCTCCCCGTTGCTGAGAAAAAAAGCAAGCAGGAAAAAACTCCAGGTCCCAGTTTATCCCTGAGAAGGAAATGAGCAGTTCTGCACATCCAATATTCTAACTTCTCTGAATGTTACACAAAGGATTGGTTTCTGTTTCACTTGTCTTAAAATACCAACAGGGTATGACATGCTGTATACACTAGCAGGCCCTTAAGAAAAACATTGATGATTTGGACTAGTATAAGGTTTGACAAGCCCACAGAAGCACTGGTTGCATTCACTGGTGAAGGTTTCTTCTTGTACGAAGCCAATTGTCAGACTGGGATAGGTAGTGTTTTTTTCTAATGCTTAGACACAGATACAAAGAGTTAAGAAAACTGAAGAAAAGGAAAGCAAGATTTGAACAAAGGAACAAGACAAAACTCCAGAACCTGACCCTGAGGAAACAGAGATATATGAATTACCTGACATCTATATGCTGACAACAAACTATCTGAGAAATAAATTAAGAAAATGATCCCATTTACAATGGCATAAATATGATAAAATACTTAGGGATAAATTTGACTAAGAAGGTAAGAGATTGGTACTCTGGAAACTGTAAGACATTGATGAAAAAAATGAAAGAAGCCACAAATAGATAAAAAGATATCCCATGAACATGGATTGGAAGAATTATTATTATTAAAATGTTTGCACTACTCAAAGTGATCTACAGATTAAATACAATCTCTATCAAAAGTGTAATGACATTTTTCACAGATATTAAAAAAAGCCCTACAAGTCATATGGCACCACAAAAGATGCCAGAAAGCCAAAACAATATTAACAAGAAAAAACAAAGCTGCAGGCACCACACTCCTTGATTTCAAACTATATTACAAAGGTATAGTAATCAAAATACTATGACAGTGCATTAAAACAGACATATAAACCAGTGGAACAGAATAGGGAGCCCAGAAATAAACCCACACCTATATCTTTGACTACTCTTTGCCAAGGGTACCATGAATACACAATGGTGAAAAGGCAGTCTCTTTAATGAATGGTGATGGGATAAATAGATATCCACATTAAGAAGAATAGAAGTAGATTACAACATGCAAAAACCAACTCAAAATGCATTAAAGACTTAAATGTAAGATACGAAACTGCAAAAAAATCCTAAAAGAGAAAATAGAGAAAAAACTTCTTGATATTGGTCTTGACAATTATTTTTTGCATCTATCAGGATGGCTATTAAAAAAAGACAAGAGATAAATGTTGATGAGGGTGTAGAGAAAAGGGAACCCATGGACACTGTTGATGAGAATCCAAAATAGCACAGCAACTGTGAAAAACAAAGTGGACATTACATAAAATATTAAAAATATGATTATTATATGATTCATCAATCCCACTTCAGGGTATATATCCAGAAGAATTGAAATCAGGATCTAAACTCCCATGTTTATTGCAGCATTATTTACAATAGCCGAGATATGGAAACAACCTCAGTGCCTGTTGATGGATGAATAGAAAAAGAAAATGTAGCTTATACATATAATGGAACATTATTATTACTCAGCTTAAAAAAATAAGGAAATCGTGCAATATATGGCAACATAGATGAAACTCGAGAATATTTTGTTAAGTTAAATTCACTAGTCACAGAAGGACAAACACTGATTCCTCTTACATAAGGTTTCTAAAATGGTCAAACACCTGGAAGCTGAGAGGAGAATGTTGATTGCTAGGGGCTGGGAGAAGGGGACAATAGAAAGTTGCTTATCAATGGGTATAAAATTTCAGTTATGCAAGATGAGTAAGTTCTAGAGATCTGTACCTAACTATAGGTACAACATTGTACCTATAGCTAATAATACTGTATTGTACACTTGAAAGTCCACCAAAGGGTTAGATCTCATGTTGTATTCTTACCACAGTAAAGTCAAAAATATTAATAGAGTGAAGTCTATCATTTTCAAATATTTCCCCAATATCCTTGGAACCCTGTTTGAATATCTTCTTGTTTTCAATTTGCACAACATACCTATTTGCCTCTTGAAAATCATTGGATACTTGTAGGATTCTAGAGATTTAACACTTTGGTACACATTACTATCATACTGAGTATTACTAATACACAGTTAATTGTATCTTCTTACTTAAGAGCGCATTGCTCTCTCTGATATGTTCTTTAAAAAGAAGATACTATTAACTTTGTGTTTTTTACCAGGCTTAGTCCTATAACACTGGACAAATATTAAGCAATGTATCTTCAAATCCATGAGTCTATGCTTTCTATGTCCTCTCAATTCATATTTCCTCTGTCTTTGTTTGTTTTGAAGTAAAACAAAAACAGTAAACAAGTACATGTCAGTGCAGTTTTCCCCACTGTCATATCCCCCTAGCAATGTTGCCCAGGGGAAAGCTGGCTAGAGTTTTGCAATATCTGACTTTGAAATACCGTATTCTAGAATCTGAAGATCCCTTTACAATTCAAACATACATTCTTGTCCAGATAGAATCAGGACCTGAAAGTCCAACTAAAACTAGTCACAGACACCGAAGACCTGGGGAACAAGATTCCAGATCATTAACTTACTTACTATCACACAAAATAAAATATTTGTGTTGGTATTATCAGTGCATTCTCTCCTTGCAATTAAGCCAAACACAAAACAAATCTAAATTTTAAAAATATTATATTAATTCGACTCCAAAAACATCTGGTATTAAGTGTAATTATTTTTGGCACATTATTTCCAGTAAGTAACCAAACACTGGAAATTAAATCATACTTAGGTTGTTTTCTGTGCTTTGAATCAACACAATGTAAGCTAGATGAACAAAATACTAAGTGATATCAGTTTACGATAACCTGATATGTTCTTACAAATGGAATTAGAAATGTTGAAATTCTGATAGCTAAGATTTTTATATTTCTTAGCTATGAATAGACTTGGCCAGTGTTGATATCTGAGGCTCGCCATTTTATATACAGTAGTTCTAATTTGTATATGTTTATTTGTATGCATGTGGTGAGATTAAAATAGAAAATCAGTGCTTAAATGGGGGTAGGAGGCATTCACTGTAACTAACTGTATTAGTCTGTTACTGCACTGCTATACAAAAATACCTGAAACTGGGTAATTTACAGAGAAAAGAGGTTTAACTGGTTCACAGTTCTGCAGGCTGTATGGAAAGCATGGCCGGGTAGGCCTAGGGAAACTTACAATCATGGCAGAAAGGTAAGGGGAAGCAGACACGACTTATGTGGAAGGAGCAGGAGGAAGAGTTAGAGAAGGGGGAGGTAGTACACACTTTCAAACAACCAGATCTCATGAGAACTCACTCGCTATTACAAGAACAACAAGGGGAAAATCCACTCCCATGATTCAATCACCTCCCACCAGGCCCGTCTTCCAATACTGGGCATTATAATTTGAAGTAAGATTTGTGTGGGGACACAGACCCAAACCATATCACTAATATTTCCTTGCTGCTACACCTACTTACTGTTGTCATCTGAATTATCTGTCAGTACCTGATCAGGAAAATAGAAACTACCTTAGATATTTCAAGACATGGAAATTCAATTCAGAGATTTGGTAACAAGTGTTGGAAAAACAGAATCACAAAGGGTTCTGGGTAATATTTTTCCTTTTGTTTCTCTGGTATATACATATGATTGACTCCCCTAATTTAGGAACATTAGTGTGAGGTGGGAGAATATGTTTTTACAGTTGAAATGACTCTGCTGATTTTTAATTTTAATATGTAGGTATTAAATATGACAGCCACCTATTATTAAGGAATAAACTGTAACACTTTTCTAATTAAAATAAACTTGAACAGTATTATTGATTTCCCAAGGCACTGGTCATTGCCTAGCAGCAAAACTGACAGATAAAGATTGCTGGATATAATATTAGACACCATTTTTCAAATAAAAGAAAAGCTCACGTAACCTTTGGTCTCTCTGTTCTCACTCGGTGAGGGTCATTTATTGGAAAGTGGTCATTTTACAATAGATAGTAAGATGGGCAATAGGCCTGAACATTTTGATATGTTATTTCTGAGCTTTAATTTTGGTGAAGTGCTTTCCTGACTGACCCTATAAAAGTTATTTTAAATCTAGACATGAAGGTAGATGAGGATGTTGAAGAGATTATTTTTAATCAAAGTCTAAAGTTATTTATTGGTGTATGCGTACCACATTTTCTTTATCCAGTCCACCATTAATGGGCACCTATGTTGATTCCATGTCTTTGCTATAGTGAAAAGTGCTGCAATGAACAAATGCATGCATGTATCTACTATGCAGCCGTAAAAAGAAATAAAATCACGTCTTTTGTAGCAACATGGATGCAGCTGGAGGCCATTATCCTAAGCCAATGAAAGCAGGAACGGGAATCCAAATACTGCATGTTCTCCTATATAAGTGGGAGTTAAATATTGAGTATACACAGACACAAAGAGGGGAACAATAGACACTAGCTATTACTTGAGGGTAGAGACTGTGAGAAGGGTGAGGATCAAAAAACTACCTATTGGGTACTATGCTCAGTACCTAGGTGATAAAATCATTTGTACAAGAAAACCCCATGACACACAATTTACCCATGTAACAAACCTGCACATGTAGCACCTGAAACTAAAATTATAGTTGGGAGAAAAAAATTAAACGACATTCGTAGCTAGCTTTAAAAATTAAAAATAAGGTTATTTCTCTCTTGTCAGTCCTCCTACTTGCAAATACTCCAGATAAAAATATGTGTCTAAGGAGAGAATTTGATTTCTGATTTTTTTCATTTGTAAATTATATGTATTAGACCAAAATACAGTTTAAAATATTTAGAGGTTTGTCTTCAATTATTTTACAAGTAGCTGAATGAATGTCTACGAAAACTTTGCTAAAGTCATAAATTTGATCTCTTGCTGAGCAACAGCCTCAAGGTTTAGGGATGTCTTATTATAGGGGCTGTAAACTCTGGTGCCTTCAGGAGTAAAACAGGTAAACTGAACTAATGAAGCTATTAGCATGATCTTGTGTTTTCATACATAAGTGCAAATCTATCAATGTTCATGAGAAGTCAAAAATCCAAATATATATGTAAAATCCCCTGACATTTAAATGCTGGCAAAAATGTAAAGTATATTTAAAATTCTATGGAATTAACAAAATATATTTGGTGATTTCAATTTGATCCACAAGGTTGCAAACTGTTTAAAATGTGGATGTAATAGGGATGCAGTTAATATATCTACAATTCAAGTTCACAACTGGCTTTGCCAAGATGCCATTATTGTAAAGTGGCAGCAAATCTGTTGCATTGCATGGAACCAATACTTACTATATATCAGATATTGTGCTAAGTGTTTCACATGCATTATCTTATTTAATACATTATTCCTAGTAGTAAGTTATTATTGTTCCTATTTTAAATATGAAGAAACTTTAAGATTTTTCAACTTGCCCAAGTTTAAGCGGTAATAAAGCAGCAGAAAAAATGACTCAAAGTGGCCTGACTGGTTCCAAAGCCCATCTCCTAAAGACTCTATCATTCTAACTTTGTAAGAGTCACCAAGACCATAGTACACAAAAACTTTACAGACCAGAATAAAGGAATTCTTAGTTGGTCATAAGAAAGAGGAATGGTGAGAAAATTATTGCAAGAATCATGGGAGAAAACTAAATAGAAGCATGATTACAACATCTATACTCTTGATCCTTCATTCCTCGATCCTTCTCTCATTTATCAGAGACCCAGAGGTCTTATCAGTTTTTACCCCATCCCTGTATTTTCAGCTTCTTCTTCTGTACTGCCCATTTGCCTACTCTTTCTTTTTAAATAATGGTAATTCCCTGGATTCAATGTCCTCTCCCAGCTACTGCTCCATCTCCTGCCCTTCATAGCCAAACTTGTAGAAGGAGTTTTCTGCACTCTTTGTTGCCATTTTTACCTCTTGAACAATATTTAACCAACTCATTTGACTTCTGTTCCAAATATTTTACTAAAACTTATGCTAATTTCACCAATGATATTCATATCATTATTCTCAGTTCAGTTGGTCTGGTCTTGGCCTCTAAACATTTGACAGTATTTACAACATTGTTCTTAAAGCATTATTTGCTCTTGGATTCTAGTAAATCACACTCTCCTGAATTTCCTCTTATCTTTTTATCTGTTTCTTTTAATGTCCTTTGCCAGTTCATCCTCTTCTATTAGACTTGACACATTATTGTTAAAATTACTCAAGCCTCTATGCTAAGCCCTATTTTCTTCTCATGCTCACAACTATTCCTTAGCTACCTTATGTACTTCTATAGCTTTATATACCATCTATTTGCTGATGTATCTCAATTTTACACCTTAGACTTAGAAATACCCTAATTAGTACGTTACAACTGCATATCTTACATTCCTACTTGGAAAACACATGTGAATCTCAAATAGGAATAATTAAAATTCAACTGTTCATCTCCATCTTATTTTCCCCAATAAACTTCCCCATCTATGGAAATGACACCATTATACAGCTAGATTCTTGAATCAGAAAGCTAAAAGTCATTTCTGATACCTTGATAAGACCTTCTATTCTCATACTCTTCACACCAAATTAATCAACTAAGTCTTGTTGATTTTATTTCCAAATTACTTCTTAACATTTTCTAATTATCTTATTCTACACTAACAGCAGTCTAGGCTAAGCTAATATCATTCCTCACATACAATAACAGGCCTGAACTGGTATCCCTGTATCCATACTCTTTTTTTGGCATATGCTGCTGCCAACATGTTTTGAAGGTTGATACATTCAGCCTCATAAAGATCATAGATGCCTTCATGTCTCCTATCATTCACCAGTGAGATATCAAAATACAGTTGACAAAGGTCACATTAGAAAAGCCAATTGAAATTATGCTTCTTTGCTAACCTGTCACCTTATTAATAAGAAGGCACAGAGCACAAACTCACCAAGCAGGGGAGGTCAAGCAGTGTACCTTTGCGGATCTCTGCACTGGGGTCAAGAACCTCAAGTATCACTCTGCCAGGGCTCTATTTTCTTGATCTTGGAAACCTGAAGGGGCCCAGGGGAGACACAAGCAATAAAGTTAAGATGTTAGGATATTGAAACTTTAGTTCCTAGGGATTTGGGAGACTGCATTTCAGCAGGTAAGGGACCACATATTTGAGAGTGATAGTTGAGCATGACATAACCTGCAGCGATAGAAAAGACAATGATGGCAGTGGTGAAACTGCATCACACAGCATAGAAGTCTTCTTGCAGTTTCATTAGTATAACTTCCTAAGTTAAATAAATTTCTGGGTCAATGGTATGGGTATTTTTAAGGCTTCTGTTAGTATTCTTAAACTTTCATTCAAAACATTCGTACTATTAGGCTGGGCGCGGTGGCTCACCCCTGTAATCCCAGCACTTTGGGAGGCCGAGGCCAGAGGATCACCTGAGGTCGGGAGTTCAAGACCAGCCTGACCAACATGGAGAAACCCCATCTCTACTAAAAATACAAAATTAGCTGGGGTGGTGGCACATGCCTGTAATCCCAGCTACTTGGGAGGCTGAGGCAGGAAAATCGCTTGTATGCAGGAGGCGGAGGTTGTGGTGAGTCGAGATCATGCCATTGCAACAAGAGCGAAACTCTGCCTAAAAAAAAAAAAAAAAAAAAAAAATTCGTACTATTAATTTACACTCTCACCAGTAGCGTAAAAAAAAGTTCACTTCACTAAGGATATTTTAAATTGAGCAATTGAATAAGAATAAATTCCTATCTTTCATTTATACCTATGGATGCATTGACTACGCCTTTTAATGTTCTGATGCTTTAAAAGATATTGTTCTTATTTTTTGTTTAGCTACATTCCTACGGCCATTTTCATATAAATAAAGTAATAGACAAATAAATGTTATCATTTTCTGAATGCTCACAATATGCCATGTACTGTTCTAAAGTCCTTTATAATTTTTAACTTTTTTAATCCTCAAAAAGAGCCTGGGAAAACAGAAATTAAACTATTTGCCCACAATCCCCTAGATAATAAGTGGGAAATCAAAGATATCAACCTGGACTCTAAATTCAATGTTACAAAGCTAAAACAGTTTACCTCTTTGAATTATAAAACATTTCATTGTTGTATCAATTGGGAACTGGATCAATATTCTAATATGTATTATTATAGTAATTTAAAAATGTGCACTTTTTATACAAATTAAATCAGCTTAATATTAAATGCTCACATTGACTAATATAAATAAAATGCTGAACATTCACAATATTTCCCAATAAATAAATCTGCAATTTTATCATATAATTTCCACATTTTTTAAGACATTTTTTAAGACTCAACTTCTTTCCTGTGGCAGCTATGTATACCATTTATTAATTCTAAATTGTTTCTAGTATAATATTCATATAGATAACTATTTGGGTATAATTATGATGGAAAAAAGCAAACAATCTCATCAATATTACTACACACTGCAAAGATTTCTTTTTGACAATAATTTAAAACTATATCCAATTAATAGGATAAGGGTGCCCATTTTTACCATTTCTATTCAAAATAACAATGGAAGTTCTAACCAGAGCCATTAGGCAAGAGAAAGAAATAAAAACATCTAAATTGGAAAGGAAAAAGTCAAATCATTCTTGTTTGCTGATGACATGATCTTATACTAAGAAAAAACTAACAACTCCACCAAAATACTCTTAGAACTAATGAACAAATTCAGTAAAGTTTCAGGATACAAAATCAACATAGAAAAATTGGTAGCATTCATATATGATAAAGGTGATCAATCTGAAACAAAAAATAAAAAGCAATCCCACTTAAAATAGCCTCAAACAAAATTAAATGCTGGTAATAGACTTAACTGAATAAGTGAAAGATCTCTATAACAAAAACTAAAAAAACCCTGATGAACAAAATTGAAGGGGAAACAAAAAATGATAAGATATCCTATGCTTGTGTGTTAGAAGAATTAATATTGTAAAATTGGCTATACTACCCAAGGTAATCTACAGATTCAATGCAATCTCTTTTAAAATACCAATGACATTCTTCACAGAAATAGAAAATGCAATTGTAAAATTAATATGGAACCAAAGAAGACCCCAGATAGCCAAAGAAGTATTGAGTAAAGAAAACAAAGCTGAAGACATCACTCTACCTGATTTCCAATTATACAACAAAGCTACAGTAACCAAAAGAGATGGCATTGTGTCTGGCAAAAAACAAACTTACAGAACAACAGAACAGAATAAATAACCCAGAAGTAAATCCACACACTTACACCCAACTCATTTTCAACAAAGGTGCTAAGAACATACATTGGGGAAAGACAGTCTCTTTAATAAATGGTGATGGGAAAACTGGATATCTGCACATGGAAGAATGAAACTAGGTCCCCATCCTTTACCATAGACAAAGATCAACTCAAAATGGATTAAAGACTTAAATGTAAGACCTGAAACTATGAAAGTATTAAAAGAAAACATTGGGGAAATGTAACAGAACCTTACTCTCATCAAAGATTTGTTGGGTAATACCTCAAAGGCCCAGGCAATAGAAGCAAAAATGAACACGAGACAGATTACATCAAGCTAAAAAGCTTTTGCACAGCACAGGAGACATCAACAAAGTGAAGCCACAGACAACAACATGGGAGAAAGTATTTGAAAACTATCCATCTGAAAAGGATAAAAATCAGAATATATAAGGAACTCAAACAACTCAATAACAAAAACATGATAATCCCATTTTATAATGCACAAATGAATAGAATAGAAATTTATCCAAAGACGGCATACAAATAAACAACAGTTCTGTAAGTGGTTGCCTGAAGATTGCCTAGATATAAATAATTTTAGAACTGAACAAGACCTTAGAGGTCATCTATTGCTTTATATTTGCAGCATCATTCCTCATATCTAATATTGTATTTGAAACTAGTATTTGATTTTGTCTTTTTTATTTTATCTGAACTGCTATTTGAGGAAAATTCTGGGAATGTTCTATTTTATCAAACATATGAGAACTATATGACAAACTTCAGGATAATGGTTATAGAGAAATGCATTTCTGTAAATTGAATTTTAGCTATATTTTAAAAATATAAATTAAATTAAATTTTGTTAACTGACATAAAAATACATAAACCCTTTTATGAAATGCATTGTTTTAGAATATATACACAAAGTAGGACAGTACTTATAGGAGACCTAGAAATTATCTATTCCAAGAATTCTCAAACATTCTTTTTGCCTTAATATACTTGAAGAGTATGACTGTTAAAATAGTTACTCTCAAAAACATTTCTTTATTTTGGTAGAAGGAACTCAGAATTCATGATTCTGAGAAGGGATGCTATTTGGGTATGCATTCTGAAAAATTCTCCAAGGTATTTTGGGTATTTTCCTCTGAGATGTTATGCCAGTTACCACATAATATCACTGATTTAGTCAAACTGTCATTTACTGAAGAGAAAATTGAGGAAAATACTTAACATCAAACAGCTATTTGTTGAAAAGCAGAGACTTGAGGCTTTTTTTCCAAAATACCATATTTAAACCCCCTATTGCTGATATTTTTATCTCACAATAGCCATTTTCTATCCTACCCAACTCTGTACACTCCGTAGTAACAGAGCCCTGATTTTGGTCAGGCTCTGGACAGCCAGGTGCTTTAATACGGAGGTTGTGCCTTCTCCACATCCCAGGAGACGAATATTGATAAGTTTAAGTAAATCACGGTAATTTCATCTTCTTTTGATATTCATTGGCAAAGTCATGGCCAATGAGCCACGAAGAAAATTCCACCCAGGTAGCTTTTGAGAAAGCTATTCTCATTCTAAATAATGGTAATAAGGAAATGTGAGGACAATGTGATATTTGCAACTGCAGTAGCTATTCTGTAATGCTAAAGAGACAAGCCTAAAGGCAAAAGTCAGTATGCTAAATAATTGAAGACCACGGAAAGAAAGAAAGGAGGGAGGGGTAGAGAGAGAGAGAGAGAGAGAGAGAGAAAGAGAGAGAGAGAGATTCTGCATTGTAACAGGGTGGAGGAAGAAAATATTCAGGGTTTAAAATTAATTAATAGGCTAGGCCCAGTGGCTCACGCCTGTAATACCAGCACTTTGGGAGGCCGAGGCGGGCAGATCACGAGGTCCAAGATCGAGACCATCCTGGCTAACAGGGTGAAACCCCGTCTCTACTAAAAAATACAAAAAAAAAAAAAAAAAAAAGAAAGAAAATTAGCCGGGCGTTGTGGCAGGCGCCTATAGTCCCAGCTACTCAGCAGGCTGAGGCAGGAGAATAGCATGGACCCGGTAGGCGGAGCTTGCAGTGAGCCGAGATCGTGCTCAAAAAATAATAATAAAATAAAATTAATTAATAAAGATATTGTAACTTATGTTATAACTTAACATGAATTCTTTCTGAGGGATTATTAACACTCTAAGAAATAGCCCCATTAAAATGATTTTAATGGTAACAGCAAAGAATAGCATTTGCAAAGAGAACTGAAAGGTTATATTTTAGGTTTAGGAGTGCTGGTTAACATTACTAAATGAAGTGAAATAGATCTCTACTGAATTGATAATTTTATGTTTATTGGCATTTTAATACTCTTAAATTTATCTGAATTACCTTGTACTGCTATACATCCATACCATAATATCTGGCTGAAATAGCCTTTGAAATAGGCTCTATGATGCCTCTGTCTTTTGTCTTGTTAGTCCTATGTTTTTGCAGGTATGCATTTCTGTAATTTGAGATATGTGAAACCCTTTTGCCTTTTCTGTTCTTCTCAACTGTACTTGAATTGTCTGAGCCCACAGGGAAAACATCTGAAAAACAATTATAGAATATTTTTAAATCATTGAGTTTCAGGGAAACTCATGAATCATTCAGTCCAGCATATTTAGAGCTCCCAAATCTTCTTTTTAAAAAATGTCTGTGACCTCTTCTAATTTATAAGGCATATTGTGCAGAAGTGGCTGCAAAAAATGAGCAGGGCTACATTTGGGTATAGGCTGAATGTATATCTAAACAGTGTGAAGTCTAAATAGTACCAGAAAAAGCCCCTAACACCCTAATATTTCTCTCATTGCCTATCATAAAATCTATAATTTCTCATTTATAAAATTATTATTTTTGGATGTAAAGCCTTATTGTCCATAAAAATTATCTCTTTTTAAATTGAAAAGTAGACCGAGAGAAGTGGTTCATATCTATAATCCCAATGTTTTGGGAGGCCGAGGTGGGAGTATCAATTGATCCCAGAAGTGCAAGACTAGCAGGGCAAGATAGCAAGCCCCTCCCTCTACATAAAATGTATTAAATTATCCAGGGACCGTGGAACACTTCTGTAGCCCCAGCTACTCTGGAAGCTGAGATGGGAGAATACCTAGAGCCCAGAAGTTCAAGGCAGAAACGATCTATGATCATGCCACTGCTCTCTAGCCTGGGTGACAAAGGAATATTCTGTCTCTAAAAATAAATAAATAAAATTGAAAAGTGTCAATTAACAACATAGATATTAGTTGATCACTAGATCAGTTTGAGAAAAAATTGGGTTCTGGAAGCAAGGGGATTTGGGCAGAAATGCCAGGGACATAATAAGAGGGGAAAGAATAGGGTTTCAAGACAAACTTCACCTACTCTTTGCTCCAAGCTAAAAAAAATGACCACTGGCTGCAGAAACTAAAGAAGTCACTGCAAAAAGTATTATTTTTCTTGATCAGCAAGCATTTCCCAGGCAGTTTCCCCAGATAAAGGCTTCTCAAACTTTAATGTGCCTAAAAATTAATTATACATCTTGTTATTAAAGCTAATTTTCTGTTCTGTTCTTGTCCCCACATAATCATGTGTCAAGGTTATGTTAGCATAAAAAATTCTAACTATACATAGGTGATCTGGGATAGGCCCAGGAATCTATAAATAAGGATTTCCTCACTTGGTTATGATGCAACTCAGCTCCAGCAACTTTCAGCCTAGAGTCAATCACCTGATTGGCCCTAAAATAGCTTACAATCTAGAATGGGGAGAGAAGATAGATCAATCGATAGATAGATAGATAGATAGATAGATAGATAGATATAGAGATAGAGATATGTAATTAAACATAAGGCAGAGTGTAACCAGGGTTATGGAGAAGAAGGGGGAAATACACAGTTTTGAAGATCAAGGAAAGCTAGGTAGGAAAGATAACTTTTGAGTAATGCATTACTTAAAAAATAAGATATAAAAAATGCAGCCAATATCAGAAAAGTATAAAGTTAGCAACTGTTTTTCTTTTCTTTTTTTTTAATTATACTTTAATTTATAGGGTACATGTGCACAACATGCAGTTTTGTTACATAGGTATACACGTGCCATGATGGTTTGCTGTGTCCATTAACTCATCATTTACATTAGGTATTCCTCCTGATGCTATCCCTCCCCCTGCCCCCCACCCCATGACGGGTCCCAGTGTGTGATGTTCCCCACCCTATGTCCAAGTGTTCTCATTGTTCAATTCTCACCTATGAATGAGAACATGCAGTGTTTGGTTTTCTGTCCTTGTGACAGTTTTCTCAGAATGATGATTTCCAGCTTCATCCATGTCCCTGCAAACGACATGAACTCATCCTTTTTTATGGCTGCATAGTATTCCATGGTGTATATGTAACACATTTTCTTAATCTAGTCTATCTTTGATGGACATTTGGGTTGGTTACAAGTCTTTGTTATTGTGAATAGTGCTGCAATAATAATACATGTACATGTGTCTTTATAGTTCTCATTCATAGGCAAGAATTGATCAATGAGAACACTTGGATATAGGGTGGGGAACATCACACACTGGGACCTGTCATGGGGCGGGGGGCAGGGGGAGGGATAGCATTAGGAGGAATACCTAATGTAAAATACCTAATGTATATGTGATTTATAATCCTTTGGGTATATACCCAGTAATGGGATCGCTGGCTCAATTGGTATTTCTAGCTCTAGATCCTTGAGGAATCACCACACTATCTTCCACAGTGGTTGAACTAGTTTACACTCCCACCAACAGTGTGTAAAAGTGTTCCTATTTCTCCATATCCTCTCCAGCATCTGTTGTTTCCTGACTTTTTAATGATAGCCATTCTAACTGGTGTGAGATGGTATCTCATTGTGGTTTTGATTTGCATTTCTCTGATGACCAGTGATGATGAGCATTTTTTCATGTGTCTGTTGGCTGTATAAATGTCTTCTTTTGAGAAGTGTCTGTTCATCTCCTTTGCCCACTTTTTGATGGGGTTGTTTGTTTTTTTCTTGTAAATTTGCTTAAGTTCTTTGTAGATTCTGGATATTAGCCCTTTGTCAGATGGGTAGATTGTAAAAATTTTCTCCCATTCTGTAGGTTGCCTGTTGACTCTGATGGAAGTTTCTTTTGCTGTGCAGAAGCTCTTTAGTTCAATTAGATCCCATTTGTCTATTTTGGCTTTTGTTGCCATTGCTTTTGGTGTTTTAGTCATGAAGTTCTTGCCCATGCCTATGTCCTGAATGGTATTGCCTAGGTTTTCTTCTAGGGTTTTTATGGTTTTAGGTCTAACATTTAAGTCTTTAATCCATCTTGAATCAATTGTTGTATAAGGTGTAAGGAAGGGATCCAGTTTGAGCTTTCTACATATGAGTAGCCAGTTTTCCCAGCACCATTAATTAGATAGGGAATCCTTTCCTCATTTCTTGTTTTTGTCAGGTTTGTCAAAGATCAGATGGTTGTAGATGTGTGGTGTTATTTCTGAGGCCTCTGTTCTGTTCCATTGGTCTATATCTCTGTTTTGGTACCAGTACCATGCTGTTTTGGTTACTGTAGCCTTGTAGTATAGTTTGAAGTCAGGTAGGGTGATGCCTCCAGCTTTATTCTTTTTACTTAGGATTGACTTGGCAATGCGGGCTCTTTTTGGGTTCCATATGAACTTTAAAGTAGTTTTTTCCAATTCTGTGAAGAAAGTCATTGGTAGCTTCATGGGGATGGCATTGAATCTATAAATTTCCATGGGCAGTATGGCCATTTTCACAATATTGATTCTTCCTATCCATGAGCATGGAATGTTCTTCCATTTGTTTGTGTCCTCTTTTATTTCATTGAGCAGTGGTTTGTAGTTCTCCTTGATACCTTGAAGAGGTCCTTCACATCCCTTGTAAGTTGGATTTCTAGGTATTTTATTCTCTTTGTAGCAATTGTGAATGGGAGTTCACTCATGATTTGGCTCTCTGTTTGTCTGTTATTGCTGTATAGGAATGCTTGTGATTTTTGCATATTGATTTTGTATCCTGGGACTTTGCTGAAGTTGCTTCTCAGCTTAAGGAGATTTTGGACTGAGACAATGGGGTTTTCTAGATATACAATCATGTCATCTGCAAACAGGGACAATTTGACTTCCTCTTTTCCTAACTGAATACCCTTTATTTCTTTCTCTTGCCTGATTGACCTGCCCAGAACTTCCAACATTATGTTGAATAGGAGTGGTGAGAGAGGGCATCCCTGTCTTGTGCCAGTTTTCCAAGGCAATGCTTCCAATTTTTGCCCATTTAGTGTGATATTGGCTGTGGGTTTGTCATAAATAGCTCTTATTATTTTGAGATATGTTCCATCAATACCTAGTTTATTGAGAGTTTTTAGCGTGAAGGGCTGTTGAATTTTGTCAAAGGCCTTTTCTGCATCTATTGACATAATCATGTAGTTTTTGTTGATGGTTCTGTTTATGTGATGGATTACATTTATTCATTTGCATATGTTGAACCATCCTTGCATCCCAGGGATGAAGCCCACTTGATCATGGTGGATAAGCTTTTTGATGTGCTGCTGGATTTGGTTTGCCAGTATTTTATTCGGTTTGCCAGGATTTTTGCATCGATGTTCATCAGGGATATTGGTCTAAAATTATCTTTTTTTGTTGTGTCTCTGCCAGGCTTTGGTATCAGGATGATGCTGGCCTCATAAAATGAGTTAGGGAGGATTCCCTCTTTTTCTATTGATTGGAATAATTTCAGAAGGAATGGTACCAGCTCGTCTTTGTATCTCTGGTAGAATTCGGCTGTGAATCCATCTGGTCCTGGACTTTTTTTGGTTGGTAAGCTATTAATTATTGCCTCAATTTCAGAGCCTGTTATTGGTCTATTCAGAGATTCAGTTTCTTCCTGGTTTAGTCTTGGGGGGGTGTATGTGTCCAGGAATTTATCCATTTCTTCTAGATTTTCTAGTTTATTTGCATAGAGGTGTTTATAGTATTCTCTGATTGTAGTTTGTATTTCTGTGGGATCGGTGGTGATATCCCCTTTATCATTTTTTATTGCATCTATTTGATTCTTCTCTCTTTTCTTCTTTATTAGTCTTGCTAGTGGTCTATCAATTTTGTTGATCTTTCCAAAAATCCAGCTCCTGGATTCACTGATTTTTTGAAGGAGTTTTTTTGTCTATATCTCCTTCAATTCTGCTCTGATAGTAGCTATTTCTTGCCTTCTGCTAGCTTTTGAATGTGTTTGCTCTCGCTTCTCTAGTTCTTTTAATTGTGGTGTTAGGGTGTTGATTTTAGATCTTTCCTGCTTTCTCTTGTGGGCATTTAGTGCTATAAATTTCCCTCTACACACTGCTTTAAATGTGTCTGGCAACTGTTTTTCTAAATTTTATTACGTACCCTCATGTCTGTCTATCCAGGGTCCTCATGCTCTCTTCTGATGACAGAATCACATAAGCCTGTCCTTACTCTGCATTTTTTCATTTCCTATCCTTTCTCTCACTCATAAAAACTTACCTCATCTCACCTCCCTTCAGGAATGGGTTGGTTGAATATCTAATTTGATAAAGTAACTGATGATAATAGAATGTTGTCTTTAAAAATATTTTCAGTGCCTTTGCTTATAGAAATGACTAACTTGGACATCCTAGCAAGCTGGAGATAGGATGGAAAATGCTTTTGGTCAAAGGAATCATCAATGTCTCTTAATTCATACTGAAGCTAATGGTCTTAAAAAAATATTCACTGTGAACTGATCGATATTGTTCAGCAAGAAACAAACAAATTTACAAGAAAAAACAAATGACCCTATTAAAAAGTGGTCAAAGGACATGAACAGACACTTCTCAAAAGAAGACATTCATGAGGCCAACAAACATGAAAAATGCTCAATATCACTGATCATTAGAGAAATGCAAATCAAAACCACAATGAGATACCATCCACACCGGTCAGAATGGTGATTATTAAAAAGTCAAGAAACAACAGATGCTGGTGAGGCTGTGGAGAAATAGATATGCTTTTACACTGTTGGTGGGAATGTAATTTAGGTCAACCATTGTGGAAGATAGCGTGGCAATTCCTCAAAGACCTAGAACCAGATATACCATTTGACCCAGCAATCCCACTACTGGGTATATCCCCAAAGGATTATAAATCATTCTATTATAAAGACACATGCATGCATACGTTCATTGCAGCACTATTCACACTAGCAAAGATGTAGAATCAACCCAAACACCCATCAGTAATTGACTGGATAAAGAAAATATCCTACATATACACCATGGAGTACTATGCATCCATGAAAAGGAATCATATCATGATGCATGATACTATGCATCATGTCCTTTGCAGGTCATGAATAGAGCTGGAAGCCATTATCCCCAGCAAGCTAATGCAGGAATAGAAAACCAAACACCTCATGTTCTCACTTATAAGTGGGAGCTGAACAATGAAAACACATGGATACAGGGAGGGGAACAACACATACTGGGGCCTGTTGGGATTGGCAGTGAGAGGGAGAGCATCAGGATAAATAGCTAATGCATGCTGGCCTCAACAACATGAAGAAAAACGTTGAATAAGCCGAAAGTCAGTAGCTCTTCTTGGATGCATTAGAGAATTTAGGTCACTGGGCAAATCAGTGCTCCAAAATTGGAAATACAGATGAATACAGAGAATAACAGATTACCAGAGCAGAAACTCAGAAGTAGAAGCCTACCACTGGAACCAGAGTATAAACACTTAAAATGTAATTGACAAATTGCTGGAGGCTCAGTCTTGACACATTTGAGATTTAAAAATTGCGGTGAGTCCCAGTTTTAGTGGTAGCCCCTACACGTTCCTGAATGCTACCTCTAGGATCCCCACCAAGTCGTTGGGGAGAATGTACTATGAAGAAAAATTCCCTTCTGCCAATAGAGAGAAAGAAAAATTGCCATTTAAAAATAGGTCTAGAGCATTCTGCTCTCCTTAACAACAACAACAAAAAAATTGCCCTCAAAGAAAACTATTTAACCAGAATCTGACCACATTGAGTTTATCCAGAGCATGACCAAACTGGAGGCAAAAATTACCCGACTCCAGTCATCTTTTAAGCTCAATCAGAACATGGCAATCAGCACGATGTCTCTGTCCATCCATCAACAACTCCAGTCACTTCTAGCCTTCTTGTTTCACCTTGCGGGGAGGGCAGAAAATAAGAAACAATTGATAAGCACTTATGGCACAAATGATAAGCACTGCCCAGGCACAAAGGCTAAATAAAAGACTGAGACATTATCATAGGACTGTAAAATGTTTCCCCTACCCCAACCTTACCACCACGTCAAATGGGTTCCTCTATTATAACTAACAGGATTAAAACTGAAAGAACCGCATGGCTCAGATCTTATTTAAGAAGTCTCGGCCAGGCGCGGTGGCTCACGCCTGTAATCCCAGCACTTTGGGAGGCTGAGGTGGGCAAATCATGAGGTCAGGGGTTCAAGACCAGCCTGATCAACGTGGTGAAACCCCGTCTCTACTAAAAATACAAAAATTAGCTGGGCGTGGTGGCGTGTGCCTGTAATCCCAGCTACTCAGGAGGCTGAGGCATGGGAATTGCTTGAACCTGGGAGGCGGAGGTTGCAATAAGCAGAGATCGCGCCACTGCACTCCAGCCTGGGCAACAGAGCGAGACTCTGTCTCAAAAAAAAAAAAAAGAAAAAAAAGAAGTCTCTAGGAAAACCCAAAGGCAAAGGGGGAGGCAGACAGTAGGATGACAGAGGAAATGTTAGCCTCTGACCCATAGAACAACAGCAAATAGTAAATACAGATGAATTATTGGCCTGCTAAGCAAAATCCTCACACTAACTGCCTATTTACCTAGGCTCTTTTTACCCAGTACATCATGTCTTACATTCAATAAAAAATTACAAAGCATACTAAAAGACAAAAATAATAGTTTGAAGAGAGAAAGCAAGTACAAGAATCAAACACAGTTATAGCAGAAAGCTGTCATCCAAAATTTTGAAACAAGTATGATTAATATATTAAGTAGTGTATTTTTAAAATGTAGAAAGCATTCAAGGACAGGTAATATACGCAGAGAGATGGAAACTTCAAGAAACAATTAAAAAGAAATACTAGTGATCGTAAAACATTGTAAAAACAATAAAGAATGCATTTGATGGGCTAATAAACAGAATGGACATAGCCAAAGAAAGAATCAGTAAGTATGAAAATCTGTCAATAGAAACTTCCAAAACTGAAATGGAAAGAGAAAAAAAGAATTTTAAAAATGGAAGATAATATCCAAGAATTGTGGGACCGTTACAAAAGGTATAAAATACACATAATGGGAATACCAAAAGATTAAAAAATAAAAGAATATGGGAAATGTATAAAGTAATAATGATTGAGAATTTTTCAAAATTATTGAAAGACACAAAACCACAGATTCAGGAAGCTCAGAGAACACCTAGCATAAAAAATACCAAAATCCTACATCTAGGCATACAATGTTCAAATAGCAGAAAACGAAGGTAAGGAGACAATCTTGAAAGAAGCCAGAAGGGGACAAAAAAGTACAGCAACAGAGGAGCAAAAATAAGATTTAAATCAGACTTTCTCCTCAGAATCCATGAAAGTTAAAAAAAAAAAAAGACAAAATAGTGGAGTGAAATGTTAAACGTGTTGAAAGAAAATAATCAGCCAAACTAAAACTTCATTTCCTTTGAAAAGGATGGTTTAAAAAGCCTTCAAAAGCAAAGGAGAAATAAAGACTTTCTAAGAAAACCAAAAATTGAGAGAATCTGTCACAAGCAAACCTGCCATACAAGAAATTTTAGAAGAAATCCTTCAGAGAATTAAAAAAAGGAAAATAAAAACTATTTTTGTCTAAACTTTGAATGCTTGCAGATCTTATGGTCAGAATATTTTCTTTACTGTAATTATATCCTTCCCTTGTGCAAAAGTCTTTCAAATAAAGTCTTTCCTTAAAAAAATAGAAATTTTTTGAGAATAAAAGAAGATGATGTAAGTCATAAATTCAGATATATATGAGGAAAGGGAGAGACTTAGAGAAGAAATAAATGAAGGTAAATTAACCTATTTTACTTTTCTTATTCTTAATTGATCTAAAAGATAACACTTTGTTCAAAATAATAACAGTAATAATGTTTTACAGTGAATATAGTTTGTGATAAATTGAAATAAATGGCAATGGTATAAGAAACATCAGAAAATAATTGTGAATCTCTATTAACTACTTGCATTATCTCTGAATAGTATAGTATTATTTAAAAGTGGACTTGGATTAATTGTAAGTGTACATTGAAAACTCCAGAGTAACCACTGAATAACATTTCACAAAGTATAGACAAACTAAGAGAGGAGAAAAAATGGAATATATAATGTGCTCAATTAAAATCAGAAAAAGAGTCATAGACAAAATTATGAATCAAAAAGAATAGAAAACAGTAACAAATATGGTAGATGGTAATTCAACTATATCAATAATTATTTTAAACTTCAGTGTTCTAAATACAATACACCAATGAAAAAACAGACGGACAGAGTGGATAAAATACCAAGACCCAACTCTATTATTGAGGGCTCTCCAGAGAAATAGAACCAATATGATAAATCTATAGCTATATGGATATAAAATTTTTAGGGGAATTAGCTTACATAATTATGGAGGTTGAGAGGTTTTACCATCTGCTGTCTACAAATCAGAGAACCAGGAAAACTAGTGGTGTAGCTCAGTCTGAATCTGAAGGTCCAAGAACCAGGAGCTCTGATATCCAAGGAGAGAAGAAGATGGATGTCTTAGCTTAAGAAAAGAGAAAATTTACCCTTTTTCTACTTTTTATTCTATTCAGCCCCTCAAGGACTTGAATGATGCCTGCCCACACTGGTGAAACCGGACCTTCCTTACTCAGTCTACTGATTCCAAAGCTAATCTCTTCTAGAAATACACTTACAGAAACGCACGAATAGTTTTACCCACTATTTAGGCCTTCTTTTGCCCAGTGAAGTTGACACATAAAATTAACCTTCACACCCAACTATATGCTGTCTAGAAAAATATCCACTTTATATAGAAAGACACAGAGATATTAAAAGTTAATTAGCTTTATTTAATTATTTTACATTGTACTTAAGATCATAACATCACAATATACTCCCATAAACATATGCTAATTTTTCAATATATAATTTTTTTAAAGTAAATAGAAAAAGATTTAATGTGCTAACACTACTCAAAAGAAAGTATCAAAATACATGGGGCAAAAACTAACAGAATTGCAGGGAGAAATAAATAAATTCACTCTTACAGTTGGAGAATTTAACACCTGTCTAACAGAAAATGACAGATCCATCGGAAAACCAATAAAGACATAGGAGAACTGAACAGCACCATCAATCAAATAGATCTAATTTACATTTGTAGAATACTTTATTCAACAGTAGAATACACATTCTTCTCAAGCTCACATGGAATATTCACCAAGATAAACCACATTCTGGACCATAAAACACATGTTAATAAATTTTAAGATACAGAAATCATACAAAGTATGCTCTCAGATAACAGTGGAATTAAATGAAATTAAAAATCAACAACTGAAAGATAAGTGGAAAAATGAGTCAAAGAAAAAGTCACAAAGAAATTAAGAGCTATTTTGAACTAAATGAAAATACAACATAAAAATTCGAAATGCAGAAAAAGCAACATTCGAGGAAAATTTACATCATTGAATATATATATATATCATATATATATATATGATATATATATATGTAAGAAAATAAGAAAGTCCTAAAATTAATAACCTATGCTTACATCTTAGGAACCACACCTGTGGAACTTTGAACTTGAGAGTAATTATTTAGGATATCTGGTGGAAGAAATTTCTAAGCAGCAAAGTTTTCAAGATGTGGCCTGGTTGCTTCTAACAGCCTAAACTCATATCCATGAGCAAAGAAATGACCTGAAAGTGGAACTTATATTTAAAAGGGAAGCACAGCGAAAGTTTGGAAAATTTGCAGCCTGGCCATGTGGTAGAAAAGAAAAGCCCCTTTTTCAGGGAAGAAATTCAAGCAATCTGCAGAAATTTGCAAGACTAAAAAGGAGCATAAGTACACAAGAGGGGTATCTCCAGTTTCACAGCTTAGTGAGCAGTAATGGGATACACTTTTCTTCTATACTCCAGACCTGCCAAGGCATCCTCCCATGGCCCAACTTTGGCAGCAAATTAGGAAGAGTTAAATCACATGCAGTTTGCTTTAAGCCCATGAAATTGCTCCAGGCTGTAATACTCAACATTTTGGCTAAAACAATGCCTCTAAGAAATATCTCATCTCAGTCCAGTCCTATGAAGAGGAGCTGCCCAATTCCAGCACCCTTGGCTGGAACCCATGCCACAGTCATCTCCAAGGTCTGTCTGTGGGGGCCCATCTCCGACTCAAGACTAGATAACCAATTCCTGGCCCAAGACTCTCCAAACCATTGATTGCCCCACTTGCTAGCTGGCAGGTTTCCACACCACCCACTATGAGGTAGAACCAGGAATAGCTTCCTTCTCTTCGCACTGAGAAGCTCATGTAGAACACTTTCCAGTCCTTTCCTTGTTACAGTCTTCCCACTGCTCTGCAAGTCAGATACAAGGCTTAGGAGTGACAAGGAGCTCCCTCATGGCCAGGATCTCCCAGTTATCCAGTGGGAATGTGTATCACAAAGACACTCACTCCCTATCTCATGTTTTGGAAATTCACTGATGGTTTTCCACAAGACTCTGCCACAAATGCTGTAGCTTGCCTTCTTTTTTCCAGTAACCAAAGTTTTACCTTGTTTTTATGTTGAATTCACATGTTTTGTATTAGATAAAAGTTCACAGTGTGAATCTGCACACACTATTTTGCTATTTCTAAGTTGGTGAGGTCCACTGCAAAGTTGTTGTTCCTCCATCTTGAAAAAAGTTTAATTTTTGGTTTTTGATTTGTAAGAGTTCTTTATACATTCTTAATACGAGACACTTAGATAGATATATGTTTGCAAATAATATTTATATCTCTTGATAATATCATTTGATGTACACAAATGTTTAATTTTGATAAAGTCAAAATTATTTATTTTTATTATCTTCTTTTGTTGCTCACGCTTTTGGTGTCATGTCTAAGAATCGATGGACGAAGCCACGATAACAAATATTTACTTCTATGCTTCTATGTTTTTTTCTAATAATTTTAAGGTTTTAGCTCTCATATTTAGGTTAGTGACTCATTTTGAGTTAATTTTTGTATATAGTGTTAGGTAAGGGGTCCAACATTAATCTTTTGAATGAGGGATAACCGGTCGTCTCAAAGCCACTTGTTAAAAATAATGTAAATTCTTCTATGAATGGTCTGGACAACTTTGTTAAAAATCAATTGACCATAGATACACAGGTTTATTTCAGGACTCTCAATTCTTTTCTACTCTCCTATATGTCTATTCTTATACCAGTAACACTCTGTTTTGATAACTGTACCTTTATACAATAAATTTTACAGTAAATCAGGAAGTGTAAGTTCTCCAACTTAATTCTTCTTTTGCAAGATTATTTCGGCTATTTGCATACCCAAACAATACCCTATTTATGTGAGAATCAGTTATTCCATTTTTAAATTTAAAAAAATTGAATTTTGGTAAGGATTGCATTGAATCTGTAGATTTATTTGAGTAGTATTTGCCTCTCACCAATATAAAGTCCATGAGCATGGGATGGCTTTCATTTAACTACGTCCTCTTTCATTTCTTTCAGCAATGTTTTATTTTTTCTGTGAACAAGTTTTTCACCTTCTTGTTTAAAGTTATTAGTAGATAGTTTATTTGTTTGTATGCTATTGTAAATATAATTATTTTCTTAATTTGCTCTATGGGTGGCTTATTTCTGGTGTATAGAAATATATCTCGTTTTTGTGTGCTAATCTTGTATCCTACAAGTTTGCTGAATTTGTATTTTAGTAGTAACAGCTTTCTTGTGGATTCCTTGTAGTTTTCTACATATAAGATCATGTTATGTGCAGAAAGAGTTTTACTTCTTCCTCTTCAATTAGAATGGCTTTTATTATTTTTTTTCTTTCCTAGTTCTTGGGCTAGAACTTCCAACACAATGTTGAATAGCAGTGGTTAAATAGGCATCCTTGTCTTATTCCTAATGTCAAGAGAAAATATTTCAGCTTTTCTCTATTGATATGGTGTCAGCCATAGGTTTTCCTCAATCTTTCAGGTAGCTCCCAAACTGGTTAGATGGGAGCTACACAAACATAATAAATTGTAGTTAAGTTATTTCCTACTTTATTTGTTGCCAGGGACCAGGGGTATTCATTGGGAATATGGGCTGCTGTGTCAAGACTTCCTATGAGCTCTGGACAGAGTACGGTAAGGGAAAGCAAAACTGGTATAAAGCTTTCCTACTATTCTAAGTTGCCTTTTTCTTGATTCAGCATTCACTTTGTTGTGGTAAACCCTTGACTGTTTTCAAGAGTTCTGGTAAACTTGGTTTGGACAATTTCTGTTTGTTTTTTCTGTGGAGGACAGTAGTTTAGAGCTGCCTACTCTGCCATTTAACTGATGTTACATTCCACAAGAGGATTACTTTTAAATAGAAAAAATGTGACAATATATTAAGGCTGAAGAAAAGAGTCAGTGGAGCGGTAAAAGTTTTATAGATGATAGATAGATAGATGATAGATAGATAGATAGATAGATAGATAGATAGATAATCCATAGATCAAGTTCTTTTTTTTTTTTTTTGAGACAGAGTTTTTGCTCTTGTTGCCCAGGCTGGAGTGCAAAGGTGTGATCTTGGCTCACTGCAACCTCCGTCTCCTGGGTTCAAGCAATTCTCCTGCCTCAGCCTCCCGAGTAGCTGGGATTATAGGCATGCACCTCCATGCCAGGCTAATTTTGTATTTTTAGTAGAGATGAGGTTTCTCCATGTCGGTCAGGCTGGTCTTGAACTCCTGACCTCAAGTGATCCGCCTGCCTCGGCCTCCCAAAGTGCTAGGATTACAGGGTGAGCCACCACGCCTGGCCCATAGATCAAGTTCTTATGGAAGATGAGAGCTAAATGACAGATCTTTAGAGGCATGTGTGATTTTGAATATTTTTTTAACTTAAAGGGATTAGACTACAGCAGGAAGAACTATGGAACATTGCCAACCAGATATTATTATTAGTTTTTAAGTATACTCAGGGGAAAAGTTAAAGATTCAAGGGAATTTAGAATTAAATAAATGACGGCTTTTTAAAGATGGGAGTTTAGACTTAAAATTAAAGCAGCAATATATTTTACATAAAATATTTGAAAGTTTATTGAAATATTATTTTATTCTGTAAGAATGAAGAAGAAAAACAAAACTGGTATATTCCTCTTTGGGGAGAGTGTAGAATAAAGAATACACTCAAACACTCTTAGTGGGATATACATATATGGAAGTAAATTGAGAAGTTTTATCCTAACTTAAAATACATATTCCCTTTGACTCAGCAATTATCTTCTACGTCTCTCTATTCTTTCAAGAGTGCAAAAGGATGTATGTATAAGGATGTCCATTTCAGCCTTGTTTGTGAAGCAACAATGACAAGTCTACTTAAATGTCCAGTAATACATTAACAAGTGAAAATATTACCCATAAACCAGATGTTAATTGAATCATACATACTGTAGTGCATGTTTCTCTGTTTATGTATTTATATAAGCACAACAAGTCTGAAAGGATCTATCCCAAACTTTTAATTTTCATTCACCTTCAAGGATGAGCTGGGAGACTAGAACTTTCATTTTTTTTTTTTTTTTTTTTTACTTCAGATGTATCTATATACCTTTAAAAGAAAAATCTTAGACAAATTAAATTTAACAGAGTTTGAGCAATGAATGAATTGCAAATCAGGAAACCCTCAAACCAGAATAGGATCAGAGCAACTCTGGCACTGCTGCATGATTAGAGAGGATTTATGGACAGAGAAAAAGAAAATAACATACAGAAAATAGAAGTGAGGTGCAGAAACAGCTGGATTGGTTACAGCTTAGTGTTTGCCTCATTTGAATACCGTTTAAATAATTGGCTCTGTGTGATTTGCCGAAACTTAGTGATTGCTACAAGAGTATCTTATAGTCTGTTTACACTTCCAGTTAGGTTACGGTTCACTGTGTATGGAGGAACCTTTAGGCCAAATTTAAAATATGTAAGGAAGAAGCTTTAAGCTAAACTTAACAGTAATTTCAACTTTTTTGCAATGATTGTGACTTACTTGGTTAATTTTAAAAAATAACAGTTCATGATTTTAAATATGACTATTACAATAAAGAACACAATATCATTGTTATCTATCGCCAACTCTAAAAAGATATATTAGTTGTCAACCTTTCTGATAAGAAGTATAATATGGCAAGGTGTCAAACTCAAGCTTATATTCAGCAACCATGGCTAAAAACTGGACTTTTTTATAAAGCTATATAATTTCTATTTGTTGAAAAACATGCGTCTTTTCCATTTCTCTACTTTTTTTCTTTTTTCCCCTACCCACAACTAGACTAAAATAATAAAGCTCATTTGGTATATAAGTAAGCTCCTTTTCAAGGCACGTCAGTTTTTTTATGCCATTTAAAAAGCATTTTCTACTTTCTTAAATAAATATCCTGTAAGCCTGGCATGAGATTTTTCTTCAGCTGTGTTAACACATGATCTCTGACAACTGATCATACAAACTACGCCATCTTCTAACTATTTTTGGTAGTTTTCCCCCCATGAACTGTAGAAGTGCGTGTGCTCACTAAGAAATAAAACTTTTACTTCAGAATCAATGATATCTGCATGATTTTGCTCCCTATGTCCTGGTTCATAACCTACCACTCAAGCATTGTTCTGTTAGTAGATGATGATTCCCTGAGCATTTTCTGGAAACATCTTACCGATGATGTTATCCTACACCCAACTAATCTGGTTTTTTTTTAATTTTTTATTTTTATTTATTTTTTTTGTAGGAGTTCTGTTGAATAGAAGCAGTTAAAGTGGCTTGCATCATTTTCTGCAGTAATAAGAGAGGACTTTTTTTAACTTCTCTGACTTGCTTTAAGTATGATTTGCAGATCACACTACATCTCTTCCTCAGCTTCTTTGTTGCCATCTTCAGTCAGTATTCATTCCACACGGTACGAATCATTAAGAGTTTCCATTTTGTTTGTGCAGTTTCTGGCAATCAAGGGCCAAACTGATTTCAGAGCTATTGAGAGAAGCAGCTTTAGACATTAAAATTAGTTGAAGATTTAAGTGTACTTTGTTCCCAAGTGCTTAAATTACTGTCAGTTTTGATTAAAACTTCTAGTAATTACAATAAAAATAAAGCAATTTAACTTAAATTTGTACCAATTACCTCCCTGTCCAAGAAAATGCTCCAAACCCAGAAATCTCTTTTATTTAAACATCTCATTTTAATGTGTTTGTACATATAAATCTTGTATTTACAGATAATTTCAGAAACACATGGTATGTATAGACAAATGAGTAATTATTCCACGAAGTATGTACGATTTATGTGCAGAAAGGAAATTATTGTACAATACTTATTTCAGGAATCTGTACTTTGAAAATAGAGCTCTAACTTCAGGCAACATCATAGATGAATGTCCTGCAAATTATTCTATAGTAAGATTGGAAAATGTCAAAATAAGAATATGACATTAGATGTTATAAAAATAACCACAAGATTCCTACAAATGCTACAACACCCCTATATTTCTTTAACGTAGGCATTCTTGACTTATCCTTTCATATATAAGCCTAGACTTATCCTTGTCAGAGCTCAAATATTATTAGATTGCTTCGATGTGGCTTTTACCATACACATTGTTACATTGTTAAAGCAATATCACAGCTAGAAATGCATAAAGCCACCAGAGTACAGGGTATTACTATTAGATAACTATAAAAGTGCACATATACGCAGCTCCGAAGCCAGGTATACCTATGCTGTCTCAGCTATTGATATGCCTTGGATGCAAAAATGGCTACAAATTTTCTTGTTTTGACTAAGTTGATTGAATAGGTAGGCACTATGACAACCACACATTTTAAAAGAAGGAGACTTTTAGTATTTATAAATTAGATTTCTGTTTAAAGACTATTAATGATAATCAGGTTATCAGCCTGACTTGTCATATCCCAAGTTTCATTAAAGTACTCAATAAAAGCACAAAAAAATGCAAAAGAAAAGCAGTAAAAAGCACGGATGTGAAACAATTTAGTCACTTGCCAGGATACAGGGGAGAACACCCACTAATACATTTGTGGAGTTAGGCAGATATAATGGTGGTCTAAAATTAGTCCACTTATAAAGGAAAAATCCCAGGCAGCCTGAGTGTAACCGTGAGTGTAGCCCCTTCTGTATTACCTGCTCATAGGTTTATGGCAGCCATCTACTCTGACAGGTCCTGAAGTAACCAGTACTGCCTCACTCTCATAAGCCCAAAGATGACTGTCTCTCTCCATCCCATAAGAACAATTCCCGGTATACAACATGGAGATGAGGGTCATAAAAGCAGAGCACACTGGAAATTACAGATTTACTATATACTGGATATAGTTAAAGAACAATGACATAGTGCCTATGATAGAAATTGTTCTCCTCATAAGAAAGAAAAGCAAACAAGCAAAAAAAAAAAAAATCTGCACAGTGATGATAAAATAGTCCTTTCTTATGTTCAATGAAGCCACGCTTCCTGGTAGCCTTCTACTCTGTCACTTACTAGCTATGTGACCTTGAGCAACTTATTTTGGCTTCTGAGCCTCAGTTTCATTTTTAAAATACATATAAGATGACCCATAGGCATGTAAATATACATATATATATACATATATATATATATATATATATATATATTTTTTTTTTTTTTTTTTTTTTTTTTTTTTTTTTTTTGAGACGGAGTCTTGCTCTGTCTCCCAGGCTGGAGTGCAGTGGTGCAATCTCGGCTCACTGCAAGCTCCGCCTCCCGGGTTCACACCATTCTCCTGCCTCAGCCTCCAGAGTAGCTGGGACTACAGGTGCTGGCCACCACACCCGGCAAATTTTTTTTTTTTTTTTGTATTTTTAGTAGAGACGGGGTTTCACCATGTTAGCCAGGATAGTCTCGATCACCTGACCTTGTGATCCACCCACCTCGGCCTCCCAAAGTGCTGGGATTACAGGCGTGAGCCACCATGACCAGCCTAGGCTTATATTAATAGTGAGAAAAATACGCTAAAATGCCTTGTGTAGAATTTGGCACATATTAGGTGTCCAGTGCATCCCAATCCATATTCTTTCCCTTCTTGTGATATATTAACCATATTCGCAGCATTTTTATGTACACAGTATATGTTAGAACTACATTCCTGGAACTGTCATCTAATATTCCTACCCTGAGGAATCTAGTTAAGGAAATAATAAGATTTTAGAAACTATTAATTCATATAGATGCTTCTTGAAACATTATTCAGAGTAGTGAAAATATAAGTAATTTAAGTATATAAAAATAAGGCCATTAAACTACAATTATGGAATGTTTTTGGTAGCATGTGAAAATGCTAAATTTAAAATGTTATGTGTTTGTGTGTATAGTTAACGATAAGGTATCGCACACATAAAAATTTAAGAGGTTAGATCTCATGTTAAGTATTCTTATCAGAAATAACAACAACAGAGAGACACAAGGAAACTTTTGGAATTGATGTATATGTTTATTACCTTGATTGAGGTGATGGTAGCTTGAGTGTACACATATGTCCAAAGTGTATACACTGATTATGAAGCGTTTGCTGTATACTAATTATACCTAAACAAAGCTTGAAAAATACGTTAAACACTTGAATAAAAAGGAAATTAACTTTAAAAATGTTATGGGTAAAGTAAGATAAACAGTTTATATAAGTAAAAAACTATATTGCAACCAACTGGAAACAAATAGTAAAATGTTAGTATTTGTTTTGAGTGGTAGGAGGTAGAGTCACTGTATTTAGGCTAAATTCTCTTCTGCAATGTTCACATTTTTGAAAAGATATATATATATGTATATGTGTATATATATACAACTTTTGTAATAAATTTTTATTAAAATAAATATATGAGAGTAACAATTATACGTCTCATGTAGTATGACTTTTCCTGAGTGTTACTCTAGACAGCTGTATTAGTGGGGTAGGGCCGCCATAGAAAAGTATCATTAACTGTGTAACTTAAACAACAGTAATTTACTTTTTCACAGTCTTGCAGCCTAGAGGTCTGAGTGCTGATGTTGGCAAGGTTGGCTTCTTCTGATACCTTTCTCCTTGGCTTGTAAGCATCCATCTTCTCCCTGTGTCTTTGCATGGTCTTCTCTCTGTACACAAACATGTCTATGTCCTAATGTCCTCCTTTTCTAAGGACGCCAGTCATACAGGATTAGGGTCCACTGTAGTGACTATATTTTAACTTAATTATCTCTTTAAAGATCCTCTCCTCAAATGCAGTCACATACTGAGTTACTGGAATTCAGGACTTTAACTTATAAATTTTGGAGGACACACTTCAGCCCAAAACTCTTCACCTTCTGAACCCCCAAATAAATGTTCGTCTCATATGCAAAATATATATACCCATTCTAAAAAGCCCAAAACAAAATATTAACCCATTTCATAAGCAATGTAAGGCCAAAATCTCATCTAAATATCTAAATCATGAATGGGTGAGACTTAAAGTATGATTCATTCTGAAGGAAAATTTCTCTCCAGCTGTAAACCTGTGAAACGAGACAAACTATCTGTGTTCAAAATGCAATTGTGAGACAGTTACAGAATAATTATTCTTATTCCAATAGAGTGAAATTGTAAATAACAATGGGGTCATGGGCCTCAAGCAAGTCCAAAATCTATCAGGGCAAATTCCATTAGATTTTAAGGTTCAAGAATAATCCTCTTTGACTTGATGCTCTGTTATCTAGGCCTATCTGTGTGGCCTTGCCTTCCAGGTTCACCACAGCAACAGCCCCATTCCCTGAATCTGTGCTCTCTCTGCCAGTCATGCTAACCTCTGAACTACCTTCAAGATTATCTTTCCCTTTTCTTGAAGGATAATTTATGTTCACAGTTAGATATCTCTACTGACGATCTTGTAGAATCACAGAAGTCCAACAACCTTCCTTCATTTAATCTCATCTCTGTTCTGTTCAATACAAGTTAGCAGAATTTCTCCTGGTATAAAATTTTCAAAAATATTGTTGATCTCCCATGCAATTCACTAGAGTCCATGCTCTCAGACAAAAAGATCCTCCACAGATATTTCTGGATAATCAGATCTTAGCTTCTGCTGAGATAGTTGATTGGACCCACGAGATACACTCATAATCTTTGTAGCAAATGACTGTTTAGCTACAACCTTGTTCTCTCCAGAATATGCTTTTTCATTTTTTAAAATATAAGATAGGCTGAGAACTTTGGAAATCTTCACATTCTATTTTTTTGTGCTTAACAATTCATATATATATATATATATATATATATATATATATATATATATAATGAATATTATTCAGCTCTAAAAAAGAATGAGATCTTGCCATTTGCCACAACATGAATGAGAGTGGAGGACATCATCCTAAGTGAAATAAACCAGACACACACACAAAATATTGCATTACCTCACTTATATGTGGAATCTAAAATAAAATCAAATATACACAAATAGAGAACAATGGTTATTAGGAGCAAAGGAAGAGGAACTGGGGAATGTAGGTCAGAAGATACAAAGCAGTAGATATGTAGGATGAAAAAAATCTAGAGATCTAATGTATAACATGAGAACTACAGATAATAAAATTATAATGTATTTGGAGTTCCTTCTAAATGAGTAGATTTTTAGCAGCTCTGGCCACAAAAACACACACAATAAATAAGTATCTTGGTGAGCTGATTGGTGTGTTCATTTGATTCACCGTAGTAACCTTTTTACTCTCTCTATCCTATAACATTATGTCATATAGCTTAAATATGCACAATAACATGATTTTGAAAAATATAAACATTTACTAATTTTTAAAAAATCCTTCAACTGATGGCTCTTCTCTCACATTTTACCATAAGCAGAGAAGAGAAACCAGATTGCATCTTAAACATTCTGCTTAGAAATCTCCTCAGCTAAATATCCAAATTTATTGCTTATAAGTTCTACTTTCCACAAAACACTAGAACACAATTTGGCAAAGATCTTTGCCACTGTATAACAAGGATCACCTTTCCTCCACTTTCCAGTCATATGTTACACATTTTCATCTGAGACCTCACCAGAAGCACCTTTAATGTTCATATAACCATTATTTTCATGATGATATATGTATTCTCTAACACAATAAAAGTTTTCTCTATACCTCTCCTCTTTTCTTTCTGAGTTTTCACCAGAATCACCTTTAACATCCATACTCTTCTAACAGCTTCAAAGCAATCTAAGTTTTTTCTAACATGCACTTACAAACTCTTCCAGCCTCTACTCATTATGTAGTTCCAAAGCCAAATCCATATTTTTATGTATTAGTTACAGTAGCACCCCACTTTCCAATATCAAAATTTGTATTAGTTTGATAGAGCAGCCATAAAAATTCCACAGATAGGGTGACTTATATAACAGAATTTTTTTTTTTCATAGTCCTGGAGCCTAGAAATCCAGAACTAGGTGTTTTCTGAGCTAGTTTCTTCTGAGGCCTCTCTTCTTAGGCTTGTGAATGGCTGTCCTCTCCCTGTGTCTTTACATGGTCTTCCCTCTGTACAAATACAGTTCTGTGTCCTAATTGCCTCTTCTTATAAGGACACCAGCCATATTGACTTAGGGCCTATCTTTGTTATCTCATTTTAACCTAATTACCACTCAAAAGATTCTCTCCCCAAATGCAGTCACATTCTGAAGTACTGAGGGTTAGGACTTTAACATATAAATTTGGGGAAACACAAGTTAGCTCATAACTGCAGCCCTTGCTAGATTATTGTCACTTACCTGATCTGAATTCCTACTCCATAAAAAATTAATGGTCATCAACAAAATAGAGATAACATCATTTAGTCAACTAATTTGCTTTTTTATCCCCTCTGCTGTGTAGTACCTTTATGTTCTTGGTCAAGATAAACACTCTTAGCCTCAGTTTCCTGACTTGCAAAATAAGGATGATAATATCTGTCTCATAGAATTATTGAGCACATTAAATGATATTAAATGTAAAGAACCTATTGTAGTGTCTGATGAAAGTAAATATTAAACAAATATGAATTCCTTTTTCTTTTCCTTCTATTAGTGAGAATTGCTTCAATATTGTCATCTCAACTATGGAACGTATCCACATTCATCCTTTTTCCCTGCCTCTGTTTTTTAAGACAAAATCCTCTACCCATGTTCTCAGTTCCACTAACTCCAGCCTTTTTTGGTAGTCGATATCATGAAGATAAACTTGAATATTTGATATTACAGGTCTGTAACTCACTTGGCTGTGTGACCTTGGGACTTTCAGCTAATTGTTCTGAGCTCAGTTTCTAATTTGTAGAATCAAGATAATAATACATGTCTCATAGGATTGTTGTGCTTGGTACAGGTGTGAAGCATCAGTAAATATTTCTTGAATGAATACTGATGATAACAAATACCATTTATTGAACATTTACTATATGCCAGGCAGTGAACTAAATATTTTACATAACTTATTTGATTGAATTTTCACAAAAACCGTATCAAGTGAATCAATAAATTCTCCCTATTTTGTTTAAGCTAATGCAACATGGTCTTCTTTATTGTATAACCAAAGACCCCTTACTAATATAGTAGTTGAGTCTATTTTTTAACATTCTGACAGGAATATAATTTGCAACACAATGTCCACCAAAGACAGTATAATATTTCTTGATACATATTTCATTTCTATTTTTAATCCAATGCCATAAAATATTTTTTCGTAAAAATAAAGAACACTGCTATTTATGTACAGCCCAAAACCCACAGTGTGTAGCGTGAATATAATGCCATCACTTGTAAAAAGAGAACAAGAAACAGCCTGAAATGACAGAAGTTCTACATCAAAAGATTGAAAGTTAGAAAAAGTACTAAAGGATTAAACCATACCTTATTCCTTCTTAAATGAGTTACATTCATCTACACACACACACACATACACATTTGTTGATGACCATTAATTTTTTATGAAGTAGGAATTCAGGTCAGGTAAGTGATAATAATCTAGCAAGGGCTGCAGTTATGAGCTAACTTGTTTTTCTCCAAATTTATGTGTTAAAGTCCTAACCCTCAGTACTTCAGAATGTGACTGCATTTGGAGAGAGAATCTTTCAAGTGCACGCACACACACACACACACACACACACACACACACACGTAAAAGGGTTTTTTTTAAATTCTTGTTAGAAGTTTTACTTTTTTCTGTATTTTTTACAGCTTCTAATTTTGTCTTTAAAATATTCTAGCCAGGGGCGGTGGCTCACGCCTGTAATCCCAGCACTTTGGGAGGCCGAGACAGGCAGATCAGGAGGTCAGGAGATCGAGACCATCCTGGCTAACACGGTGAAACCCCGTCTCTACTAAAAATACAAAAAAAAAAAAATAGCCAGGCGTGGTGGCGGGCGCCTGTAGTCCCAGCTGCTCGGGAGGCTGAGGCAGGAGAATGGCGTGAACCCAGGAGGCGGAGTTGCAGTGAGCCCAGATCGCGCCACTGCACTCCAGCCTGGGCGACAGACTGAGACTCCTTCTCAAAAAAAATTTCCTAATTTATCATCCTGCTGTGGCCCATTCCTAATAATGAGTACATAGTGTAAAAACAGTAGGCCATATTGAAAGAAACAATCTCTCATCCTAAATAAGAAGTATAACCCACATTATTGTGTGATTGTTCTCAAGACATTTGCGTTGTCCGTGGTGCCCTGTTAGCTTAAACACAAAACTGCTACTGTGGATATTGTATACCACTCAAATGATATTTTGCTCATAGATCTTACTCTTTCACATCTCTCTGTATAGTGTAAATATTTAAGGACGAAAGCTGACCACAGGACCATTTTAGGAAAAGCCAATTTGTCATCTTTATTCTTCCTCTATCCTCTCTTTGAGCTCATCTTAATTCCCTCAATAGCACATTTCCTCTACAGTCACTAATTTCTTTTTACCTCTTAAATACCTTGTAAATATTCTCCCTTCACTCACTGCGTCATCCATACTCCAACCACAATGATATTTCTAAAATTTAAAGCAAAATTTGCTTTGAGCATATCCCATTTAAAACCCACTAAACACCTCTCACTATTGTCTTCAGGATAAAGATCAGATTCTTCAGTTAGCAAGCAACATTCTCCATGTTCTGACTCTCTTGCCTTTTCTTTGCCTTATCAAACGCTCACAAGAACTCTGCCTCAGAGCTGTGAATCTGCTGGAATCCTCTATTTCTGATGTCAAAATGTCTTGCCCTTTCATTTACTTCCAGTCTTTGCTCAAATATCACTTGCCAGGACCCAGGATCTGGATTAGAGTGAGGGAAACGAGGTGCCAAGGGCACAAAATTTAAGGAGGAATTTGCTCCCAGACTTGTGAAAGTGCAGTGTTGGCTACTGAGAATTAGTGCCTTCTTACGTTTTGTGTTCTGATGACTTCCTTTGCCTCACCCTAGACCCAGCCTTCCTGGCATCTACCATATAATATTGTAACCACACCCTGACACATCCTATCCCCCTCCTCTGGTTTACTTCTCTATAGTATTTGTCACTATTCAACATATTTACTTATATAATTGTTACTTTTTTCTCTGTCCCTAAAACAGTGCGAGCTCTATGAGGACAGGGATTATCTCAAGTTTTGTTCACTGCTGTATATCTAGTGCCTAGAATAGTACCTAGAATATAGTAGATACTCAATAAACATTTGTTGAATGAAGAATGTACAAATCTACTTGCAATTTCTAGAACCCCCGCACTCTCTGCATGACTTTGCATATGCTATTCTCTCTGCCAGGAATGCCCTCCCTACCTAAGTATGCCGTATTAACTCCTACCTACTCTAATGAATTAAGATTTGCTTTCTTTTAGAAGCCTTCCTTAACATCTTTTACACTTTATTAATTGATCCTCTTTTGCAATATTCTCATATTATCACACTATATTATGGTTGTGTTTCTTATCTATAGTCTCAACTAAACTGTGAATTTCTTGAATGCCATGAATCCCTGACTGTGTGGGCTTGGCATAATATAAAGTGCTTTGAAGACACTGAGACATAAGCTAGACTCCTGGTTTAGCCACTTACTCACAGGACAAATCACCTAGTCTCAGTGAGCATGTTTCCTCATCTAAAACATGAAGATGGTAATGTATATTTTATATGGGGAACATGAAGATAAATTAAGGATCTGTACGTAAAGGCTTAGCATTTTGCCCAACACATTGCATGCACTCAAAAAATGATGGATGTTATTATCTATATCGCCCCTCCACAAACAATTAACAGAACCCTAGTTAAACAGTAGGTGCTGAGCACATGTTTGAATAAATGAATACATGCTTCACCCTGCCTGTCCATGTCCTCACAATTTTTTGATACTCCGAGCTTCCCTCTCCAGGTTGTTCTAGAGTCAACTCATACCAGCTTACAAGAGCTGATTTGTATACATTTCTTCTCAATTCTATGTTCAATACTATCTCATTGGTAGAATGAAATCAACCATGATAGACATATTTACACAATAGAAATCATCAAATGGTACAAATCAAGCCTTCCTTCCCCCTCTCCAAAATCAGTTTATCAGCACACCATTATCCCACTCCTGACTCATATACAGAAATATAATAATGAATGAGGAAGAGAGCAAAGGTGATTATAACAGGTGTTTATATAATCTGTGGAAGATAGGCAGACTTTTGATGTCCTTTAAATCATAAGAGCCCCTGGTGTGAAAAATGTTATCTTTCCATTATTAGAATATGTTTTCAAGAAAAATATATTTTTAATAAAAAAAGATACATAGTGATTTGTGCTGGTCATATTAACTATGGAGTTAGGAAAAAAGTAAAGTTTGTTAAAGGTAAATCAACATGTTGTGGTGAGTATAACCTCTCTCTAGGAGGCTACCTGTGTGATCTAGAGCTGGAGGTAAAGAAGTAATATGTTATTTGGATCTCGAGTACACCATCTATTAAATAGGAATAGGCGGTATTCCAGACATGCTTCTTTTTAAAGCCTCTCTGGCAGCATAGTATAATGAAAAGTACCTTGGACCTATAGGTAAGAAGACATCACTCCTTATTCTTACTTGCTAGTAAGGTGTTATATAACTTGCTAGTCAGGTGTTGAGACAGATCACAAATAAAATGGGATATTTATGTTTTGTGTTCTTGAGGAGACTACTGTGAGCATCCAATGCAATGATATATTGGAATGTTTTCGGTAAACCTTAGCCTGCTGTTGAAGGTTTTAGCATGCTATTTAAATTATTAATATGATTATGATGTATTGACTGCTTGCATGATCTTTGATTGATTATACTACAAGATTGTCTGCCAAATGGATTTCCCACCTCTCTAAGGATAAGGATGGTAAAAATTGGTATTGACTACTGAAGATTTTCAACAATTATTGACATCATAAAAATTAACTATGCTCAATTCCTGCCAATTTGCTTTAGTAATCATAGTGACCAACTGAAATCTCAAGATCTCTTCTTTTGGCTGCTGGTTGATAGTAACCATTCTTCTATCATGATATCTCCAATACCCCCTCAAAATGGTAGTTCTGAAAAAAGAAGGTTAAAGGCATTACTTTCTGCAAGAAAGCCATAGTCCTCCCTCATGTTGTAATTTTTCTTTTTCTTTTTCTTTTTTTCTTTTTTTTTTTGAGACAGGGTCTCTCTCTGTCCCCAGACTGGAGTGCAGTGGCGCGATCTCGACTCACTGCAACCTCCATCTCTCAAGTTCAAGCGATTCTCCTGACTTAGCCTCCCGAGTAGCTAAGACTACAGAGCACACCACCACCGCTAAGTTTTGTATTTTTAGTAGAGACGTGGTTTCACCATGTTGGCCAGGATGGTCTCGATCTCTTGACCTGGTGATCCGCCCACCTTGGCCTCCCAAAGTGCTGGGATTACAGGCGTGAGCCACCATGCCCAGCCTCATATTGTAATTTTTCTAGAGGACTTATTGCAAGTTTCTTCAGATTTTGAAAAACGCATTGACTTTCTGGAGAACTGATCTTCAATCCCATTTGTCTTTATTATATAAATGTAGTCCCTCCTTTCTCACTTTGTCAACATCTAAAACAAGCACCAGTGATTTAGTACAGCCATACAAACACTGAATCAGAGTTAAGGGAAGGAGTATAGTTGATGTGTTAGTCTAAAGAGAAAAAGGATGAGCAACAGACCCAGCAACAACAAAAGGACATTCTCATCTAGGTTTTATATTACCTGGGAGCCTGACTTCTGGTTCAATTTCCAGTTCTGTTAGTGGCACAACACACTGCCTTGGGCAAATCACTTAACCTCCTTGTGTGCCTGACTTTCTGTGAAGAGAATGAAGTACAGGCATAGCTTAATGTTTATGCATCACTTAGGGCTCCTGGAAGCATAATGCCATTGTGTATTGGTAGTAGATATAAAAAACATACTTTTAAAATTTTAGCTGCAATTGTATAGATTTGCATTGTTCACGAGAGCACCATACTTGAAGATTTATACGCAGTTACATGTCTTACCCTTCTAATGGCAAACAGTCAAATTGATATCATGCTGCCCAGGCTAAATAAGTCGCCTGCTTTGCTTCAAGGATACTGACATTTGCCTTCTGTCAGTATTTCTTTCAATAGCATGAAAGAGTCTCATCCAATTATGCACAGTAAAGGTCTAAAAGTCCTTCCAGGGTCCTGATACAGCGTAAATAAGCTTACCCATCGTCAGGCTGAACTAATTTGTCGGATGCTGGCCACTATAGAACACAATAGATATTAGGTATTTAGGAACATACATCAACAGTCAATAAAAAATATCTGTCATTTATTGAATGACTACAGTATGCCAGCTCTTTATATAGTTTATTTTGTAATCCTCACAACGACTCTGCAAAGTTAGTATTAGCTTCATTTACAGGTGAAATCTCTAAACCTCGGAGAGGTAAAGAAACCTGATGGCGGCCAAATTACTACTAAATAACAGACTGGAATCCATATTCAAATGCAACCCTATTATACTCCAAAACCCATGTTCCTAGCCAGTATACCATACTATTTCCTTTTCTGAGTTCTTCCCAGTTGAGGATAGACTCCATCTCTTGATATCTCAAAGCACTCTTAAATTACATATGCAAAGTGGATGTGGTACTTGGGATATCCTGTCTAACCTTTTAATAGGCATGTTTCTGATATTCTTCTAGTAGGAATAACACCAGAATTTTGGTCTAAACTACTTTGATATGTTAGGACATTAGAGTAAGACCCATAGCTAAGTCTTGATAGAATAGTGAATTTGGAGAGAATTCTTTCCTCTTTACTTTGAACAAGTTTTATTCCACTAAAATATTGTAATGATATACAGAAAAATATATTCCCCAGAACTCCCTTCATGAAAAGGGTGTTTGTTCAGAAAAAAATTCATTGACACATCTAATTAAGGTATAAGTTTAGACAAAGTGTAAGTTATATAAGTTCTTCACTGTAAGGACACCTGGGAGATGGAGCAAATGAAGGCTGGAATCTAATTTACACTTGGCTTATCATACTGTGCATTCTGATGCAGGGTTACTGTAGCCTGCAGAAAGAAATGAATTTGGCTTTGCACAAAGAAACAATCCTGCACTTTCAAGGTTATATCCACCAAGAGAGGACATGCTTTTCTAATGTATGCAGGGATGCTCTATAGGTTAGAAAAATGATATCTCCTTCAATCTGGTTACCTTTTTATTCATCATTCTTTGTATGTTTAAAAAACCTTACAGCTATTGCAGGCACTTGGCTAAATAACTTATAACGTTGTCACATTTGTTTTTACAACAACTTATGATTCTCTCCATTTTACAGTAATATGCTCTAAGCAAAACAATTCTTAGTGGCAGAATCTGTATTTCAACACAACTTTGACTCCAAAGACAATGTTCTTAACTTTAAGGCTTTACTGCCACCCTAACATTATAACATTGTTTGTTGTCCATACAGTAAATATCTCTCCTAAGTATTCATAAAATAAAAGATGAAAATATACAGCCATATTACCTAGTTATTTTATAAACTTTGGGGTATATAGCTAATTTTCTGATTTGCTTATTTGCTAATTGTTACTGAACCAATCTTGTTTTGACCCTATCATGAACCAAGTCACCAAATAAAATTTTCCTGTTCCTTGGTATAAGATCATTTCTGTTCAAATTTTCCTAAAAAACTTTAATATTAAACACACCAAAATTTATAGTTCAAAGTGCTTCTGAGAGAAGGAGTGGAGCAAGATGGCGGAATAGAAGACTGTGCTGATCATTCCTTCCACAAGGACACAAATTTAACGACTGTCTACACACACAAAAAAAATCTTCATAAGGACCAAAACTCAGGATAGCACTCACAGTACCTGGTTTTAACTTCGCTGAAAGAGGCACTGAAGAGGTAGCAAAAACAGTGTTGAATTGCTGATGTCACCCCTCCCACATCCACCGGCACTGGCAGCATAGTGCTGAAAACTTTTTTGTGCCCTAGGGAGAGGGTGAGCCAGCAATTGTGAGGTATTGAACATAGGGCTGCCCTTTTATAGAAGAAACCGAAACCAGACTATACTCAGCTGGCACCCGACCATGGAAGGAGTAATTAAACCACTTCTAGGCAAAAGGGAATCACCAATCCCAGTGGTTGGAACATGAGTTCCTGCAAGTCTCACCACCACAGACTGAAGTGTCCTAGGACCCAAAATAAACTTGAAAGGCATCAAGGCCACAAGGACTGCAACACCCAGGCAAGTCCCAGGGCTGAATTCAGCCCAGAAACAGTGGACTGAGGAGACGTGCAATCTTAGACATCAACTGGGGTGGCTAAGGGAGTACTGGCATCACCCCTCCCTTAACCCCAGGCTACACAGCTCATCTCTCCAAAGGAAGCCTCTTCCCTTCACTTGAGGGGAGGAAATGGAAGAGTGGGGAGGACTTTGTCTTGCATCTTGAGTACCAGCTCAGCCACAGCAGGATAGGGAACAAGTGAGAGTCATGTGGCCCCTTTTTCAGGCCCTGGCTCTCGGACATTTCTAGATATGCCAGGGCCAGAAGGGAATCCTCTGTCTTGAAGGGAAGAACCTAGTCCTGGCATGATTTATCACCTGCTGACTGAAGAGTCCCTGGGTCCTTATAAACCAGCCGTGAAACCAGGTGTTATGTTGAGGCCCAGGAGTGAGACATTGAGACTTACTGGCTTCAGCTGAGACACAGCACATTCCCAACTATGGGTGCTATGGAATGAGACTCCTTCTGCTTGAGAAAAGTGGAGGAAAAAGTAAAGGGAACTTTGTCTTGCACCTTAAGTATCAGCTTGGCCACAAGGGAATAGAGCTAAAAGCAGGCTCTTGGGGTCACTAATTTTAGGATATGGCTCTTGGATGGCATTTCTGGACCTACTGTAGGGCAGAGGGGAGCCACTGCCCTGAAGGGTGAGTCCCAGGCCAGCAGCATTCAACACAAGCTGACTGAAGAGCCCTTGGACCTTAAGGAAACATTGGTGGTAATCTGGCAGTATTCCTTGTGAGCCTGAGGTAGCAGTGGCCATGAGGTGAGGCTCCTCTGCATTTGGAAAGGGGAGGGAAGAGTGGAAAGATCTGCTTCTTGTGATTTGAGTGTCAGCTCAGCCACAGTATAATAGAACACCAGGTAGATTGTTAAGGTTTTTCACTCTAGCCCCTGGCACCAAGACGCCACCTCTGGATCCATCCAAGGCCTAGGGGAACTTGCCACACTGAAGGAAAAGATATAGTCCTGGATGGCATTGCAACCTGCTGATTGTAGAGCCCCAGGGCTTTGAGCAAACTTAGGCAATAGCCAGGAAGTGGTTACAGCAGGCTTTTGGTCAGATCCAGTGCTGTTTTGGCTTCAGGTCTGACTCAGTGCAGTTCTAGCTGTGGTGGCCACAGTGGTTCTTTTGTCACTCCACACACAGCTACAGGTGGCACAGAACAAACAGACTCAATTTTCTTGGGAGAAGGTAAGTGAGGAGAACACGAGTCTCTGCCTGGTAGTTCAGAGAATTCTTCTGAATCTTGGCCAAGACCATCAAGGTGGTACCTGTATGTGTTTGCAAGGATGACTGTTACTGGGCTTGGGGTCCGCTCAAAACACAAACAGCCTAAATTACAATAACCAAGTTCTTTAGAATACCTAGAAAGCCTTCCCAAGAAGGACAGGTGAAAACAAGCCTAAACTGTAAAGACTACAATACCTAACTCTTCAATGCCCAGACAAAAATGAACATCTAAATGTATCAAGATGAGTGCTGTGCGTGGTGGCTCACGTCTGTAATCCAAGCACTTTGGGAAGCCAAGGTGAGCTAATCACCTGAGGTCAGGGGTTCAAGGCCAGCCTGGGCAACATGGTGAAACCCTGTCTCTACTAAAAATACAAAAAGTAGCCAGGCATGGTGGTGCATGCCTGTGATTCCCAGCTACTCAGGAGGCTAAGGTACGGAGGTCACTTGAGCCCGGGAGGCAGAGGTTGTAATGCGCTGAGATCGCACCGTTGCACTCCAACCTGGGCAACAGAGTGAGGCTCTGTCTTTAAAAAAAATGTATCAAGATGATCCAAGGAAACATGATCTCACCACATGAACTAAATAAGGCACCTGAGACCAATCCTGGAGAAATACTTCTATGTGAACTTTCAGACAGATAATTCAAAATAGCTATTTTGAGAAAACTTGAAGAAATTCAAAATAACACAGAGAAGGAATACATAATTCTATCAGATAAATATGGCAAAGAGATTAAAACATCAAAAAGAATCAAGCAGAAATTGTGAAGCTGAAAAATGTAACTGGCATAGTGATGAATGCATCATTCTTTTAATAGCAGAATTGATCAAGCAGAAGAAAAAATTAGTGAGCTTGAAGACAGGCTATATGAAAACACATAGTCAGAGGAGACAAAAGGAAGAACAAGAAATACAATGAAGGACACCTACCGAATCTAGAAAACAACCTCAAAAGGGAAAATCTAACAGATACTGGCCTTAAATAGGAGGTAGAGAAAGAGACAGTGGTAGAAAGTTTATTCAAAGCAAAGATAACAGAGAACTTCCCAAACCTAGAGAAAGATCAATATCCAAGTTCATAAGGTTACAGAACACCAAGCAGATTTAACCCAAAAAAGATTACCTCAGGACATTTACTAATCTAACTCCCGAAGGTCAAAGATAAAGATCTTACAAACAACAAGAGAAAAGAAACAAGCAACATACAAAGGAGCTCCAATACATCTGGCAGCAGACTTTTCAATGGAAACTTTAAAGGCCAGGACATAGTAACATGACATATTTAATGTGCTGATACAAAACAGTAACTTTTACCCTAGAATAGTATATCGAGTGAAATTACTCTTCAAATATGAAGGAAAAATACTTTTCCAGATGCACAAAAGCTGAGGGATGACATCAACATCATACTTGTCCTACAAGAAATATTAAAGAGAGTACTTCCATCAGAAAAAAAAAAGATGTCAGTGAGCAATGAGAAATCATCTGAAGGTACAGAACTCACTGGTAATCATAAGTACACAGAAAAAACACAGATTAAAAAGAATACTATGACACTGTAACTGTGGTGTGAAAACTAATCAAGTAGAAAGACTAAATCACAAAACACTCAAAAATTATAACTATGATGATATTTCAAGACATAGACAGTATAATAAAACATAATTATTAAAAACAAACTTTAAAAAGTGGGGAGATCAAGTTAAAGCATAGTGCTTTTATTAGATTTTTTCTTGTTTGTTTATGCAAATAGTGTTAAGTTGTCATCAGGTTAAAATAATGAGTTATAAGATAGTATTTGCAAGTATCATGGTAACCTTAAACCAAAAAAACACAACAAATACATAAAAGTTGAAAAGCAACAGGCCAGGCAGGATGGCTCATGCCTGTAATCCCACCACTTTGGGAGGCCGAGGCCGGCAGATCACCTGAGACCAGCCTAGCCAACATGGTAAAACCCTGTCTCTACTAAAAATACATAAATTAGCCGGACCTGGTGGCATGCACCTGTAGTCTAAGCTATTCAAGAGGTTGAGGCAGGAGAATCACTTGAACCTGGGAGGCGGAGGTTGCAGTGTTCTGACATGGTGCCACTGCACTCTAGCCTGAGTGAGAGAGTGAAACTCCATGTTAAAAAAAAAAAAAAAATCGAAAAGCAACCAGGGGAAATCACCTCCATTGAAAGGAAGACAGGAAGGAAAGAAAGAAAACAAGGCCACAAAACAAACAGAAATCAAAATGACAGGAGTGAGTCCTTACTAATCAATAATAGTATTGAATGTAAATCGACTAAACTCTCCAATCAAAATACATAGAGTGGCTGAATGGATAAAAATATAAGACACATTGTTGTGATGTCTACAAAAGACACACTTAACCTATAAAGACACACATGACTGAAAATAAAGGGATGGTAAAAGGTATTTTGTGCCAATGAAAACAAAGAAACAAAAAAAAAACAAAAAAGTGAGCAGGAGTAGCTATACTGATATCAAACAAAATAGATTTCAAGATAAAAATGATATGAAGAGACAAAGAAGGTCAGTATGAAATGATAAATGGGTCAATTCAGCAAAAGGATATAACAATTTGAAATATATATATGCCCAATACCGGAGCACACAGATATATAAAAGCAAATTTTACTAGAGCAAAAGAGAGAGATAGGCTCCAATACAATAATAACTGGAGATTTCAACACCTCACTCTTACCATTGGACAGATCTCCCAGGCAGAATATCAACAAGGAAATATCAGTCTGCCCTATAGGCCAAATGGATCTAATATATATTTAGGGAACATTTCATCCAATGGCTGAAGAAAACACATTCTATTCCTCAACCCATGGATCATTCTCAAGCATAGGTCATATGTTAGGTAAAAAATCAAGTCTTAAAATATTCAAAAATATTGAAATAATATCAAGCATCTTTTCTGATGACAATGGAATAAAACTAGGAATCAATAAAAAGAGAAATTCTGGAACTATTCAAAAGTAGAAATTAAAGAATATGCTTCTGAATAACCAGTGAAGAAATTAAGAAGAAAATTGAAACATTTCTTAAAACAAACGATAATGAAAACACAACATACCACAACTTGTGGGACACAGCAAAAGCAGTACTAAGCAGCAAATGTATAGCTGTAAGTGCCTACATCAATAAAGAAGAAAAACATAAAATAAGCAACCTAACAATGCATGTTAAAGAGTTATAAAAGCAAGAGCCAACCAAACCCAAAATCAGTAGAAGAAAATAAATAACAAAAATCAGAGCAGAAATAAATGAATTGAAAGGAATAAAACAATACAAAATGAAAAACTGTTTTTGGAAAAGTTAAACAAAAATCAACATTTAGCCAGACTAAGAAAAAAAGAAGAAGACCCAAATAAATAGAATCAGGATGAAAAACATATATTACAACTGACACTGCAAAAATTCAAAGGATTATTTGCGACTACCATGAGCAACTATATGCTAATGAATTCAAAAATCTAGAAAACATAGACACATTCCTAGACACATTCAACCTACCAAAATAGAACCATGAAGAAATCCAAAACCTTAACACACCAATAACAGCGAATGAGATGAAAGCTGTAATAAAAAACCTCCCAGTTAAAAAATAAATAAAAAATAAAGCTTGTGACCAGGTCATATTTATTTTTTCCTGGTGGAGTGACCCAAAGCTTCATTTCTGAAGGGTCTGGGCCATTTGTAGTCCTGCCTGGATTGGGCTGTCATAGTTTCCCATTGACCTTAATCACAGGGCATGGTAATAAGAAGAGGCATCCTAATGGATCTCCTGTATTCCATGCATACTCTTCCTTAAATCTGTTGTAGAGAAGTAGACTGATTTCATCTCGACAGTCTCAGTCAATCACTCCAGCCAACACTGTAACTCCTTCTTAGCCTGTTGACTTAAGGGTAGCAGGAGCCCAAAGTGTCCAGGTGACAATCTTAACTTCCAGTTTAATGGAACTGTTGTGTCTCCTGGTGGCAGCATTCCTCTCTCTGAAACTAAGACCTCTAGGTCAACAGAACCTAATGTCGTGGGAACAGGAAGCAAAAATTTTGCTAGTGGATCACCAGGGGCGATGGTGAGTAGTGCCACTTCCACTTCCATCCCCTGATTCCTGGACCTGTGAATCCTGGCTATGGGAGAAAAAGTACCATATATTGGATGCTGATTCAGAGCATATACAGCCTTCTGGTGGACTTTGCCCCACCCTGCCAAGTACTGTCACCTAGTTGGCATTGCAGTTGTAACTACGAAAGGTCATTCCACCATTCTATCAATCCAGCTGCTTCAGGATGATGAGGAACATGATGGTAAGACCAGCAAATTCCATGAGCATGAGCCCACTGCCACAATTCTTTAGCCATAAAGTGAGTGCCTTGGTCAGAGGCAATACCATGACAGTGGATAAGGCATTTCGTGAGTCCACGGATGGTAGTCTTGGCAGAAGCATTGCGTGCAGGATAGGCAAACCCATATACAGAGTAAGTGCCTATTCCAGTGAGGACAAACCTCTGCCCTTTCCATAATGGAAGAGGTCCAATATAATCAATCTGCCACCAGGTAGCTGTCTGATCACCCCAAGGAATGGTGCCATATCAAAGGCTCAATGTTGATTTACTATAGCTTTGTGGTGTAATTTGAAGTCAGATAATGTGATCGTCTAGTTTTGATCCTTTTGCTTAACGTAGTATTGGCTATTCCAGGCATTTGCTGTTTTCATATAAGTTTTAGGATTGTTTTTTCTATTTCTGTGAAGAATGTCATTGGTATTTTGAGAGGGATTGCATTAAATCTGTAGATTGCATTGGGTATTGTGTACATTTTAAAAATTGATTCTTCCAATTTGTAAACATGAAATGTCTTCATTTTTTTGGTGTTGTCTTAAATTTCCTTCATCAGTGTTTTGTCGTTTTTATTATAGCAATTTTTCACGAGTAGGTTAAACAATTTCTAGGCACTTAATTTTACGTATTGCTATTGTAAATAAAATTAATTTTCTCTTTTTCAGATTGTTCATTGTTTGCATGTAGAAATGCTACAGAATTTTGTGTGCTAATTTTGTTTCCTGCAACTTCACTGAATTTATTAGTTCATTAGTTTTTTTGGTAGAGTCTTTAAGTTTTTTGAGCTACAGGATAATATCATCTGCAACAAGGATTGTTCGACTTTTATATTCCAATTTGGATTTCTTTTATATTGTTCTCTCATCAAATTGCTCTTGCTAGACCTTCCAGTACTATGTTGAATACAGGTGGTGAAAGTGGGCATCCTTGTCATGTTCCAGATATTTGAAGGAAACCATTCAGTTTTTCCCCATTCAGTATAATATTAGCTGTGGGTCTGTTATATATGGCTTTATATATATATCTCATTGGCTATATATACATCTCATTGGCTAGAACAAAGTGATATATCATATATATATATAATCTCATATATATATCATATATATACACATACACACACATACATACATATATATGGCTTTATATATATTTATATATGTATATATATATGTATGTATATAGATAGATAAATATATCTTTTTCTTTTTCACTCTCTCCTTTTTTTACTCCTCACTTGTATCTTTCTCTTTCCAAGAAGAAAGAAATCTCTTATAGGTTGTGTTGGTAACAATTACTTTCAAGAGGTACTAATAAAAATCTTGATAGATAATATCTTAAATGTATAAAAATTTATGTCTTTACATAAAGATAAATCCATAAGTTAGCAGTACAAGGCTGATAATGTGGATCGATTATGCTAAATTCTTTCTTTTTTTTTTTTTAACTGTTGACTGTAGGCAGGAAGAAAAAGGAAGGGCAAAGGAAAAATACACAATATAGCTGAGTCTTTCTCTTTTTATTATAAAATCAATAGCTGATCTGAAACCCTCACAGAGTAAAATTCCACATACATCTCATTGGCTAGAACAAAGTGATATATCATGCACAGTGGCAAGAGGATCTGGTAAATGTAGTTTCTACTCCTCCAGGTATCTTGCCATTCCTCATCCTACCCAAAATTAGGGCTCTGTTAGGTAAGGAATACAAGGAGTACAAATACTGGGTGGGTAATTAGCAGCATTGCCCAAAAAGGTCAGACTAGAAAGAAAAAAAAAAGACGGCCAAACACACAAGAGGTTCATCAAGAAAAGAATATCACTTTTACTGGAAAAAGAACATGTATTATCAGCAGATTGGACAGGTGAAGTTTTCTGCTTTTGATTCCCTCCTCTCTTTTTAACCATTTTCTTCCTCTTCACTCTTCCCTATATGGCTCGTGTAGTCATATACTGTATGGGAGATGAGATGGCCTTGCCCCGATTAAATGAGCAGACCAAAGTCAAATCCAGATGTAATCCAAAAATAAAATTCTAAGTCCCCCAATTGACAGAATGGACCCCCTTTTTGCCAAGGGGACCCAAAGAAATACTGAAATATGAGTTCAGGTCATGATAGGAAAGGAGGGTCAGATATGCCTCATTATATTTTCCTTCCTATGGCGTTCAGACACAACTGACCAGCATTAACATTTAAACAGAGATCTTAAGACTCACAAAACAGACTCTTTGTACCAATAAGACACAAAAACTCCAAACTGACTATAGTATAGCATCACATGACAAACAGCAGGCCCTGAAGAAAATCAGAGTATTTTATCCCAAAATGTATTTCATTGACATCTTTTAGACTGGTCCTGCATGGCTATCTCTTGTGCATTCTATAGAGACTCCCCTTTCCTTAGTAGCTCTGTTCCAGAGAGTCTGATACCTTTTCAGGGTCTGAAGAGGAAACATTTGCCACCTATTGCCTCTAAGGGTAGCTACCTATGAGACTTCATCTATATAATAAAATCCTTGGTCTCCACAGAGCCTTACCTTAACCCAGACACTCCTTTCTCTTGATCCCAGGTCTTCAGATAATAAGTTAACTTTTTCAACCAATTGCCAATCAAAAAATCTTTGAGTCCTCCTATGGCTTTTAAGCTCCTACTTCAAGTTGTTGTGCCTTTCTGGACTTATCCAATGTGTACCTCACATGTATTGATTGATGTCTTATGTCTCCCTAAAACATATAAAACCAACCTGTAACCTAGCCACCTTGGGCACATGTTCTCAGGACCTCCTGAGGCTGTGTCATGGGCCATGGTCCTCAAATTTGGCTCAGAAAAAATCTCTTCAAATATTTTACAGAGTTTGGCTTTTTTGTTTTGTCAATACAGTGAAAGGAAGAATAAAATTAGCAGCTTATCCTAGATGTTAGGGAAGAAAGACATGGCTTATTTACTTTTAAAATCCTACCTCTGGAAAGTCAAGTGAGACTCAATGAGGAACCATAAGAAAAGAAAAGCAGGCCTCAAACAAGATGTGTGATAAATGGATAGAATAGAGAGGTTGTCGGGTTTATATATGCTCTAGCTCATGAATCCAGAGAAGACAAGACTGATATTTGAGTTCTGCTGTTGGCCTATGTTACTCTAATGTATAACACTTTGAAAAAATTTAGTGGATTAAATGGCAGCTATGCATGTATTCATCTAGAATTTGAGGATTTGGATCTCTCATCTAAGCTAATTTTCATATAACTAACAGTGGGAGCTAAAGAGGGGACAGATGATCCACTTCTCAATCTAACTGTCTGTCATGTTGCTTATTTCAAGTTATAGCCAATTTGTAGATAATATGAATATGTTCCTTAGCTGTCTCTGGTTTGATTATGACTGACCATTAGTGACAGAGAGCTTCACTTCAAAGATGAATAGGACCATGGTATAAAAAGAATAAGGCGGCTGGGTGTGGTGGCTCACGCCTGTAATCCCAGCACTTTGGGAGGCCGAGGCGGGCAGATCACGAGGTCAGGAGATCGAGACCATCCTGGCTAACAGGGTGAAACCCCGTCTCTACTAAATATACAAAAAATTAGCCGGGCGAGGTGGCGGGCACCTGTAGTCCCAGCTACTCAGGAGGCTGAGGCAGGAGAATGGCGTGCGCCTGGGAGGAGGAGCTTGCAGTGAGCCGAGATCATGCCACTGCACTCCAGCCTCGGCGACAGAGTGAAACTCCGTCTCAAAAAAAAAAAAAAAAAAAAAAATAAGACATTCAAAGTGTAAGAAAAAGCTTTAGAAAAGGTCCACGCTTACAGAAGGCCTTGGATTTTCTGGTTTTATGTTTGTGTATCTTACGTCATCTTTGAAAATTTTGGAAATGTTGTGATATTTAATTAGGCAGACACTCTTCAGTGTCTTATTAGGCACTGAAATTAGGCAGTTTCATTTCAGTAAGAATGCTTAGAGTTCAGTAAGAATGCATGAATCAACATGCATTCTTACTGAACTCTAAGCATTCTTACTGAAATGATCTTTCATTTGGCTTTAATCAAAAGTGATGGGACAGAGAAGAAAACAGAAATGTCACACACCAATCCTGAGTCCAAGGCATCATTACTCATCTGCAGTAGAATAACATCTATAATAACTCCAGTGCTACCCCAGGCAGTCCACGGATCTGTAGGCACTACATGAATCAAAAGAGGTTACATCCCTGCCATTTTTTGTTCTCATTGAAGTGACTGAGAACGAATTCTTTTTTGATAACTAGTGTTCTCTGTTTATGATGATTTATGTCTTGGCATTAACTGACTATTTTTATAGTTGACCTTCAGATATTTTGTATTTAGAATGACTGGCCATTTCACTTGCTCCCTATAGGTTACTCAGAGTAGGCACTCAGAAGAAACCAGAATAGATGTGATATATTAGAACACTGAAAAGGTCAATGTTTTAAGTGTTGATATTTTCTATGGGATATAATTCTCACGTATTTTAATGGATGATAGAACATTTATAGTGACTAATGCTGAATACCTAATAATACTGATTATAACCACTGTGCCAAAATACTCACCATTCGTTCCTCTGACAACAAAGAGCTAAGAGAATACTAAGAGCACAGTGAAAAACAATAGCAGGGTGCTCTTAATGGTGACTTAATGGCCTATAATGGCCTCCAGCATTTCATACTTGTGTGAGAAAAGTAAGGTTATATGGCAGATTTCTAAAACACAAAGTTTTGAGGAAGCATGTTTTACTTGTATCAGTTCACTCCAAATTCTCCAAAGTGAAACGACAATATGGCATATTTCAGGGTTTTGGCAAACTTCATTGTAGAATAATCTGTCAGTAGGAGTGATAAAATCATTCACTTATTAAACAAACATTTGAATGCCTATTATGTGTAGGACACTGTGCTTGCTAACATGGCTTAGTGAGTGTGAGATGATGTTGATAGACCTGGGTGGTGCAGATGGGGATAGGCATGAAGTGGCATATGGCTGTATGCAGAAGGTTGTTAACGGTATTATAAAGAATGTGCTGTGGCACAGTTCAGACCCCAATCAGTCTAAGTCCCTTTGCCTTCAACCCAAAAGTGTTTAAAATACTCTTCTCATCATGACAGTACTGAAATACTGATAAAATACAGATTTCACACACTACAAAGTGTTTAAATAGAGCCATGCTGGAACCGTCATTCCCAGGTGAATGAATAAAGTGAAAAGTTGTGTTGGGCATAGTGTGTTGGGCATATCATGTTGGATAGAAGCAGAGCCTCAGGTCAAAGTAATTTGATAAGGATTTTATTTAGAAAAATGTTCATGCAAACTCATAAGTAGAAATAGATTAAAGACCTCTGTGCAAATACATAACAATCCCAGTATGGCCAGAATGGCATGGAAGTAAGTAAAAATAAGCAGTTCTTGAAAAAGAACACAGAAACAACCAGGCTACAAACTATTGCATTAATCACATGACATGGCTAATATATCTCAAAAACAGTGCAGAGAACTATATAATATGCATAGAGACAGCCAAACTGAAATAAACAATTATTTTGCACACACACACACAGAGAGAGAGAGAGAGAGAATTGATATAAAGGAAAATTATGTAGTATTCATCGAGACAGCCAAATATAATTAAACAATTATTTTCTCTTCAAAAAAAGTCATATATGCTTTTGTTGTGCCCAATAATGAGCTGGGTTGACCTCCTGACTACTGCAAACAAGATTCTGATTCCCAAGATGGACAAACAAGGGTAAGAACTGTGCCTTATAGATTCTGTAATCACAAGGTTAATATTTGTCTGGGTGCACTAGATATTAGGTGAGGTTCTTTCAAAATAATTTATGCTTACCATTTGACCTCACACAGTACTTTTAGGAATCTGTTCTACAGAAAAGCTTGCAAACATTCACTATTATATATATATGTAAATGAGTGTTTTTCTAATATTGTTTGTAATAGTGATAGATTGGAAACAACCTGACTACACATCAATAAGAAATGATTAAAAGGAAATAAAATAAGAATGTCAAAGAGATATCTGCATTCCCATATTCATAACAACATTATTCACAATAGCCGACAGAGAATCAACCTAAGTGTTCATTAAAGGATGAATGGCTTAAAAATGTGGTCATACAGACACTGAAACACTATTCAATAATAAAAAGAAAGAAGAAAAATAATGATAAAATAATAAAAAGAGGGGAATCCTGTCATTTGTCACAACACAAATGAGCCTGAAGGATATTATTTTTAAGTAAAATAAATCAGACACAGAAAGACAAATGCCACATCTCACTTATATGTAGAATCTAAAATAGTCAAACTCATAGAAATAGAATAAAATGATTACCAGGGTCTGGTGGAGGGGTAGAGAGGTTGAAGAGATGTTGATTAAAGGGTTCAAGGTGTCAGTTAGATAGAAGGAATATGCTCTGGAGATCTATTGTACAGAATGATGAGTGTAGTAAATAATAATTATTATATACTTGAAAATTGCAGAGCAAGTAAATTTTAAATGTTCTCCTCACAATAAGTATGTGAGATGATAGATTTGTGGATTAGCTTTATTATTCATTCCACAATGTGTATATACATGTATATATATGGAAGAAGAAAAGCAAATCTAATAATAATAATAAAATAATAAAAAAGAAGAAAATCCTATCATTTGTCACAACACGGATGGACCTGAAGGACATTGTATAATATGTGTGTGTGTGTGTGTGTGTATATATATACACACATACATTGTGTTGTACACCTTAAATTGTGTTGTACACCTTAAAGTTTCCTTTAAAACTTTTTAAAGGAAATTACCTATCAATATTTTTTGATATTATGCACTTTAAAAAATAATTTTGTAGCTCTATATGTATTAAAATAATTAGATGCCCAAGGTAAATTACTAAAGTACCAAGTAGCAGAATAGATGTCCTCTCTCCCTCTTTCTCTCTCTCTCTTTCACAAACACATACATGCAAACATGCCCCTAATATATGATATGAGAGAGACAGCGAAAGCAAAAGAGAGTTCTGGAGGGTTACACATTAGATCACCAACAGAAATTTCTTATTAGGATGAGGAGAAGGTGACAAATGACTTTGCACATTTTTTACCTCACAAATATGGTGCTTGAATTATTTTAAAGAAATCATGCATTACTTTTTTAAATTAATTTTTTAAAGAACAAAAGATATTTATAAATATCCCTGTAAATGATTTATTTTTCTGTGCTTTGTTTTGGGTCTCTAAGAAAGTGTATGTCTATATGGGCATATGTGGACATATGTGTTTATGTATGTGCTTTCATATATTTATGATTTACACACAGCGTAAGTTCAATAAACCTATGAAAGTATGGATATACACATGAAACTCAGGGATCAAGCCAAGAAAAAACTGGTGTTCAGAATTGTTGCTCGCTTTTTAATGAGTTAAAACAGAGGATCCATTCTTTTATTTTCTCAAATAGTATAATAACCTGCAATACACGAATACTCTATCGGACAATTAAAAAAACAAACAAACAAAGCACTCTTTTTCTTTTTAGGACATGTATCCTTGAATTTTCAAAGGAGCACTTAGAGTTATTGATGAAGATATGTTTATATACTTATTTTCCTTCTAACTCTTAGAGTGCTTATTTACTCCTTTAAGCAAAACAGCACATGAAAACTTTTGTATACTGGATGTTCTACTCTCTTCAGGGGAAAAATCTTACTATTCTGACTGTCTCACATAGTTCTAAGTCTTTTGAAGAAATTACTTTGGGGTTCTCCGTTCTTTTTTCCTAGGTTGCATATATAGCAGATGGTGTAATATTAAAGTTCCTAACCAAAATTAAGATGAATCATTTGCCTAGCACATTTTATCATTAGGCCAGTAGGATTCTTCGCTATTATCCACCCTCTGTGGTTATATCATAAGGCACTAATTAAAACAAAATATCTAGTGGTAGGTGGGATTTCATTTTTCTCCTCCAATTTCTGCCTCAGTAATTTATCTAAACATATGCCAAAAATTCATGGTTTTAAAACAGCATTATTTCAACCCACTCTTATACACAGAATTCTAATCATCTGTTCTGATATTTATGAGTTTCCTTCTTCTACTATAAAATTGCTGCCACTCTGGGCTCTTCCAGCTATTCAGCTTTTCTTCTTTTATGTATCTCACTTCTGCTTTCCTGCAGAAACCACTATGCATAAAAATGAAGGTGTATTTAAACCCAATAGGTGAACAATATAAATGAAGCAAATATTTCTTTGAGGCAATAAATTATTTAATATGTCTTACATTATAAAAACAGTTTTTGCCATTTAAGTGTACAGAGCATAATTATTTTTTCTATTTCTCCAAGGTTAAAATAAGAGTAGGAATAAAATATAATAGTCTAATTCTGAGCAGAACTCTGGCCTTCCAATTGGTTTATCTGCATGTGAATATTTTATCACAACCTTTTCTTAGTACAATCATGGTGCAAATATCAGCAAAGTGTGCTGCTCTGAATTGCTACAATATATTGTAACTTATTATGTGAATGATCCATCTAGCATGTACTGTAGGAGGAACAGTGGGTCTGGTGTGAAAGCCATTTTCTGCACACTTTCATTTTGTTCAGAGGCTCTAGAACAGGGATAATGATGTAGAAGATCATGAATTTTTCTCGTTACATTTACATGTTTATTGGAGACAGTTCAGATTTTTCAATTTGCATATGATTTATATAGTACGTTTATTTCTGACAGACATATTTATAGGAAAAACTTTCACTTGGTGAATTCACTTGTTGAAACAAATCTTTCTGAAAAGGCAAATGACTAGAAAGCCAAAAGCATGGTTTCATTATAAATCACAACATTGAAAAGGGCTAAGCTGTGAAGAAAGAGTGGCAAAAGTGGGGAATGGGGAGTTTGTTCTTCAAATTCTAAATACAAGCAAGGAATGATTAAGGCCATCAGAAATGTCCTTTGCTGCTGCCTCTCTGACCTGTCATTTTCTTTGGAGTATGTTCACCATGCCTATAATGCACAGACAAATTTTCTTATTTTATTCACTGTAAAAATCGAAGGGAGCAAGGTATAGACAGAGAAGAAAATTAGTCCAAAGACCAATTTATGAGGGGAGCAATCATGCCCTTTGATATGCTTTGACTGCGTCCCCACCCAAATCTCACCTTGAGTGTAATAATCCCCATATGTCAAGGGTGGGGCCAGGTGGAGGTAATTGAATCATGGGGGCAGTTTCCCCCATATTGTTCTTATGGTAGTGAATAAGTCTCATGAGATCTGATGGTTTCATACATGGGAGTTCCCCTGAATAAGCTCTCTTGCCTGCTGCCATGTAAGACGTGACTTTGCTCCTCATTTGCCTTCTGCCATGATTGTGAGGCCTCCCCAGCCATGTGGAACTGTGAGTCCCTTCAACCTCTTTCCTTTATAAATTATCCAGTCTTGGGTATGTCTTTATTAGCAGTGTGAGAATAAATTAATACACGCTTATTTTATTTTATTTTATTTTATTTTTTGAGACAAGAGTCTCGCTCTGTTGCCCAGGCTGGAGTGCAGTGGCATGATCTCCCAGGTTCAAGTGATTCTCTTGGCTCAGCCTCCATAGTAGCTGGGATTACAGGCAACTGCCACCACACCCGGCTAATTTTTTGTATTTTTAGTAGAGATAAGGGGTTTCACCATGCTGGCCAGGCTGGTCTTGAACTCCTGGCCTCAAGTGATCCACCTGCCTCAGTCTCCCAAAGTGCTGGGATTGCAAGCATGGGCCCCACACCTGGCCCATGCCCTTCATTTAATGTCTGCCAAGTGGAAAGGAACGTGATCTCTTTTGTTTTGCCCACATGGTGGATTATGTTAAAAGTATGGGCTGTTAGTTTGTATATACTCAGGGATGATTTAAATGTATTTTAGAGTGTTTAAGTTTGGGGGAAAAATACATTCTGACTTGGTCTGTCATTTATTTGCCTGAAGATTTTCTTGCTTTAAAATGGATGACAGTACCATGAATAAAATTTTGAAAATGCATTTGGGAGCCTGAGGCAGGTGTATAACTTGACGTCAGGAGATCGAGATTAGCCTGACCAACATGGTGAAAACCTGTCTGTACTAAAAATATATAAATTAGTTGGGGGTGGTGGCACACACCTGTAGTCCCAGCTACTCGGGAGGCTGAGGCATTAGAATCACTTGAACCCGGGAGGCAGAGGGTGCGGTGAGCCGAGATCATGCTCACTGCACTCCAGCCTTGTTGGCAGAGCAAGACCTTGCCTTAAAAAAAAAAAAAAAAAAAAGGAAATTTTGAAAATGCCATTAACTACCTACACACATACATCTGTGCTTCTGGTAGACCTTCTCGTAGTTTCTTGCTTTTTAAAAAGTAATTTAAATGTGTAAGTGATTGCATGTGGAGGTCAGATGTTGAACTGAATGATCCCTAAAAATCCATTCGGTTCTACTCAAGTTTCATTTTTCCTTTATCATTAGAAGGCAGTTTATAGATTTCTCAGCAAGCCAATAGAGGGCAGCAAAAATTTGCAGACCGGCACAGAAATTTTATTTGCACAAATAATTATTCCCAAGCAGCAATTAAATGTCTAAAAACAGAGCTGTCATTTTTAAGTCTAGCAAACCTAGGAAATATTTAAACTATTTTTTCAGGCAAAAAATTATAATTAAAAAAAGTCTCTTGGCTCTTTAAGCATCAAGACTAGCTTTGGTTTTATAGTTTATAATTTCCTTCTTCTGCATTTATGTAAGATTTACCAAAAATTATGAGTATCTACATAGACTTTTTTTTCTATTTGCCAATTGAAACAACAACCAAAAATATGCAATATTTTTGTAATCCTCACATTTCCATTTAAATTAAAACTTCAAAGAGTGCAGTGGTAACGGAAATTAGTTTTCAGTTAGTTTTCCTGAAGCGAAGTAGTACTACATTTGCCAGGAGGTTCAAATTAGACTGCAATGCCAGAATATCTGACTTTGGGCAAAAAATGATGATTGATATTTTAATATGCTCAAAGATGAACTCCATGAAATAAAAATTAGTAAAATGTTAATTTTCATTATATATTTTAAATTTTCATCTCAGTTTATTGTACTCAATGAAACGCAGCTGAAACCCATTTGCAAGGGGAATAAAATAACCTCCCAAGGACTCTGATATAGTTCAAGTCAACTCTGGAAAGGGAGCTTCATCATTGGTCTAAAGAACTACTTCACATCAGAAAATATATTACAGGAGTCTCTCAATTACTCAGAAATATGCCATCCACCCCTTTTGTCTGGCTTTCTTTACCATCCTACTGCCTATCAAATGGATATTTTACTTTTCTTACTTCTAAAATATCAGAAGATACTTGAGTCCCACCTCCTCACTTCCTGACAGGCGTTCACTACTCTCTCTCTGATTTACCTTTGTACCTTGAATTACGTCCCTTAGCAAATTGATTGATTTTGTTTACGTATCTGTCTCCCATTCCCAAACTGTGAGTTCCATGAAGAACCATCTTATTAATCTCTATATTGACAGTGCTATGCACATGTTTGAAACTCAGAAATGATGGAGTAAAACTCAGATTAAGCAATCTGCCTGCTTTTTTTTTAAATTTTAAGTTCTGAGATACATGTGCAGAATGTGCAGGTTTGTTGCATAGGCATACATGTGCCATGGTGGTTTGCTGCACCTATGAATCCATCATCTAGGTCTTAAGCCCCACATGTATTAGGTATTTGTCCTAATTCTTTCCCTCCCCTTGCCCCTCACCCCCTGACAGGCTCCAGTGTGTGTTGTGCCCCTCCCTGTGTCCATGTGTTCTCATTGTTAAACTCCCACTTATGAGTGAGAAGATGAGGTGTTTGGTTTTCTGTTCCTGTGTTAGCTTGCTGAGAATGATGGCTTCCAGCTTCATCCATGTCCCTGCAAAGGACATGAATTCATTCGTTTTTTATGGCTGCATAGTATTCCATGGTGTATATGTGCCACATTTTCTTTATCCAGTCTATCATTGATGGTCATTTGGGTTGGTCCCAAGTCTTAGCTATTGTAAATAGTGCTGCAACAGACATACGTGTGCATATGTCTTTATAGTAGAATGATTTATATTCCTTTGGGTATATACCAAGTAATGGGATCGCTGGGTCAAATGATATTTCTCACTCTAGATCCTTGAGGAATCGCCAGTCTTCCACAATGGTTGAATTAATTTACACTCCCACCAACAGTGTAAAAGCATTCCTATTTCTCCACATCCTCACCAGCATCTGTTGTTTGCTTTTCAACGCCATTATTAGATGTCCATAATATTAATAGCACATTACTAGGAGCTTTGGAAAGGTGCAAAATAAATGGAAAACTGCCTCTTCCCTTGAGATGAGAATGGCCTTTAAAATGTACTTACTCAAGGAAAAGTTCAAAAATTAATCGAGGTACAAATTAATAGAATACACATAAATATGCCATGCTGAAGAGCTGTAAAATATTGAGAGTAAGCCAGCTATTTAGGACAAGAGTCAATGATCAAAGCCAAAGTTTAAGTTTTTGCTGACAGGTGATAGTTTAAACCTTTTTGAGAGATGAAATAGCTGAATTGTTAAAATATCCAAGATTAAACCCTGAAGGATGTCCAGAATTAAAGGATATAAGAAAGAAGAAGCTGGCAGACATCAAGAATGTACCAGACTGATAGAAGAACAAGGCAACACTATCCTCGAAGCAAATGATGGCAAGCATTTTTTAATATAATAAATGTATCACTTTTATTTATTGATATGCTTTTTTAGTACCTGTATTATTCTCAAGAAAGCTTGAGGTGATCACTCCCACAATTAACGGGTGGACAGTGTGGCAATTCCCCAAAGACCTAAAGATAGAAATACTACTCGACCCAGCAATCCCATTACTGGTTATATGCCCAAAAGAACATAAATCATTCTATTATAAAGACACATGCACACATATGTTCATTGAAACAGTATTCACAATAGCAAAGATGGAATCAACCAAAATGCCCATCAATGATAGACTGGATAAAGAAAATGTGATACATATACACCATGGAATACTATGCAGCCATAAAAAGGAATGAGATCTTGTCTTTTGGAGGGACATGGATAGAGTTGGAAGCTATTATCCTCAGCCAACTCATGCAGGAACAGAAAACCAAACACCGCATGTTCCCACTTATAAGTGGGAGCTGAATGATGAGAACACATGGATGCAGAAAGAGAAACAACACACTGGGGCCTACCTGAAGATGGAAAGTAGGAGGAAGGAGAGGTTTAGAAAAAATAACTGTTGGGTACTAGGCTTAATACCTGGGTGATGAAATAATCTGTACAACAAACCCTCATGACATGAGATTACCATGTAGCAAAAACCACATATACCCCCAAACCTAAAGTAAAAGTTATTCCTTTTTTTAAAAAAGAGGAAATTGAATGTTGGCTTACATATTCATTCAAAAATACAGTAGGCCATTGTAATAAAAAAAGCATAATTCCACTTAGATTCTTGGATACTATAAATTTTCATTTACAGTCTGAAGCTGTTCTAGTACACATATTTATGTGTGTTTATGTGTATTATTTGTAAGTTTGCTTTTGTAGAAATTTAAGTTTGTGATTAAAATGAGTCTTGGTGTTTTCTATTAGTGTTGTTTTCCCATAATTGAAATTAGGCTATAAAAAACTAATTTAAATAACTACATGATTTTTAACATACCTTTTGCAAAATATAGAAAAGAAACAAGCAAAAATAATTCTTTTTAGCTTTTTGCAGGACCCAATAAGAGTAACAATATCTATTATGGCCTGATCGCCATCTTTTATGAAAGTTCTAGGTTTTTCAAGTTCCTCTCAGCTAAATATTGAAATTCTTTCATTTGGAACTGGTGTGTTTACCCAATTCCTATACCCCCATTGTATCTAGGAAGTAACTAACTTGCTTTTGATTTTAAAGGCTCATAGATGGAACGGATTTGTCTTGTCTCAGATGAGACTTTAGACTTGAACTTTTGAGTTAATCCTGGAATGGGTTAAGACTTTAGGGGACTGTTGGGAAGGCATGATTGTGTTTTGAAATGTAAGGAGATGAGATTTGGTAGGGGCTGGGAGTGGTATAATATAGTGTGGCTGTGTCCTCACTACCCAATTATCATCTTGAGCTGTAGTTCTCATAATCCCCACGTTTCATGTGAGGGACCTGGTGGAAGGTAATTGAATCACGGCAGCAGTTACCTCCAAGCTGTTCTCGTGATAGTTCTCACGAGACCTGATGGTTTTATAAGGGGTTTCCCCGCCTTCACTTGGCACTTCTCCTTGCTGCCACCATGTGAAGAAAGATGTGTTTGCTTACCCTTCTGCTATGATTGTAAGTTTCCTGAGGCCTCCCCAGCCATGCTGAATTGTGAGTCAATAAAACTTCTTTCTTTTATAAATTACTCAGTCTCAGGTATGTCTTTGTTAGCAGCATGAGAATGGGCTGATACACTCATCAATTTTTATTTATGCAATAAATGTTGCAATTGAAAAGCATGGGCTATAATAAGTTGCTACAAGTGAAACACTCACAGATGTCATTTGGAGAAAGAAATAGTTAAATCCATCTATGAAAAGACACCTGCTTTGAAATGCAATGATGTTTACTCTGCAAATGCATAGTATTTCTATCCAACCCTTCCATTTATTTTTTTCTTGTTATAAGCAAGAGATTTTACCTGAGATTTCAGTTATGTGAAAGAGCAGAAATTTTAGAAGTTATTTATTGGTTGGACTCAGGTTGAGAACAAATATTATGAAGGAAAACATTTTGAAAGTTTTGTGAGTAGTTTAAGAAACATGATGGATAAACATGTAATGAGCGACAACAGTCATAAAACCAGCTTTTCAAATAGAAGAGTTTTAAGAAGAAAGCATTAGATACGTAAGAATGAAGAAGCAAAATTACTGAAATTTTATAACTAGGGTTCTGAGGGAGGCAAACCATCAAAAATAAATTGATTTAGCTGAAAAATTATCATTTTAAGTACTATATTGACTTTCTTTTGTCATTAAAATCCTTCTTTGAAACACAGTATCTGTGCAAATTTTAGAACATTCCATTTCCTGAAAAGCATAATATACACTCTCAACAGTATGCTTTTTTGCTATGGTACATTTTATGTAATAAGTATCATTTACTGAAATACATATAAAAATTTAAAATATGGTGAACTTCAAATCCAGTTTATTTAATTAAAATGAAGGAGCATCCCGTGAAAATATTGAGAAAATTCGTGCTTTCTAAAATTTCTCAGAGAAAAAGGCAAATTAAAAGTTACCAAAATGTGAAAGAACCAGTCATATAAGAATCAATAGTGTCTATGATTTCTTAATAGTTTAGTTATAAATTATCACAATGACTTTTAGAAAACAAGTTAAAAATTAAAACATATTTACTACTTGGCTCATACTTGTTCTCTACTACAAAAAGAAAAGAGGGATAATAGTAGACGTGTTTGTGCCATCATACCTGTACCTCGTACGGTTTCTTTACTTTCCCATACCTCCTCCTATAATTTCTCAATTCACTTAAAACCTAATCTCCTTCTTGTCGCAGTGGACAACGTCCCTGTGCCTTACCACAACAAATTCCTCCACCTTATGCCTCATCTCATCCTTTCCCACACACTACAAATTTTATTTTTTCTCTTTTCTTTCTTCCCTCTCTATGCAAACATGCTGAAGTATTTGTTATGTTAAAACAAAACAAAACCATCAACAATAATGGCCAAGCCTTTCTCCAATTCCACTTCTCTGTCATATTTCTCCTTACCATAACATTAAACTTTTTGAAAGACAAGCTTACTTTTCACTCTCTTCAACCCACAGTCATCTGACTGCCACCTTCACAACTCTACTGAAATCTTTGCTTGGATGTACGAATTAAATGGTCTCTTTTTAGTTATCTCTCCACTTTATTTTCCCTCTCACTGGCATTTGATCCTGTTGACTTTGTTCTCCTAGAAAAACTTTCTTTCCTTGGCTTTTATGATACCGCTTGATCTTGGCTTTCCTCATAGCTTTGTAATAGATGCATTGGTTTCTTTCATTTATTCTTTTTTCTCTTACTTCCCCTTAAGTGTTCCCCCAAGGTTCCATTTTCAGACCTCTTATGTCCTAACTCTGTACTATCTCTCTGGACATTCTCATTTATGTCTGTAACTGGAACTATCATTTATTATATATACCAATGGTTTCTAAATCTCTAGCATGTATATTTCTCTGCTAATTCCAATGACATATAGCCACCAATAACAACTAGACAGGCAACTCTGCCTGTCTTGTAGGCAACTCAGAGTAAAAAATTTCAAAATCAAACTAAGTATTTCCACTAACAAACCTCCTCTTTACTCCGTATCGTAGTATCGTTTCTATCCACCTGGTAAGTCAATTTAGAAACCTCAAAATCAGCCTTGTTTTCTTTCTTTGCACATTCATTGTGGCATGGTATCTTCTTTTTTTTTCTTTCCTTCTGGTTAATTCACCAATTATAATAGGCACTTATTAAATGTTTGTTGAACTGAATTGTTGACATTATAAATATCACTCAAAAGACCCTGTTGAAAATAATGAGAACACATTCTCTAAGGATTGGGCAAGATTTGAAAATGCACCCACATCTTAATGATGTACAGTGTAGAACAAAGCAGAGATTTTGCCTTAAAATTGTGGGTCTAATTAACCAATAAGAAAATTAAGATAATGTTCCAATCCCAGAGCTAAAGCAAAACTCAGACTGACTCAAGGGAAATAAAGTAGCAGACTTCAATGAGACTTGCCTTTTACTTTGGTTTTTCTGGGCACCTGCAAAACTGGGTGGGCATGTGCACATGCTCGTGTGTGTGTGTGTGTGTGTGTGTGTGCTCTAGAAGAAAGAAGACAGCAGTGTGGAAAAGAAGAGATAAAATAAAGGGCGAAATGTGTGGAGAATGATAATTTCCACAAGGAATATTAAATCACCACTCACTTTAGTCTACGTTTTAGCCTTGTTCTCCATAACCAATTCTGTTTACCAGTAACAAAACCAACTCTGAGTTGTACCTTCTCCTTTAACTTGGTCACTTTGAATATCCTTAAGCATTCTATTTACTCCACCATTCTCAGATAGACACATAGATATACACATTCAAGGTTTAATAAATTAATGCTGCTGTATGTATTTTGTTCTCTGCTCCTACTACTGTTTTTGTTTGTTTGTTTGTTTTAAACCAGATGCCTTACTCCACTTGTCTCAGTCTCCTGTTCTTCTTCCTTGGAATCACTTTCAAAAATAAACTGTCTGCACAAAATCCCATGGGTCAGACTTTTTTGGGGTAGAGAAGGCTAAGGAAGGTCTCAAGTCCTAGCAACAAATTTTTGAAAAGAGTGAAATGGTAAGCTGAAGCTAAACTATCAAGTTAGGCGGTCTTGCTTTCCTAATATCAAATTTGCAGACCTGAAGCTTCTAAAGAAACGAAACTGAAAAACCTAGATTTACATGTAAATGTCTCTCCCTCCACTCTGCCACTTAACAAGAACTTAATTTCCTTTTTTTGTTTACTATATGCTTTAAATGTTATCCATTCATAAAATCTGTCCAATATTCAAGAAATAGGTGCTATTACCAATCCCGTAGTCCAATTTTGAATCTGATCCAGAAGCCCTGCAGGAAAGGTACAAGAGAACCTGAGCTTGACTCAGCCTGTCTCCAAAGTCTCAGCTCACATGACCTATGTTCTAATGTTTTCCTTTACATGGTAAATATTTCTTAAAACTTTTATTTTAAGTTCAGGGGTACATGTGCAGGCTTGTTACATAGGTAAACGTATGTCATGGGGGTTTGTTGTACAGATTATTTCATCATCCAGCTATTAAGCGTAGTACCCATTACTTATTTTTCCTGATCCTGCACCTCCTCCCACCATTCACCATCAGATAGGCTTCAGTGTCTGTTGTTCCCCACTGTGTCTATGTATTCTCATCATTTAGACCTCACTTCTAAGTGAGAACATGCAGTATTTGGTTTTCTGTTCCTGTGATAGTTTGCTAAAGATAATTGCCTCTAGCTCCATTCATGTCCCTTCAAAGGACATGATCTGATTCTTTTTTATGGCTGCATAGCATTCCATGGTGTATATATCCCACATTTTCTTTATCCAGTCTATCATTGATGGGCATTTGGGTTGATTCCATGTCTTTGCTATTGCGAATAGTGCTGCAATGAACATATGTATGGATGTGTCTTTATAACTGAACAATTTATATTCCTTTGGGTTTATACTTAATAATGGGATTGCTGGGTTTAATGGTATTTCTGTCTTTAGGTCTTTGAGGAATTGCCACGCTGTCATCCACAATGGTTGAACTAATATACACTCCCACCAATGGTGTATAAGCATTCCTTTTTCTCCACAACCTCACCAGCATCTGCTAGTTTTTGAATCTTTAGTAATAGCCATTCTGACTGGCATGAGATGGTATCACATTATGGTTTTAATTTGCATTTCTCTAATGATCAGTGTACTGAGCTTCTTTTCCTATGATTGGTGGCCACATGTATATCTTCGTCTGAGACTTTTTTTGAGGCATATTTTTATTTTTTGAGACATATTTTTTGGGCATTATTTTTGAGACATTCTTTTGTACTCTTTTTAATGGGGAAAAAGCACTCTTTAAGGAAACTTTTTCCCCAAAAACACACAGCCTCCAGAGCTTCACTATAATCTTGGGGCTTGTGATACAATTTTCAGAAACACGAGGAATTCTTTCAACACATTTATTATGTGTCCGTCATATGTCAGATACTATGCTAATGCTGGCAAAGCAGAAATGATCAAGAAAAAAAGCGTGCCTATTCTCATGGAGCTTATAACAAGGAAGCCAGATTACTGAACCTAAATCCCAGTTTTCTTCGTCCTTACTCTTCGGCAAGCAGTGATGATAATCTCCAAAGCAAGTGAAAGTTGCTGTGGGTGGCAGTGTACTAGTAAGTAGCTGCTCACATGGCAGGCTCAATTCTATTTAGGAGTGAAAACACATTATCTCAGGGGAAATACAGAATAGATATTAATGTGCACTATAATTTCTAAAAAGTCAAACAATTGAATAAAAAAACGGAAAGTAACACTTAAGTAGTTGTTAATGCCAGGTTAAAATGGCAAGAGAGTAATGCCTGATATGCCCCCTCTGATTTTCCCATTAAAATACTTATGTATTACAGGTGGCTCACACCTGTAATATCAGCACTTCGGGAGGCCAAGGCGGATGGATCACGAGGTCAGGAGTTCAAGGCCAGCCTGGCCAATGTAGTGAAACCCCGTCTCTACTAAAAATACAAAAAAATTAGCTGGGCGTGGTGGCGGGCGTCTGCAATCCCAGCTACTCGGAAGGCTGAGGCGGAGAATCACTTGAACCCAGGAGGTGGAGGTTGCAGTGAGCCGAGATCGCGCCATTGCATTCCAGCCCAGTCAGCCCAGGCAACAGTGTGAGACTCCGTCTCAAAACAAAACAAAACAAACAAAAAAACAGAACAAAAAACTAATCAAAATTACAATAATTCCATCAGACTCATAGAGAGATTTCTATTTACCATAGTGCCAGTGAACCTGGATTAAGAAACCACATTGGTGGCCTACACGTGTCCTACCTTCTGTTGCAGAACAACATAGCTATTCTGGAAATGGCAAGGGGATGTTTTAGCCTGGCCCCACAGGAAGCAAATCTAAAGAAGCAAACTCCAGGGAAGCCAACATTAGAAAGCCACACCAATCAAAAAACTTGGCTGTCAGTTCCTTACTAAAGAAGAATTACTGCTAAAGGGGCCAGGGCCTTTCTCTCTTCTAGATTCCTAAAAATACCTCTCTCTTCAAGTCCCGTCAGGAATTCCATCACCTATACTCCATCTACGACCCAGAGATGGCATGTTGTTATAAAAATGTTATTCCAACAGGTCATTCTTTCCCTTCTCTTCCCTCAGAGAAAGAAGCCAATCAGAAATAACATAGTTTTCATAAAAATTGGCCATGAAAAGAAAACGAGAAGTTACTGGAGAAAAATACCAGAGGGAAAATGCCCAGAAGGAACAAGAAATATCTTTATATAGAAAGAGCAGAATGACACCTGTCAAAAAGACACCTGCCAATGCACGTCAATGGCAGAATAGAGATGGGTTTCATTTGCTCTTGGTTTTGAAGTGCCAACCCTCAGCCAAAATGATAGGCAGAATCCAGGAAATTGACAGCAGGAATCAAATATTACTTGCTTTAAGAAATACATGTTTCTGTATTTGTCTGGCTAAACAACTGATCCTCCTATGTAACACATTTTAATTTCACACAGATACTGGTTTCTGTGGGGAAATATTATGATTTCTATACATTTGGGCTATAGTAATTGTGTCACTTGGGAAATCATGTTTATTGTCAAGAGAAAGAAAAAAACACACAATGTGTTGCATAAAGAAACTGCCTAGAGGCACTTTGGGTGTGCCAAAAGCTCATGGTAGACTGGTTTAAGCTCAAAGGTGTCAAGGCAATGGAGAATAAAACTCACTTGGTGTGTAGCCACCCTGAAAATAGGGCAAACACCCAAGTGGCACCTAATCTTGATTCTTCCCTCAACTGTTCAAATTTGCTTTTGGCACACATCAAATGCAGCCAGTGCTTTTCACACATGGTAGTTCCACAGAAAAGCTGCATGTGTTTTTTTTTTCCTTTTACTTTGTCTTTGGTATTTAGATGTGAGTCAAAAATGAGAAAGGCCAGAAAAGCCATTTCACCACTGTAGCAGCCTCTTCCTCAGGGGAATTTGGAAGGCAGAGATGAGTTTTTTATATAGTGGCAAATGAAATTCTCAAATTTCAGTACTTTAGTACCTGAAAGATTTGGATTCTAAATGTATTTATAGTTTATTGCATTGACATGTAAAATATAGTTTCTTGTTGACTGTTTTCCTCAAGCTTGCGCACATTATTAATAATAATTCAAGCGCTATCTTACATTCTCAAGGTGTTTTCACAAATACTTCATTCAATCTTAGCTAGCGCAAGGATAATTGTTTTCTTTTACTGAAGTGATGAAATGAGCTCAGAGACACTATGTGACTTGCAAAAGATTGCATGACTAATAAGTAATAGAGCTAGGGTCCGAACCCAAGGTTTTTCTGACTCAGTTCATATTTTAAAGAGCTAACGTATGTTTCTTGTTTAACAGTTGTAGTGTCTACCTAGATAGAGAATAGTGTGCCCTATTAAAGTAATATCATCACTAAGATTATATGAAAGCTGGTAGTTACAAAATAAATTTAGGAATTTATTTCCTAAGGAAAAGTTTCAGAATGTACCTACCACTGAAATTAATTGTATTCTACCCTTAGATTGCTGAACTTTACAAGTTTATTTTTGTTTGACCATTTTAAAGTTTATTGGATGCAAGAAGTAGCCTAAAATGACCTTATAATGATGTTACAGAAACCAATAATAGTTACTTTTTAAAGACATGAAATAACTATAAATGTGTATTAAGCATGTACTGTATGTCAGGCATTACACTAAAGGTTTTGATGCTTATTTCAGTCAATCAAAAACAAATACTAAATCTAGGTATTATTTATTTCTCCATTTTAAAGATGAGGAAACTGAGGCTCAGAGCTTAGAAAACTTATCAGAGTCACACAGCTAAATGGCAGACACAGGATTTGAACCCAGTCTTCAAACAGTCAAACACTAAAATACATGTCCTATGTGCCAGGTGTTTTATAAGCATTTATTATCTCCTCTAATCCTCATAGTAACTATGCAAGTTAGGTATTTATGTTCCAATTTCATAGTTGTGAAAACTAGGGCTCACAGAGACTCAAGAGTACCATTTGCTTCAAGGCCATATAATCAGTAGAAACACAGGAAATTTACCTAACCATGTGTCTCTTCACACTTTACCAGATTTGAACCCAATATACAAAGAGATTACCAGAAATAGTTTATCCTTTTCTGCAAGGAAATATCTTATTGAAAAATTATCATTTACAGTTATTGGTCAAAAATAGAAATCCCAAAAGTGTGGTAAACCTATGGCCCAAATTGTAAAGTTTATTATATTTTCCCCCATCACTTTCTAGTCACTTTCCCTTACTGATGTCTTCACTTCCAAGTACCCATTTTGCTTATTTATTTGAATGTCCTGATTGTCCAGAGGCAAGCAAATTATCAGGCTTCTCTCCATAATAGGTGGTCCAGATTCCATTATTATATTTTCCTACACTGTTCTCCACCTCCATTCATCCCACCCTAACCATCAGATTTTCTTTTCTCAGTACCGAGTTCTGAAGATGGTACTAGGAAGAGAAACTAATTCACAATAAGTTGTGTATGACTAACAAATACTTCATGTTATTATTCCCCAGAAGGCTTACACTTTTAAAGAAGCACTCAGCATGTTTCAACAAACATAGGACTAGGATTGGGACTTAATCTCCAGAAGCTATGAGGCCACAATTACTATAATAACTAGCAACATTATATAGGCAACCAAAGAGGATTTACTCACAGGAAGTCATGAATTTAGTTAATAGAGGCAGTTAAATGAACATATATGTGAGGATATGGAGTATGAAGATTTTTTTGAATCACTCATTAATGCTCGCCAGAAAGCAACCACCATAGAAAGGCACTGAATGACGAAATACTCAAAAGGACTTCAGGTGATGTCATCAGCCAGCCCAGAACTGGCACAATGAGCACATGAACATGCAGGCCACAGTGGCAGGAATTGCATATGGACCCAACAACATAAACTCCCACTTACCAAAGCTAATCTAACTACTGATGCCTCCTCTAAATGTCCAAGTCAGCAAAAGGAACCAACACTGAGCTTCCCATATGGCATTATTCTTGAAGGAAACCAAGTTGAATACATCAGGCCCCTTGGAAGGACCAGCAGGTTGTCTTCAAAGGAACAGAAGTCATTCTGGGTATGGGCACTCCTTTCCAGCTCACAGAGCCTCAGCCTATCCATAGGCTTAGGCTCATATATCATTGCATCTAACCAGAGGACCTACTTCACAATGAAAGAGGTAAAGTAGTGTGATCAACATACCATAATTTCCAGAACTAGGTAACTTCATAAAATTATGGACTGGGTTTCTAAAGATGTAAATGAAGCATGAAATCAGAGGCAGAACTTTGAAAGGATGGATGCCATCCTTCAAGATGCAGTGTATTCATTAAATCAGACACCCCTCTATGATACTGTGTCCCCAACAGAAAAATACATGGGTTCTAGAACCAAAGGATAGAATCTGGAGTGACCTAACTTACCATCACTCCCAATGGCCCAATTGGAGACCGTTTGATTCTTGTCCCCATTGAGCAAACTCTAAATTCTGCAGGGTTGGAAATCCTGGTCCCCTCTAAGGGGACATTCTCTCAATGTGTCATTGAGCTACAAACGGCAGCTGCCACCAGAGCACATTTACCGTTCCCAAGGACCAGCAGGCAAAAAGATGAGTTACTATATTGGCAGGTGTAATTGAATCTAAGCTGTAAGGCTTTTGTACAATGGGAACAAGGAGGGATATAACATGAGAAACCCAGGTGACTCACTCAGTACCTCCTTTCAAATCCTTGACCCATTTTAACAGAACAGGCAAGTGCAAACACTGCAGGTTAAGAAGAATATTGTTATCAAGGGTTCAAAATCCTTGAGGTCAAAGGTTTGGATCCCACCACTAAGACCTTCCAAAGTGATAGCTGAAGGTGAGGGGGATTTAGGACAGCGGAGGAGGGAGGGGATGAGCTCCAATTGTGTCCCTAATATCAACTGCAGAGTTGGGCACTATTGTTTGTCCCAATAACCTCCTTGTTCTAAGTTTCTCCTCAGAAAGTGAGGTTAACAAGAACCGTAGGAAAGCTGCTTCTCAAAATTTTGTGAAGAAGTAAAGCTGTGTGGAGTAAAAGGTTCACTGTGCAAACCACAAGAATACATCTTGTAGACCTCTTATTATAGGCTGCATTGTTAATAGCTCCATCTACTGTGCTCTGAAATCCATCATGATGTTTATGGGAAAGACATACTTCTCACAGGCTTCTCCAAGCCAATGATTGAGTTCAACTGAGACACTAAAGTGGGCCTGTTCCTGGGAGACCTGCCTTACCAAACTTCCCTAAGAACCGCACTGCAATCTAAACACTTCTACCTGATCTCCCCCTACCTTTCCCTCTTTCCTTCGCTCATAGTAAGACTAGCATAGTCTGTCAGTGCTCTCATGGACTGTCAGTTCTCCCAGCCTCTGCTAGTTCTCTCTGTTTCTCAGAGGACTTGCAGTAACACACTGTAGCCAATTGAATATTGCAGAAATGAGCTACCACGCCCAGCCTTATTTTTTCTGACTAAGGAAAAGAGCAGATCAGCTCAAGTTTCCTCTGTGATGTGAGTTAAAGTACATAGACAAATTCCAAATTCACCATTCAATTACTGAGTGAGTTCTATAAGTGCTATTAAAATAGTCTCAGGAGGCCATGTGCGGTGGCTCATGCCTGTAATCCCAGCACTTTGGGAGGCCAAGGCGGGTGGATCATGAGGTCAGGAGTTCAAGACCAGCCTGGCCAAGATGGTGAAACCCCGCCTCTACTAAAAATACAAAAATTAGCCGGGCGTGGTGGCGGGCACCTGTAATCCCAGCTACTCAGGAGGCTGAGGGAGAGAATTGCTTGAACCTGGGAGGCAGAGGTTGCAGTGAGCTGAGGTTGCACCACTGCACTCCAGCCTGGGTGACAGAGTGAGACTCCGTCTCAAAATAAATAAATATATAAATAAAATAAAATAAAATAGACTCAGGTAAAAAATTAAATATTAGAGTCACAGATTTTCTTAAAAATCTTAATGATGGATAATGTTATAAGCATTCCTTATGTATTTTCCGATCAAGCCTTAGGCCCTGATACCCCACAATTATTCAGAGTGTACTCCAGATTTCCAGTAATGTTTGTGCATTATTGATTTCTTAGGAATCAATGCCCTATCAGTAAAACATGTCAGTAAAAAATAATAGCTTTAAGAATAAGGTATATTATATAATTCTAGGATGGGAAAAGTGGGAGAGAGTAAAATTAATGACTTCTTTGTATTCCTCTGATAACCAGAGGTAAGCTGGGAAACAGATTTCAGCAGTTTTCACCACGAATCTTTGATTAGAATGCTTTAGTGCCATTCCCATCTGACAATCACACAAAACCATTTAGATGACCATGAGAAAAAAAAAAAAAAAAAGTCACACTTCACACTCAGAATTGATTGCTGCTATCTGGAGAGTATGAGGTATAAGCAGTACTGCAAAACTTCTAAATTTAAAAATCACAATTTTAGTATAATTGGAATATAAATTACTGACATGTTAATGACTGTTTTAAAAGAGTTCTGAATGTTTAACAGCCATTACCAATTTATGAAAGCTCTGCTCATTTTGTTCGTATATTAACTATTTCACCTTAAGCAGTGGTTCTCAGTGAGGAGGGGAGATTTTGCTCCCCAGAGATATTTGTCAATGTCTGGAGATAGTTTTTGGTTGTCATAGTTTAAGGGAGAAAGGAGGCATAAGGAGGGAGGATGCTACTGACATCTAGTGAGTAGAGGCCAGAGATACTAATAAATATCATACAATGTACAGGATAGTTTCCCACAACAACTTGGCCCAAAAAGTCAGTAGTGCCCAGGTAGAGAAATCTTTATTTAAAGAGTCGAAATACCTTATTTAAGTTGTTTTTGCAAGAAAAATACAAGTACAAAAGCAAAGTTTCTTTTCAATTTAGCTTTAGTAATTTAGCTCACAAATATTCTATAGATTAAAAAGGTAAACAAAAGTTACCTCTACCAAAACCAATGCTAAAAATATTCAACTCTATGGCAGTAGTTGAAAGGCATATTAAACTAATGAAAAACTAAAACGAAAAGGAAATGTAAGTTGGTTTTGGTTGTTTTCACAACATGGCTGTGTTAGTTTACCACAAACTTAGTGCCTTAAATTATTACAAATTTATTTATTAAAGTTTTGTGGGTCAGAAGTTTGACACGAACTCACTATGCCAAAATCATGGTGTTGGCAGGGCTATGTTTTTTTGTGGGGGCTGTAGGGGAAAATCCATTCTCGATTTTTCCAGCTCCTAGAGAGCATCCACATTGCTTGACTCATGGCTTCCTTCCTCCATCTTCAAAGCTATGGATGGGAGGTCTAGTCCTTCTCACATAGCATCACTCTGACCACTTCTTCTGCCTTCCTCTTCTACTTGTGATTACAATGGGCCACGGACTGACCAAAGATAACCTCCCTATTTTAAGGTCAGCGGAAAAGCAATCTGAATTCCATCTGCAACTTTAATTCCCGTTTGCCATGTAAGGTAAGATATTTATAGATTCAAGTGATTAGAGCATGGATACCATTGGACAGAATATTATTTTGCCTACCACAATATCAATAGAAAAGTGAAGTATTCAAAGGTTTAACATTCATCAATAAGTACAAAGAGAAACACAGTCTGTGTTCCACAAGCTCAGGCTTAGTTTTTTTGATATATTATAATAATCAAACACCAATGTATCATCCTAGATCTGAATGACCCCATTGTTATAAATCAAATCAACTATTTTAAAAGGAAAATACACACTGTAACACGCTCATTAAGTCCCAGTGAATGAATAGATAGTGCAGACCCAGTCTTTATATCACGTTGTAATTAGAAATTAATCTCAACTTCTGAACTCGGTCTTCTATTTTGCTCTAAAATTTGCTACTGCTGTTATAATTTTTCTCTATATCTGTAATATCCGCTTGTCTAAGATTGTCACGTTAGGGAGGTTGATACCACTTAAGAATTCCTCTGGGCTACCTTATATTTCCAGAAATAATCCCTGTAATATCTCTTTCGGTTATAGTGGCCTCTGTGGACATGAAAATATTACAAAGGTGTTTTTCACTGGATGGAAAAAGTCATCTGTCACTGACTGACTTCTGTAATCATGTTAGAAATATCAGAGAGGCAAAGAAATATCTATGGCATAAAATGGCTATAACTTCTGCCAGGTTCAAGTCTATATGCAATTCCATTCTTCTTACTCATCAGATAATCCAACACCAGATGCCTCAGGATGATCATTATTGGTAAGTTATTGAGTGATCTCAGTACAAAAATTATCAGACCAAAAACAAATTGTCCAGGTCTAGGAGAGAGAAAAGTTCTTAGATGCTGATGGTCCTATTAATGAGAGTCACTGCAAAACGGCAGATCTTACTATTTAACTATTTGTCTGTCTGAAAGAATAATTCAGACTTTTAAGGGTGACATTTTGATTTTAAATACCACAAGAAAGAATGATTAAAAATAATTTTCATGTGTTCTTCTGTAAATTATTTTCAGTCTCCCTGAGTAAAAATGGTTTCTTAAAGAAACAGGCACTATCGTAAACTCCACCCAAAACACAATTACCTTAACATCAACAAAAACATAAACAAAATAATAGCTATAGTATTAGTGTCGTAAGTTTATCTGACATACAGCATCACAAATCTATTAATTCATTTCTATTAACAAGGAGACATATTGTTCATAGAGGCTTATGACATTGTTTATATTCCTATATAGAGTACTTGGTGGCTAGACTTTTTTAAATAACAAGGAGTAATTGACAATGTAAATGCTACTACTGATAGATACTTTTATAGCATGTTCTTCTGTACACATACACTGAATCCAATGATTAGGAACATGTTGGAAGAAAACATATGTATTTCCTTATCTAATATAGTGGGTATTAAGAATATGACCTGAAAGCTAGCTTTTATCATACTGTCAGAGCCAATTGATATCTAAGGCAGTTTCAAAATGAAATAAAAGTGCCCCAGCAATAACTGCTTCAGGAGACTGTGACTTTATGTAATTCGATATTTCTATAATGGAATAATTATGTTAACAGCAAGTTGTTCTTACCTTGGCTAGACACCATGGCACTGGTGTCATCCATTCTGTCAGAGCGACCTTCTGGAGACATTAGAAGGTTTCTCAAGGCTATTTGAGTGATCAGCTTTTGACCTCTCTGGGAGAAGTCTTCAATGAAACAAATCATTTCTGTAATCATCAGTGTTAACTCAGAGAAAGGTTTAAGGGTAAAGGACAAAAATGCATGAAATAGTCTCCACTTTAGGAAATAAGTCTGTAACTCCCAAATGGTACTGCCTGCCAACTTATTCCAATAGCAATTGTCCAATTACCAGTTACCCTCTCATTAAGACCTTTCAGAAAAAAATAACAAATGACTGATACCATTGCCTGAATAGGTCTAATTTTGACATAGTTTTTTGTGATTTATTCATTAGAAAAATAGGTTGAATCTCATTATTTTAACCTTATTAGATACTTGTTGCTTGATTGCAAAGATAAACTGTACTGGGAAAAATATCTTGACTTTTAAATAAGGTAATGGTTTCCATTTAGTCATTTGTGACTCCTCCACTAGGTATTTGAGTTTAGTTACTTTTCCCCTTTTGTAACTGCAGATATGTGGTAAAATTATATTAGAAAATTGAATTAATATTAAATATTCATGTATTCTTCAAAGGATACTTTGAAATATTTATATCTGAATGAATGATTTAAATTTTTGTTTTACTAACTGTACTATTTTTTCACATAGTTCAGTATCAACTTTTGTCTCATGTTGACATTACCCAATATTTATTTCAACTCCCCTTATTATGTAGCCCATTTTGCTTATTAAAAGTAAAACATATATAAAGTTCCCACTTTAGTGCCTGGCACACAGTAAGTGATCAACAAATTTTACCTGTTTTTATTTTTATACATCTATATGTAGCTATAAGTTATCCTCATGTCTTACTAGATTATTCATATAGAGAATAAATATCTTGTAACATTACCATATAATTTACCCTCAAACACTCCATCTGTATCATTTTCCTACATATATCTAGAAAAAATGTTTTGAATTGGAATAGAAAAGAAATGCACTACCATTTATTTATTGCTTACTAAGACAATCATCATGAGATTGTAATATTGTTGTGGGATGAATGTTTGTGACTCCAAAAAATTCATATGTTGAAATCTTAATCCCTAATGTGATGGTATTTGGAGATAGGACCTTTGGGAGGTAATTAGGCCATAAGGGTGAGACTCTCGTGAAGGCATTGGTGCCCTTTACAAAAAGAGATGAGAAAAAGCATGTTTCTTCTCTCTATTCTCCATCATATGAATGAGAAAATGACCATCTGTAAATGAGGAAAAGTGCCCTTACCAGACACCAGATTTGCTGACACTATGATTTTGGACTTACTAGCCTCCAAAACTGTGAGAAATAAATGTTTATTTTTAAGCCATTCTGCCTATAGTATTCTGTTAGAACAGACCAAACTGACTAAGAAATATATCATTTACTATTCACAGCAAAACTCAATGAGTTTGGTCTTGTTATTAATGAAATTTTACAGATAAAGTGAAGTACAGAGAACTTTAATAGCATGCCCAGGATAATACAATTTGATCAGGCTGAATATGTAACATGGGTTCCTGTCCATATGACCTCTGAATCAAGCCAACCCTAAAAGAAAGTCTAACATCCACAGTATATTTTTCAACTCATGTCATCTGGTAAGTTCTGTTACAGTTAAAGTGACAACCACTCCTATACAACCCAAGGCCTGATTATTCACTGACTTGTCTTGTTCTCTATTTGTTTTATTTATATATGTCCTTTATCAGGTTGCATGAAGCATCTTAATGAACAGGGATACTACATCCTTCCCATTCTTCACAGAACTTCAATCCCTACTGGGCACACAACAGAAGCAATCACAACCAGTTGCTAGTTCACTATGATGAACTCTTGAATTCAACTGGAAAGAGTAAAACTTTTTAACTCAACCCTTAACCTCCTAAGCGTACTTCTCTACTTAGGATCTTCTCTAACACGCATCTGTGTCCATCTGATTGTAAGCATCTCTAATGTGAGGAATCTAGAAACCTCGTTTACAAGCTTACAAGTTTGTTCAGTGTTTCAGCTCCCTGACACTCAAGATGCTATTTCCGTACTGCTAAATTCTATACTTAAAGACAGAAATGTATCATTTAATCTTCTTTCTTTCCATTTAAATATCTTGTCTTTTCCTACACATTTTCCCTGCTATTTCTTTTTTAACCTTTAGTATACTTTTAATTGACAAGATAATTGTACACACTTATGTGGTACAGTGTGATATTTCAATACATGTATGCAATGTGTAATTATCAAACAGGGTAATTAAGATATCTATCACCTGAAACATTTATCATTTCCTTGTGTTGGGAACATTAAAAACCCTCTCTTCTAGTTTTTGAACATATACATTCATTATAGTTAATTATTTTCACCCTACAGTGCTATAAAATGCTAAAAATATTATTCCTATCTATCTACAAGTTTGTGTCTGTTAGCCAACTTCTGGCTGTATCCTTCTACCCCTTACCTTTCCCAGCCTCTGGTAAATACTATTGTACTCTCTATTTCAATGAGAACAGCTTTTTTAGCTTCCACATATGAGTGAGAACATTCTGTACTTGTCTTTCTGTGCCTGGCTTATTTCACTTGAGGAGCTTCTGACTAAATTCCTTATGCTTTGCTTTTTGATCTTCTGTTACCTCAATTTTTTTCTTCTTGAATTTCATTTTCTTCTTTGTCTTTGAAAGAGCCAACATATTTCTGAGCATTATTTTATATTCATATTTTGGGCTAACTGACAAATCTGACAGCAGCTACATACACAGTATTTCTTCTTTTATCCATTTCTTTCACTTTGCAAATTTTAGGCAAGATACTCACGTGTATGAATTAAAATTACTAAAGCAGCGGTCTCATGTTTTAGCATGCATGTAAACTACCTGAAAGTCCTGTCAAAATCAGTTATATAGTCCCAATCCCCAAGGATTTTGACTCAAGTTTAGGCTGGGTCCCAGAAATTTGCATTGTAATAGGTACCCTCAAATCTACTTTGATGTAATTAATACAAGAAAAAAGTTTCAAGAATCATACATTTTAAAAAGTTATTTATGTAGTAATGGTATTTAAAATATATTTTTTATTGAACTAGGAAAATGTATAATAATATTATTAAATTTAAAATAAATCAGAAATATTAATCTATAGGCTTTAAGCTCAGATAAGTAAATGACTAATTATATTAAGACATATAGTGAAAATTTTGCTTCCATCAGTTTCATGTGTTTTTGATGAAACAAATCAAAATATAACAAGTAATATTCATCTAACATAAAGACCGCATCATGATTTCCTTATAGGTCATTTGCCTTGAAATTATAATCCATTATTTTAGTCAAGTGGAATAGTAACACTTCAAAATGCTAAATTTATCTTATCAGGCTCAGCAGGTTTAATCTTTATTATCAGTTAACCCTCAATGACAGTTTTCCACAGAGAAATCAGTTAAGTCTTAGTATTTGCAGTATCCAAAAAATGATGAACAATCTGTTTCATAATTGTCAAGGGAACATATGGTTTCTTTACTCACCATTTCCTTCTTTGATACATTTTAATGTTACCTTATTGAGTGGTCAGAGTAAGTGAAGTCATGTCTTTTATACATGATTTGTTAACCAAAAGTATTTCTCAATTTAATAGAAATGATTCTACAGCATTGGCAACATTGGATGTTTTAAATAGTTGGGAGACAACAATGTCATTTATGATGTATGTTCAGTGGTTATTGACTATAGAAAACTAACAATTATAAAAATTATAATGAAATGAACAAAACAGAACCCTCAGAAATAGTACCACACATCTACAACCATCTGATCTTTGACAAACCTGACAAAAACAAGAAATGGGGAAAGGAGTCCCTATTTAATAAATGGTGCTGGGAAAACTGGCTAGCCATATGGAGAAAGCTCAAACTGGATCCCTTCCTTACACCTTATACAAAAATTAATTCAAGATGGATTAAAGACTTAAATGTTAGACCTAAAACCATAAAAACCCTAGAAGAAAACCTAGGCAATACCATTCAGGACATAGGCATGGGCAAGGACTTCATGTCTAAAACACCAAGAGCAATGGCAACAAAAGCCAAAATTGACAAATGGGATCTAATTAAACTAAAGAGCTTCTGCACAGCAAAAGAAACTACCATCAGAGTGAACAGGCAACCTACAGAATGGAAGAAAAATTTTGCAATCTACTCATCTGACAAAGGGCTGATATGCAGAATCGACAAAGAACTCAAACAAATTTACAAGAAAAAGACAAACCCATCAAAAAGTGGGTGAAGGATATGAACAGACACTTCTCAAAAGAAGACATTTATGCAGCCAAAAGACACATGAAAAAATGCTCATCATCACTGGCCATCAGAGAAATGCAAATCAAAACCACAATGAGATACCATTTCACACCAGTTAGAATGGCGATCATTAAAAAGTCAGGAAACAACAGGTGCTGGAGAGGATGTGGAGAAATAGGAACACTTTTACACTGTTGGTGGGACTGTAAACTAGTACAACCATTGTGGAAGACAGTGTGGCGATTCCTCAGGGATCTAGAACTAGAAATACCATTTGACCCAGCGATCCCATTACTGGGTATATACCCAAAGGATTATAAATCATGCTGCTATAAAGACACATGCACACATATGTTTATTGCGGCACTATTCACAATAGCAAAGACTTGGAACCAAGCCAAATGTCCATCAATGATAGACTGGATTAAGAAAATGTGGCACATATACACCATGGAATACTATGCAGCCATAAAAATGATGAGTTCATGTCCTTTGCAGGGACATGGATGAAGCTGGAAACCATCATTCTCAGCAAACTATCACAAGGACAAAAAACCAAACACCGCATGTTCTCACTCATAGGTGGGAATTGAACAATGAGAACACTTGGACACAGGGTGGGGAACATCACACACGGGGGCCTGTTGTGGGGTTGGGGGAGGGGGAGGGATAGCATTAGGAGATATACCTAATGTAAATGACTAGTTAATGGGTGCAGCACACCAACATGGCGCATGTATACATATGTAACAAACCTGCATGTTGTGCACATGTACCCTAGAACTTAAAGTATATTAAAAAAAATTATAATGAAATATAGATGCACTTCATCATCAGTTGTATTATAAGTCATTTATTGCCATGTTTGTTAAATAAGAAAAAAATAATTATTTCTTTGTATCTTCATTAATTACTACCAATAAGTAATATAGGCTGGGACAGCACTGCCAACTCTAATACATTATGAAACTACCAAAAAATTTACTGGTGCCTGGGCTTACAGGTTCAAGTACGTCAAATCTCATCCACGTAGTATACATGTTTTTTCTATTTCTCCTAAAAGCTAAGAAAGTTATTGTTCTCTTATCCCATAAAATTAGAAGAATGTGCTTTTATAAACATGTTCCAATGCGGTAATTAAATTAAAAGCCTAATTTTTTTCTTTTATTTTCAGCTGAGACATCTGCCACATTTCTTAAAGAGAAAGTAAACTGTAGTGGTAGATACTCTATAACATTTTCCAGATTAAAAAAGAAAAAGATCAAAATGAGGGCGTACTAAACTAAAAGGAAAGTATCAACATCATAACCTTTTCTGAGTGGTTACTGTAAGCATTTGGAAAAATCAAGTGTCAAAATCAAGGGCTCTTGAGCTAACATTATCTTCATTAATATTTAATACTCAGTAGAGCTCTGATGGGAAATAGTTGCTCTTTCAGAGAATCTGGTGGTTATTATAAGTTACTGTAATTAAGTTAATTTTAATTTGTGGAATCTAATTAAACCAATATTTTCTGTGGAGAAAAAAGTAGCCGAATACATTAATTAGAATAATTTCTCATTAAATTATGACACATCAGGATTGTACTACTGTTACCAGAAAAGGGGTCTTGATCCAGACCCCAGGAAAGGGTTTTTGGATCTCACAGGAGAAGGAATTCAAGGCGAATCACAGAGTTCAGTGAGAAGAGATAGTTTATTAAAAGCTACTCCATTACAGAGTAGGGCATCCTCAGAAAGCAAGTGGAGGAATGCAGGATCTTTGTGTTAAGTTTTTCTTATATAGGGATCTTGTCTATGTAAAGACTAAACTAATCTGTGTCTATGTGCAAGTGGGCTGACAGCATGGCTAAACGTATTACTTTATTAATTTAAAGAAAATTATCCTTGACATTTTAGTGTGTAAGTACATCAAACCATAACTATAATTATTTTTGAAAGCATATATTTTTATGGGTATTAAGACATCTTAACTATTTGCTGTTGTCAGTGTGTCCTTGTAGGTATCCTTAGACTATTTCTTCAACTCTAAATATCTTATGACCATGGGTCATAACTGGCAAAGAACGTGTCTTGCTAATTTGAAGATGGAGATTTTAAAATGGTGTCATTCTGGCTCAGCTAAGCTCCTGCTTTGCTAACAGTATGAAAATATTTAAGCTTTTTTTGGGGGGGTGCAAATTGGTCATAAGATTAGATTAAAACATTTACGGAGAACATTTTAAACTCAATTATCTTCTGCAAAGGTAGGGAAATAATTTTCTGTTATTTATTGAGTTATTTGTTGTAGTTCTTTATAGTAATGTTACCTTTCCCAGCCTCTGGTAAATACTATTGTACTCTCTATTTCAATGAGAACAGCTTTTTTAGCTTCCACATATGAGTGAGAACATTCTGTACTTGTCTTTCTGTGCCTGGCTTATTTCACTTGAGGAGCTTCTGACTAAATTCCTTATGCTTTGCTTTTTGATCTTCTGTTACCTCAATTTTTTTATTCTTTGTTACATACATCCCTTCATGAATTGTTTCCCTTAAGGAATCATTTTACACATACACCTGTTTGGCTATCTTTAAAATTACATGTACAGTCAAGGTGTGGTGGCATTTGGGGAGGCCAGCATTTGGGGAGGCCAAGGCAGGAAGATCCGTTGAGGCCAAGAGTTCAAAGTCAGCCTGAGCAATGTAGTGAGATCCCGTCTCTCCCCAAAATTAGCCAGGCATGGTGTCATGCACCTGTATTCCTGGCTACTAAAAAGACTAAGGCAGGAGGAGCACTTGAACCCAGGAGTTCAAGGTTACAGTGAACTATGATCATACGACAGAACTCCAGCCTGGGCAACAGAGCAAGACCCTTTGTCAAAATAAAAGTTGCATGTACAAAGATATTTAGGTCCATAAAAGACCTTAAAGAAAACTTTGAGGTGAATAAAACAGAGAATGAGAGTAGATGTCCTAATATTCTCTTTCACTCTTTCACTTTCACTATAGACCTCTAAAATTAACAAGCACCTGCTTCAGTTTATGAGGGTATGCATGCTCCATGAAAGGCAAAAACAATGAAAAGAAAAAAAAATAGGGGAGCTTGGGGTTTTTGTTTGTTTGCTTTTTGTTTATTAGCTTTGGCTTTGGTTTAGGCTTTAGAATTTTCTGGCCAACACTTAGTGATTATTTCCTACTTAGAATGCACCATGCTAGGTCTTTGACTACATAATTATTATATTCAATCCTCACAACTATCCTATAAGGCAGGGATCTCCAACCCCCAGGACACGGAGCAGTAACGGTTTATGGCCTGTTAGCATCCAGGCTGCACGTCAAGAAGTGAGCAGTGGGCGAGTGAGTAAAGCTTTATCTGTATTTACAGCTGCTCCCCATCCCTCACATTACTGTCTGAGTCCTGCCTCCTCTCAGATCAGCGGTGGCATTAGATTTTCACAATAGGAGCCTGAACCATATTGTGAACTGTGCATGAGAGCCATCTAGGTTGCAAACTCCTTATGAGAATCTAATACCTGATCATCTGTCTCTGTCTCCCATCACCCATAGATGGGCCCATCTAGTTTCTTTCTTTTTTTATTTTTTATTTCCATAAGTTTTTAGGGAACAGGTGGTGTTTGGTTACATGAGTAAGTTATTTAGTGGTGATTTGTGAGATTTTGGTGAACCCATCACCCATGCAGTATACAGTGAACCCAATTTTTAGTCTTTTATCCCTCATCTCCCTCCCACCCTTTCCCCTGAGTGCCCAAAGTCTATTGTGTCATTCTTATGATTTTGCATCCTCATAACTTAGCTCCCATTAATGAATGAGAACATACAATATTTGATTTACCATTCCTAACTTACTTTACTTAGACTAATAGTCTCCAGTTTTATCCAGTTGCTGCGAAAGCCATTAATTTTTTTTTATGGCTGAGTAGTACTCTATCATACATATATGCCAGAATTTCTCTATCCACTCATTGATTGATGGGCATTTTGGGTAGTTGCATATTGTTGCAATTGCAAATTGTGCTTCTATAAACATGCGTGTGGAAATATATTTTTCATATAATGACTTCTTGCCTCTGGATAGATACCCAGTAGTGGGATTGGTGGATCAAATGGTAGTTCTACTTTTAGTTCTTTAAGGAATCTCCACACTGTTTTCTATAGTGCTTGTAATAGTTTACATTCCCACCAGAAATGTAGAAGCGGTCCCTTTTCACTGCATCTGCACCAACAACTATTACTTTTTGGTTTTTTGATTATGGCCATTCTTGCAAGAGTAAGGTGATATTGCATTGTGGTTTTGATTTGCATTCCCTGATCATTAGTAATGTTGAACATTTTTTCATATGTTTGTTGGCCATTTGTATATCTTCTTTTGAGAATTGTCTATTCATGTCCTTAGGCCACTTTTTGATGGGATTGTTTGTTATTTTCTTACTAATATGTTTGAGTTCCTTGTAGATTGTGGATATTAGTCCTTTGTCGCATGTATAGAAAAAACAATCCTAACATTCATGTGGAACCAAAAGAAAACAAAAACACATAGCCAAAGCAGGGACTAAGCAAAAAGAACAAATCTGGAAGCATCACCTTACTTGACTTCAAATTGTACTGTAAGGTCATAGTCACCAAAACAGCATGGTACTGGTATAAAAATAGGCACATAGACCAAGGGAACAGAATAGAGAACCCAGAAATAAACCTAACTACTTACAACCAACTGATCTTTGACAAAGCAAACAAAAGCATAACGTGGGGAGAAGACACCCTGTTCAACAAATGGTGCTGGGATAATTGGCAAACCATATGTAGGAGCATGAAACTGGATCCTCATCTCTCACCTTATACAAAAATCAACTCCAGATGAATCAAGGACTTAATTCTAAGACCTGCAACTATAAAAATTATGGAAGATAACCTCAGGAAAACCCTTCTAGACATTGGTTTAGTCAAAGAATTTATGACCAAGAAACCAAAAGCAAATGCAACAAAAACAAAGAAAAATAGGTGGGACTTAATTAAACTAAAGAGTTTCTGTACAGCAAAAGAAACAGAGTAAACAGACAACAAGAGGAGTGGGAGAAAATCTTCACAATCTACACATCCCACAAGGGACTGTCTAGTTTTAGGAAAACAAGCTCGGGGCTCCAATTGATTATACATTATGGTGAGTTACAACTCACCGTATAATTATTTCATTATGTATTACAATGTAATAATAATAGAAATAAAGTACACAATAAATGCAGTGTACTTGAATCATCCAAAAACCATGCCCTACCCCTGGTACATGGCAAAATATTCTTCCATGAAACTGGTCCCTGGGGCTGAAAAGGTTGGGGGAAAACTGCTATAAGGTATATGTTATTACAAGCTGCATTTTATGGATAAGAAGTGTGTTTAAGCCTGCCTTACATTTTCTGAACAGTTCAAAGGCCCCAAACATAAAACTATCAGAAATGTGTCTTTTTTTCCTGTATTAGTCCATTCTCTCACTGCTATAAAAAAAAATACCTGAGATTGGGTAATTTATTTTTAAAAAAAAACAAGTTTAATTGGCTCATGGTTCCACAAGCTATACATAAAGCATGGCTAGGGAGACCTCAGGAAACTTTCAGTCATTGCAGAAGGGGAAGCAGGAGGAAGAAAGTGAAGGGGAGACGCTAACCACTTTTAAACAACCAACTCTTGTGAGACCTTACTCACTATCATGAGAATAGCAAGGGAGAAATCTGCACCCAATATCCAATAACATCCCACCAGGCCTCTCCTCCAACACTGAGGAGGAAATGGAGGCCATTATTCTAAGTGAAATTGAAAATCAAATAACACATGTGCTTACATGTTCATCTGTTGACAGATGGCCCTGCATGATATGTAAGCAGAACCCGAAATTGGACAGCCCCTTTCTAGGACATCCCTGAAGGACAGTGGTAAAAGAAAATCTTCCCAGTGGGCAGAACTTTGAGCAGTGCACTTTGCATGGAAGGAGAAATGGCCAGGTGTGCAATTATATATTGATTCATGGGCTGTAGCCAATCATTTGGCTGGATGGACAGGGACTTGGAAGCAGCATAATTGGAAGATTGGTGATAAAGATATTCGGGAAAGAGGTATGTGGATCAACCTCTCTGAGTGGTCAAAAACTGTGAATATATTTGTATCCTATGTGAATGCTCACCAACGGGTGACCTCAGAAGAGGAAGATTTTAATATTCAAGTGAATAGGATGACTCATTCTGTGAAAACCACTCATCCTGTTTCCCCATCCACCCCTGTCATCACCCAGTGGGCCCATACATAAAGTGGCCATGGTGGCAGGGATGGAGGTTACACATGGGCTCAGCAACATAAAGTTCCACTCACCAAGGCTGACCTGGCTATGACCACTGCTGATTGCCTAATTTGGTAACAGCAGAGACCAACACTGAGCCCTCGATATGGCACCATTCCTTGGGTGATCAGCCAGCTACATGGTGGCAGGTTGATTATATTGGACCTCTTCCTTCATGGAAAGGGGAGTGGGTTTTCCTCACTGGAATAGACACTCCAGATATGGGTTTGCCTATTTTACATGCAAGGCATCTTCCAAGACTACCAATCCATGGATTCATAAAATGCCTTATGTGCCGTCATGGTAAAGGCACTCATTTTACAGCTAAAGAGTAAGGCAATGGGCTCATGCTCATGGAATTAACTGGTCTCATCATGTTCCCCATCATCCTCATTTATAGCTAAGCTACTAAGCTGTGGGTACACAAAGGCATACAGAGTGGTATAATGGACATTGGAGACTCAGAAGCAGGGAGGAGGAGAGGGAGGTGAGGGATTAATGAATACCTATTGGGTGCAATGTACACCACTTGAGTGATGGGTATACTAAAATCTTAGACTTCACCAATACACAACTCATCCATGTAACCAAAAACCATTGGTACCCCTAAAGCTATTGAAATAAAAAATAAAATATAAAAAAGGAAAATTAAAGCACAGTTCAAGTTAAAACAGTAAGTAAATAAAGTAAATAAAATCCTAGTTCAACTTTGAACTAGGGATGTCTATCACCCCAAACATTTTTCTTTCCATAAGGAACATTATAATTCTCTCTAGCTATTTTGAAATATACAATACATTATTATTAACTATAACTTCCTAACTGTACTATTTAATATTAGAAATTATTCCTTCTATCTAAATATATTTTGCACCCATTAACCAATTTCTCTTTATTCACCACTCCCCCATTCCCTTCCCCTCCTCTAGTAACCACTATTCTACTCTTTACCCCCATGACATCCACTTTTTTAGCTCCCACATATAAGTGAAAACATGCAATATTTGTCTTTCTATGTCTGGCTTATTGTACTTAACATAATGCCTACCAGTTTCATCCATGCTGTGGCAAATGAAAGTATTTCATTCTTTTTTATGGCTAAATAATATTTCATTGTGAATATATACCATATTTGTATCTATTTATTTGTTAATGAACACTTAGGTGGATTCAGTATCTTCGTTATTGTGAGTAGTGCTTCAATAAACATGAGATTGCAGATATATCTTCAATATGCTGATTTCTTTTCTTTTTGAATATATTCCTACTAGTGAGATCGCTGGATCATATGGTAATTCTATTTTTGGATTTCTGAGGAAACTTCATATTGTTTTTCACAATGGCTATGTTATTCTACATTTCTACTGACAGTGCACAAATGCTTCCCCTTTTTTTGCATCCTCACTAGTATTTGTTATATTTTGTCTTTTTGATAATAGCCATTTTAGTTGGGGTGAAATGACATCTCATTGTGGTTTTGATTTGAATTTCCCTGATGATTAGTAATGCTCAGCATTTTTTAAATAGATCTGTTGTTCATTTGTATGTCTTCTTTGGAGAAATCTCTATTCTATTCATTTTCCCATTTTAAAATTGGATTATTGTGTTTTTGTTATTGAGTTCCTTACATATCCTGGTTTTTGTCCCTTCTCAGATGGGTAGTTTTCACATATTTTCTCCCATGTTGTTTGTCCCTTAATTTTGTGGATGCTTCCTTTGCTGTGCAAAAGCTTTTTAGCTTGATGTAATCTCTCTCATGTGTTCATTTTTGCTTTTATTGCCTGAGCTTTTGAGGTACTACTCAACAAATCTTTGCCCAGAGTAATGTTCTGTTACATTTCCCCAGTGTTTTCTTTTAATACTTTCATAGTTTCAGGTCTTACACTTAAGTCTTTAATCCATTATGAGTTGATCTTTGTCTATGGTAAAGGATGGGGACCTAGTTTCATTCTTCTGTGTGTGGATATCCAGTTTCCCCATCATCATTTATTAAAGAGACTGTCTTTCCCCAGTGTGTGCTCTTAGCACCTTTGTTGAAAATGAGTTGGGTGTAACTGTGTGGATTTATTTCTGGGTTATTTATTCTGTTCTGTTGCCTGTGGTGGGAAGGGCTGCAGCAGAAGTTTCAAGACATTTTCTTCATTGTATTTTCCATTAACTTTTAGTTCCTTTTTACTTATGCAAATCTATGCAGCTGGCTTGAATTTTTCCTATAAAAATGGGATTTTCTTTTCTACCACATGGCCAGGCTGTACATTTTTCAAACTTTCATGCTCTGCTTTCTTTTTAAATATAACTTCCAGTTTTACATCTGTTTTTCTCACAAATATGAGCATAGGCTGCCAGAAGCAGCCAAGTCAGGTCTTGAATGCTTTGCTGCTTAATAATTTCTTTTGCTAGATACCCGAAATCATCTCTCATAAGTTCAAAGTTCCACAGATTTCTAGGGCAGGGGCATGATGCTTCCAACCTTTTTGCTGAAGTATAGCAAAAGTGACCTTTGCTCCATTTCCAATAAGTCTCTCATTTCCACCTGAGGGCACCTCAGCCTGGACTTCATTGTTCATATCCCTATCAGCATTTTGGTCACAGCAATTTAACCTGTCTGTCTCTAGGAAGTCACAAACATTCCTTTATCTTTTTTTCTTCTCCAGAGCCCTCCAAGCTTTTCCAACCTCTGCCTATTACCCAGTTCCAAAGTCACTTTCACATTTTCAGGTATATTTACAGCAAGCCCCACTCCTAGGTACAAATTTTCTATATTATTTCATTCTCACCCTGGTATAAAGAAACACCTGAAACTGAGTAATTTATAAATAAATGAGCTTTAATTGGCTTATGGTACTGAAAGCTATATGGGAGACATGGCTGGGAGGTCTCAGGAAACTTGAAATATTGGTAGGAGGGGAAGCAGGCACATCTTACATGGTTGGAGCAGGAGAAAGAAAGTGAAGAAGGAGATGCTACACATTTTTTTTTTTTTTGAGATGGAGTCTTGCTCTGTCACCAGGCTGGAGTGCAGAGGCACGATCTTGGCTCACTGCAACCTCCACCTCCTGGGTTCAAGTGATTCTCCTGCCTCAGCCTCCAGAGTAGCTGGGACTACAGACACATGCCACCACACCCGGCTAATTTTTATATTTTTAGTAGAGACGGGATTTCACCATGTTGGCCAGGATGGTCTTGATCTCTTGACCTCGTGATCCACCTGCCTCGGCCTCCCAAAGTGCTGGGATTACAAGTGTGGGCCACTGCGCCTGGCCTACGCACTTTTAAACAACCAGATCTTGTGAGAACTCACTCTCTATCGAGAGAACAGCAAAGGGGAAATCTGCTCCCATAATACAATCACCTCCCACCAGGCCCCTCCTCAACAACGGGGATTACAATTTGATATGAGATTTGGGTATGGACCCAAATCCAAACCATATCATATCCTTAAAAACTGCAAAATTCTCAGTATTCCTCAATCTTAATTTGATAGAAAGTACATTTCCTGTACATTTTAGAATTGTATTACAAAATGTGCTGTCATTTTTGTCTAGCCATGGATCCTTTCAAAATCTACTACACAAATAATATTACCATTGTTACCTTGAAATAAACACACAAAACAATGGGAAGACTTTGCTATTTCTATGAATCATAGGAGTGGTATGAGTTAATGTGAACCTTCTTTGTTTGGTTTTCTTCTTCACGATAATTAAAGGCAAAGTAATCTTCTGAATTTAACTTGAGCCATCATTGTATCCAGGCTGTAATGGAACTTCATAATGTATATCAAATCCTAAGAGTAGTAATTACCAAGATCCTTTTCCTTCACACTCAGCTCAGGTTACCCTTCAGATAGTGATGCTAAATCAAATGACGTAATTTGTGCTCACCAGAAGATGGCCATCGGTGTTGCTATCCCAGCTCTTACCTGGTGCCATCCCCATCACCTTTACTCACCCTGCTGGGAACCAGAAGCATGTTGTACATCTTTTTAGTGTCCATAACTATAGACTGCATAACCCTGGGAAATTGCTTAATTTTTCTGTGCCTCACTCTCCTCATCTGTAACATGAGCATATAATAGCTCCCACTTCACAGAGTTATAAAAAATTAGATAAATCTGAAAGCACCCATCATGCTATATGCTACCGTCAAGGTACTCATCATGCTACTTGGAAAACAAGTATATTCAAAACTGAAAATATTGGAAAAAAAATCTTATCTAAAAGTTGTGTAATATTTAACAACAAAAACTTTAAAAGAAAAATCTGCCAAGGTTAAGCCATAGCACAATATTATATTTGTAGCATTAGTCCTCCTCTCACCCTCTTCACCCTTAATCAACATGCTCATTTAACTACCAAGAGCATACCCATAAAATTCTCTCTTATGCTCAGGAGAGCAAGAACATTAGTTAACTCTTCTTCTATAACTGCTGCAGTCAGTGAAAAGCTAACGCTTAGCTCATATTCCTGAGAGAAGGTGTTGCCGAAAAATAAGCGTCAGATAGCTCTAGAGCAGTATTTTATGGAGTATCATCATTGACTATATTTTCATAATCACTTGAAATAGTTATAAAAAATTTCAGATTCCTGGGCCTCACTCCAGAGTCACTGAACCACCTCTGAGAGTGAGGTCCAGAAATATGTTTTACAAGCACTTGGATGATTCTTACGCATGATATTTTTTGAAACCATTGCCCTAAAGAATATACTTTATCAGAGGATAAGACAAGTATCATTGATGACAAGTTCTGTTACAGAAGGGGAAAATTCAAACCTTGATAGCTCTCAATGAGAAGTTTCTAATGACCTTACTGGTATCAAATCACACTGAAAGAAATTACTTGCCATGGGTCCATTCACACACTAGTGTTTGTAAATCAGAGGCACCTTTATTTTAATTATTTCATACATTATGGAAACTTAATACTTATGGTTTAAGAAATGAGGAAAAAGGCCAGGCGCAGTGGCTCACGCCTGTAATCCCAGCCCTTTGGGAGACGAAGACAGGTGGATCACGAGGTCAGGAGTTTGAGACCAGCCTGACCAACATGATGAAACCCCATCTCTACTAAAAGATACAAAATTTGGCCAGGCGTAGTGGCATGCGCCTGTAATCCCAGCTACTCGGGGGCTGAGACAGGAGAATAGTTTGAACTCCGGAGGCAGAAGTTGCAGTGAGCCAAGATCTCACCATTGCACTCCAGTCTGGGTGACAGGGCGAGACTCTGTCTCAAAAAAACAAATGAAAAAAAGAAATTAGGAAAAAAGTAGATAAAGCAGTGTCTAGAATGCATGCATTATTGATTGTATTGTTCATCTCAATTTGAGGTTGAATAAAAATGGGTTAGGCAAGTCTTCAGACACTTCCACTTTAATAATTCTACAGGACTCATTCCCGTCATTTAAACCTGTAATGATGTACTCACCTCTGGGAAACCCAGAAAATGGTGGTGACAACCTACTCCTACAACTTGACTCAGGTCATCCTTAAGAGAATGAACCATTTTTAGTCTAGTTGTTAAGGGCAATGCTGTTCAGTGATAAGAGCTTGAATAAGGTCTCTAGACACAAATGTTTTCAAAGGCAGTGGAAATAATAGAGTACCATTATTAGAAACAAAGGCATCTGCAATCTATGCTCTGAGCTACTGTAAAATTGTACTTGCAGCAGAAGTCTGATATAGAACTATGAACACGTTCAACCATTTAAAGCAGGCTACCAACATCCATAAATTCGTCCCTGGAAATTGTTTTACAAAATCAGCATGAATTGCTAATTTTAGCAAACATTCATTGTATTGGCTCTCCAGCACTCATTCACTCTCATTCCAGAAAATATAGCCAAATTTTACTCTGAGTAAATTTGACTCATTCCTTGACTTTCGGGTTTGCATATTATATAGTCCTGTCTAACAAAATCTTTCCATACTCCTGGCCAGAGTTAGTTCAGTTATAACCATGGAATTTCATAAAAGTCCATAAGACTTTTGTTAGGACCTTTCTAAGAAAAATGTAGGCTCTTTGCTCACTAGATTTGAACCTAGGAGAATATAGGTCCTGAACCGTTGGTAGCATCTTGACACCACACAAAACCTGAGACTGATTACAACATAGCCATAGAATTGGAAGTTAATTACAAGGTTTGAACCCTAAAGTCACTCTTACCTGTCTGAGCCAACAAACACCTGAAATTTCAGATACATTAGTAAATAATTTCTTTTTTACCTAAAGCACTCTGGATTCTATGAAGTGTCACCTTATTGTTAATCTTTCTAATGGTACAACTGAAGCTGTGAGTACAAGATGAAGGCTGAAATGATTGTGAAAAAGCAATTCTCTCAACAAACATCTATTGAATGCTTGCTCTGTACCAATGAATTTATTAAAGGTACATTATTTGAGTACATCAATGACTTTAAAACAAGATTACACATCACAGGTCTTGTAAACAATTTCTTTTAACACTCCTTTTAGAAATTAAATTTTATCCACTTGAAAGCTATAATAAAAAGCATGTTTGAATGAATCGATTGTTGTTTGTATATACATAATTTAAATGCACTAGAGATTATCAAGGCATTTATATATGCTCTTGGTCAATTCACGTTTGTGTACTTCTATTATCCCTTGGAATAAATGCACTATTACCTAGGAGGATGAGAGTTCTGCACTAGTCATTTTTTCCGTATGTAGTCTTTTAACATGCATTCATTATAAAATTGTTCAAGTAGGCGCACTACCATGGCATATGTGCATCATATACAGGTAAATGACAGGTAAGTCTCAGTTCATTTTCTGGGTACAGGCTACATGCTCTTATCACATATAATTGTTGTGCAGTTACAAATAAATATTAACATGGTTTGTAGCTGAAATATATAAGACAAGAAATGCAAGTGTGATTGTTACACATAAAATGACTATGATATTATTTATCTAGGGTTTATTATATATCAAGCACTATCCTCAGTATTTTAAATGAATTAGTCATTACATCTTTACAGCACCATAAGGCATATATTATTTTCATTTCTGTGTTGCTGCTGAAAAAAAAATGAGACTTGGGAAAGTTAATTGGATTGCCTCTGATTGTAGAGACAGTAAATAATAGAGTAGGGTTGGGTTTAAATCCACTTAACCTTTCTGCTAAAATCACCATGCTTTTAATGACTATCATGTACTCTCTTTAAATTGTTAGAGATTTAGCTTTGAAAACTTTAAGTTTAAAATCAATTCAACTGATATTTCCAGATAATTGTTAAAATGCTGTTAACATTTGTTACAACTTATTTGTGTGAATGAGGACTATGTAAATAATTTTGAGAAAAGTAAAATATACACAAATAAAATGGAGGCTGACAGTGATAGAAGACTGCTCCCATCACCCATTTGGTGATAGGTTTGGATTTAGGATTTTGGTATGTATCACAATAGCATCACTGCTTTTACTGGTTGACTTTCTAATAATTGTATATTATCAATTTGAACTTTGAATGTGTACTTAATTAAAATGCCACTTACTACTTGTATTAGGCTGTTCTTACAGTGCTATAAAGAAATACCTGTTACAGAGTAATTTATTAAAGTTAATAAGTTTAATTTGCTCACAGTTCTGCAGGCTGTATAGGATGTATAGTGGCATCTGCTTCTGAGGAGGCCTCAGGAAGCTGGCAATTATGGTGGAGGGCAAATGGAAAGTAGGCATGTCACATGGTGAAACCAGGAGCAAGAGGGAGAGAGAAAGGGGTGTGTGGGGAGGTGCCACACACTTTTAAACAGCCAGATCTTGTGAGAAGTCACTCACTGTCATAAGAACAGCACCAAGGGAGTTGTGCTAAACCATTCATGAGAAATTCACTCCCATGATACAATCACCTCCTTACAAGGCCACACCTCTAATACTGGGGATTACAATTCAACATAAGATTTAATGGGGACACAGATCTAAACCACATCATTACTTTTTGTGTTGGTTTAGTATTTCACTTTTTGAAAGGGATTTTAGTCTTAAAGTGCCATATTTGGGGTAACCAGTAGAGAAACATAGCACAACCAAAATAAATAGGTGTTGAATACAAGATGAATTATATAAATTCTGGATTACACTGTTGTGTGAAAAGTCAAAGTCATTTGATACTAGGTAATAAGAGTGCTTACATGAGTTTCTGGATGTTCTTTTGAAGAACTTTGAATCTCCCCATTTGACGAAATGGTACTTTCTCTTACAGAATCAGCATACACTATCTCTAAGTCTTCAGATCAGATGGGGGCACAAACTTTTACACCTGAAGCAGGGGGAATATTTTTCAACCTCACTGGAGTGTTTCCTGTATTATGTTGCCCTTCATAGCAAAGTGGTCTCTACCTACAGTGGACAGCATGTATGTTAGAAACAGAAGCAGATACGTTTATCCCTTTGCTATGATGATACAGCATCACTGATTAGGTCATTATCATAGGCCATTGTATATTTCAAAGAAATGCCTGTTGGTGTTGGAGAGAACTGAAACTTCAATAAATGTGACAAATTTATTGCATACTCTAATCTTAGATGAAGTAGTTATGCTGAAAGACATTATTTTGAAACATGCTTAGGTCCCATGAATTTCCAGGAGGACAGTATACCAATAGTCTGAGTTAACTAATGGTGTAGATTGTTATTGGAATTCAGTTAGATGGCTTTCACTCTGTTTCCCATCTTTCCTTCTAAACATTTCCTTTCATTTTGCAGACATAGTCTGCCATACAAATCCCACTGAGTCTAAAATTTTTTATTTATTTATTTATTTATTTATTTATTTATTTATTTATTTTGAGACGGAGTCTCAGTCTGTTGCCCAGGCTGGAGTGCAGTGGCGCGATCTCGGCTCACTACAAGCTCCGCCTCCCAGGTTCATGCCATTCTCCTGCCTCAGCCTCCCGAGTAGCCGGGACTACAGGCGCCCACCACCATGCCTGGCTAATTTTTTGTATTTTTTTTTTGTATTTTTAGTAGAGACGGGGTTTCACCGTGTTAGCCAGGATGGTCTCGATCTCCTGACCTCGTGATCCACCCGCCTCAGCCTCCCAAAGTGCTGGGATTACAGGCGTGAGCCACTGCTCACGGCTCACTGAGTCTAAAATTTATTAAACATTTAGTTCACCAAAGAAAGACATGAATAACTATCTTAGTATGTCTATAAACAAAACACTCAGAAATTTTCAAACAACAGTCCAAATGATGAAATGTTTGCACAAATACAGTATATTCACCATTTGCTATTTACTTCTGCAAATATCAGATGTCGAACTGATATTTTGGCTTTCTACTTTGTTTTTAAATATTTTCTCTCAAGTGAGGAAATGCAGTATGCTTCGGATACAAAAGTTGATTATCTCTCTTCTGTTCAGAAATTTCAATGAATTAATGCACATGGTTTAAATGCTTCTGCATTCATTTTAATAACATGCTGATTTTAAACAACTTAAAAAAATGCAGAGGAGTAAAATGTTAGGTTGGTTCAAAAAAATTGCGGTTTTTGCAATTACTTTTAATGGCAGAACCCACAATTACTTTTGGACCAGTCTAATAAGAAAACCACCCCATCCTACCATCCAAAAAGATAAGCATTATTCATATTTTGGCAAAAATTCTACTAATCTTTAGTCCTATAAATCTGGTATTATTTTTTAATTTAGTGTTTTCCATGAAGATTTAGGAATTTGAGATTTGTAAGCATTGTTATTTTGATAATATCCTTATATTTCTCAAAAAATAATGCTCAGTAATCGCATATAATTCCATCCTTTAGACTTCAGGGAAAAAGGGTAGAACTGACAATGTATAATGTTTCAAAGATAATGGAAGTTAATTTTTCATTCACGAAATAGCACAGAATGTGGTTCCTAGTCACTGCATACATGTTCTTTATGTATGGTTTCAAGGACCTGGCGTCTTGAATGCATAGCTTATAAATTTATCCTGGATTTTGCCATACCAATCAGACATAAAGAGAAAAGATTATAAAAGAAAAGGTGTTCATGGGTTAAAATAAATTGAAACAAAGTAAAACATATACAGGTAAACTGGATGTTGACACTGATAAAAGACTGCTACTGACTTAAAAGGAGAAACATCATTTTCTGCTCACATTCCATAGAAAAGAACTCAGTTACATAGCCATACTTAACTTTGGAGGATACTGGGAATGTAAGCTACCTTTGTGCTCAAGAAAAAGAGGGAAATGCGTGTTGGTAAACAGCTAGCAATATCTTGCATAACTAGCGAAATAAATAATTTTCCTATATTTGTTACTTACTTAAATGTCTAATTTTATCCCAGATCTTTATCTCATGTTTTCCAATGATGTATTCATTTTTAGATCTTTAGATATGTAGATTGAATGGATTTATTTTAATAATTAAGGATATTAACCATATATCTGTCTTACAGGTATAAAATATTTCCACTTTTAAGGCCTGGTGCGGTGGCTCACGCCTGTAATCTCAGCACTTTGGGAGACCGAGGTTGGCGGATCACACGGTCAGGAGTTCGAGACCAGCCTAACCAACATGGTGAAACCCTGTCTCTACTAACAATACCAAAATTAGCCGGGTGTGGTGGTGCATGCCTGTAATCTCAGCTACTCAGGAGGCTGAGGCAGAAGAATAGCTTGAACCCGGGTGGCAGAGGTTGCAGTGAGCCAAGATTGCGCCACTGCACTCCAGCCTGGGTGACAGAGCGAGACTTCGTCTCGGAAAAACAAAACAAAACAAAAAACAGAAAAACCCAAAATATTTCCAGTTTTAATAACATTTAATTTTTCTTTAGTGATTATCACAAATAATAGTTTTAAAAGCTTAAATTAAAATTTTAGGGCTGGGCTGGCTCACGCCTGTAATCCCAGCACTTTGGGAGGCCAAGGTGGGTGGATCACCTGAGGTCAGGAGTTTGAGACCAGCCTGACCAACATGGAGAAACCCTGTCACTACTAAAAATACAAAATTAGCTGGGCATGGTGGTACATGCCTGTAATCCCAGCTACTCGGGAGGCTGAGGCAGGAGAATCGCTTGAACCCAGGAGGCAGAGGTTGCAGTGAGCTATGAGATGGCCCCATTGCACTCCAGCCTGGGCAACAAGAGTGAAATTCCATCTCAAAAAAAAAAAAAAAAAATTTAGACATATTTTTCTTTGGTTTTATGCTTAGAAATTCCTTCTGTATCTTAAGATCAAATAAATTTGTGCTTATGTATTCTTTTAGGTGCTTAATGGTTAATATTTTAGTTTTAAAACTTTAATTCATGTATAAAAATTTAATATGTATGGATACATATAGTATAAAATATAACTCTATTGCTTCCTATTTGACCATTTCTATTTTTCCATTTCTTTTCACATTTATATAATTTGCTATCTAAACTTTTATATATTCTATAGGTCTTAAAGAAAATAACACTGAAAATTAGGAGGGAAAGTCTCTACTTTCATATTGTGTGGCATGTCAAGTAGAAGACAATAAAACTAAGTTTAGTCTGAGGTTTGTAGCTCATGAGACTAAATGGATAATGACACTGTTAATATAGCAGCAGATCATATTTGGTAGAGAAGATAATCTTTTCTGTTTTAGACATATTAAGTCAAGAGATCTTGAAGATGTAAAGTAGGCGGTCGGATTACTTAGTAGAATGTATGAGCTGGTGTTTGAAGAGCTATTACTTTGTTGGTGATAACAATGAGAGCAGTTAGGATAATCCAGGAAGAATATATATAGATGATGAGAGAACCTGGTGATGAATCCTGGGAAACTCCAAACGTTAAGGAATTTGCAGTGAGAAATAACCAGCAAAGTTAATTAAAAAGTATACTGAGTGATAAGAGGAAAACAAAAAATAGCACCACATATGAAAACTGAAGGGAAATTTTTTTGAAGGAAAAGGGAATCAACAGTGTCAAATGCCGCAGAGAGGTCAAGTTAAATGAGGAATAAAAACAAGTCATTGTCATTGACAATTAGCAATTATGGATGGCCTTCTTAAGAACAATTTAAGTACAGTTAAGGAAGAAGCGATATTATACTTAGCATGTAGGTGCTAAAAATGGTAAATCTCACGTATCAAGTGACTGAAACATGCCCCCCATCCCATTGAATATACGTTCATAATAGATTTGCGAGATATATTGCTAACAGCACTTAACAGAAATGGAAAAAAACAGCCCAAAAATGTTAAGAAATATACACAATGTCATTTACTTAGGAAGTACTAGAGCCAAACCAATTTTCTTATTGAGAAAGTCTTGCTTACATTCACAAACATGAGTCTATTTCCTATCCTTCTAATAGAAGGATTTTTTTCTCTCTCTGTCTCCCTTTCTGGATCTAAAATTTATGCTTTTTTTTTTTTCCATTTCATCACATTGTGTTTCCGGTAGTCTGTTTTTTCAAGATCTTTTGTACTGATGCTAAGGTGAAGGGAAAGGTAATAGCTAGAAATAAATGCAGGTGCATGAGAAAGTTTAAGATGAATGTCTAGCTTCTCACTGCTCAAAAAGCCCAATACACAAGAGGTGAGGTGTGGCTGAAGAAAAGCAGCTTTATTTAAATGCTAACAGATGAGGAGATGGCTTGGCTCAAGCCTCCAAATTTTTAGACTGATTGAAGGGGTTTAAAAAGGGAAGTTTGGTATGAAAAACATATGAGAGTGGTGCAGAGTACTGGTCTGCATGTCTTGTTCTGATTGCTCTCTTGAGTTATCGTGCAGTACCAGCTGGCACCATCTCGACTGCAGATGCATTGTCGATGAACCACCTTGAGGTAATCTCTAGATGAAGGAGAGTTCTGCAGCTGGGTCTCCATGCCTGGCTTGTTTCAAGATTAGCTCCTAGAATTACTAATCAAACATATAGTTAGTTAAGCATGCACATGTTGGTCATAGGGTCACAGTGCAAGGGAGTGCCTAGAGGGAGGAAAAATATTTCTAAAGTACATTTCAAGGCTATATCTTCAGACTAAGGAGAAAAGTTTTAAAATATATTTCAAAACTAAGATATTCAATTACGTGACTAGTCAAAAGTATTCAGTCAATATCAGATTCTTCCAGAAGGTGGTCAGTAGGACAAAAAGACGAGAGAATTAAAGGTGTTCCAGGAAATGTAAAGCAATCAAACATGGGGTCCAGACAGAAAAGATATGGAAATGAAGCTGGGAAGAGGCTAATAAAATAGGCTAACATTGGGGAGAGGAGAGGAGTTGAGGGACTAGAATCTTACACATTTGCCTTGACTTTTCAGGCTTTCCCTGAATATAATTCAGGAAAAAAAATCTTCATTCTAAGTCTAAATTCCCCATTATTTATTAACCTTCACTTTAATTTCAATCAAGTGGTTACTATATGTATGTGTCTGAACATTGTAACATAAATGTTACAAGTATTTGTAATAAATTTATTTTACAAATAAAAAGTATTTTACAAATAAATTTATTTTATAAATAAAAAGTATTTGTGAAATAAATGAGCTTTTAAAAAAGAATAATTGCATCTGAAGAATTAGTTTGATTCAAGTATTGAATACCAAGTATTCAAGTTAGCACATTATGATAAAATGTCATTCATTCGAATGCAATATTCAGGGAATATATTAATTACTCTTAGTTTGTCTTGAAAAGAACACAGTATTTCTGCTTTAAGAAAATTGGGAAAAAATCACTGTGTGCCATTTTTTGAAATTCTTTAGTTTGCAAATGAGAAAGAAGTCAGAGGACTTGTAATTTGCTGCCCATAGGCTTCTGAACACTTTACAACTTGTGAAATAAACTGAATTCAACAGTCTTTACCCAAGCAAAGTTGGCCATCAGTAAGCACATTTACATGTCTATTTGCTGCATAAGAAGCACACTTTCTCCAGAATAACTGAAGATTATGTACAGATTCCTTGGCCCCAACCCCAGAGATAGCAATTCCATACTTCTTGAAGTTGATGCCAGGAATATTATCTTTTAAGTTTTTCACCTGATTTTCATGGTCAATCAGTATTGCAATTTACTTCTTGTTATGAAGAGGTCATTCATGTTCTCTGCTACACTTTCAGGTATTTGCTCCCTCAGATATTTCTCTCATTGGCTGGATATCTACTAAGAGAGGAAATAAAAAATTAGTAGATTTTTCTACTCGTTAGGAGAATCTGCCTTTAAAGAAAAAAAGGAAAAAAAAAAAAAAAAAAAACCTTTCCGCAGACATACCCGTGACAAAAGGAACAGAATGTCTGCTTCATTATACACTATACATCTGATTACTCTTGCCCACTCCATCCTTTCAACACAAAATAGAAAAAGGAAAAGAAAAAAAATGGTACAAACATTTACTGAGCACACTAAAATCTGCCCATAACGATCTAGAAGCCTTTACATAATCTCATTTCATTTTTGCAGCAAGCCTACAAATTAGATATAACTGTATTAGTCCATTTTCACAGTGGAATAAAGAACTGCCTGAGACTGGGAAATTTATAAAGAAAAGAGGTTTAATTGACTCAGAGTTCCACATGGCTGGGGAGGCCTCAGGAAACTTACAATCATGGCCGAAGGGGAAGAGGAAGCAAGCATCTTTTTCACAAGGCAGCAGGAGAAAGAAAGCGAGTGTGTGAAGGAGGAACTGTCAAACACTTATAAAGCCATCAGATCTTATGAGAACTCACTCACTATCAACAGAACAGAATCGGGGAAACCACCCCCATGATACAATCACCTCCCACGAGGCTCCCCATGATACAATCACCTCCCACGAGGCTCCTCTCTCGACACACAGGGATTACAACTTAAGGTGAGATTTGGATGGGGACACAGAGCCAAACCATATTAATGACCAACCCCAACTTATGGATGAGAAACCCAACGCTCAGAGAGGGTAAGTATTCCACTCTCAATAGCACAGCTAACATTGTACAAAACAGTCATTCAAACAATGTTGTCAGCACAACACCCTGGTATTCATAGCCTCTGAACTACATACATATGCACACACATACATACAGGTAGCGAAACATGCATTTCATTTTTTTTCCAAAACATTGCACGTTGTGCTAAGAACACTGAAATAAGAGTACAGAACTTGGGTTTTTAGCTCTAGCTCATTTCCTAATTAGCTTTTGTGACATTCCTTAATGTTCATAAATTTTGTGGACTTCATAAATCTCAATGTTAAATAAGGATAGAGTATTACGTAATTTCTAAGGTCTTTTGTCACACTAAAATATATTCACCTACTCTATTCCTCTGAATCACTGCAAGCCCAGTGTGGACTATATTACATGCATTACCCGGCATTTTTAGAACATATCTTTTCAACACACAGAATAATGGTGAGGCAGTGAATATATTTGAAATTTCATATATTTGAATTTTTTATCTTACTTCCTGTTGTCCTTCATACATGATTTAGTAGTAATCAATAACTGTCAAACTCACCACCCATAAAATATCTCAGCCCACTCATCTGTTTCAGAATGCATTCTAATTCCAATGTCTATGGGCTACTTTGTGTTTGCAATGCATTTGAAAGTCAAGTTATTGAGTTTCTGCTTACAGAACCACTCCTTGGAGAAGAATTTCTTGTTTTTGCAAGACTGCCCATGCTTAAGAGCAGTGCATTGGGAGAAGTCCTCCTCCACATCAAAAGATATATTTTAAGCAGAAGCTTGAGCATTTGGAAAGAAAATACCATTTTGAAAACACAAGTGAAATACACAGAAATGTTTGATCAGAAAGAGCTCTGGAATAAGAGTCAAGGGACCTGAATTTGAGGGGAAATCCAGCTATTGCGGAGCTGTTTGATCTTGGATAAGGCATTTGACCTTCCAAATTTCAATTTCACCTTTGTAAAATGATCTTCGAAAGACAATGCAAAACAGGTACACTTGAACAGTTCTGCAATTTTCTAGATTTCCCTAGATGATTCCCAATTTCCTCTTTCCTAAAATCTCCAAAACCTCCTTTTTGCTTTCTACTTCACAAGAATCAGAGGAAAGCATACAGGCATACACAAGTTTTCCACGTCATATCTTCCCATTTGCTGCATCTGTTTTCATATACTCTGACTTGTCTGGTTTTTTTTTTTTTTTTTCTTTTTGAGACGGAGTCTTGCTCTGTCTCCAGGCTGGAGTGCAGTGGCTCAATCTCGGCTCACTGCAACCTCCACCTCCCTGGTTCAAGCGATTCTCCTGCCTCAGCCTCCCGAGTAGCTGGGACTACAGGCACACGCCACCACGTCCGGCTAATTTTTTTTGAATTTTTAGTAGAGACAGGGTTTTACCGTGTTGGCCAGTATGGTCTTGATCTCCCAACCTCATGATCCACCCACCTCGGCCTCCCAAAGTGCTAGGATTACAGGCTTGAGCCACGGCGCCCGGCCTGACTTGTCTGTTATAGTGAAAGAGTTTCTTACCCCAAATGAGAATAACCGTTCCACTTATACACTGCTACTAACTCAAGGGTACCGTCTTGCCACTATTATTTTTTAAGAGATGGGATCTCACCTTGTCATCCAGGCTGGTCTTAAACTCCTGTGCTCAAGTGATTCCTCTGCCTCAGCATCACAAAGTGCTGAGATCATAGGCAAGGGCCACCACACATGGCTCCTTTGCAACTATCTTTTTCTCTCTTGTGTATCACATATTTATCCCTCCTGCTAGACCATTCCAATCAGCATCCAAGTTTGTTCTCTTGTTCTAGGATCATTTTCCTTAAAAAAGTAAATTTTATTGTGTGTATTTATGGCATAAGTTATGGCATAGATATATTAACAGATAGTAAAATGGTTACTATAGTGAAGCAAATTAACATGTCCATCATCTCACATAGTTACCCATTTTCTTTGTTGTTGATTTTGTAGCAAGAGCAGCTAAAAGCTACTCATTTAACAGGAAACCCAATACAATACAATTTTTTTAAAGCTATAGTTCTCATATTGTACATTAGATCTCTAGACTTGTTCATCCTACTTATCTGCTACTTTGCAAGCTCTGACCTACCTCTCCTCATTTAGTCCCACCTCCATCCCCACCCCTACCCCTGGCAACCGCTGTTTTACCCTCTATCTTTTTATATTTTGCTCTTTTAGATTCCACATATAAGCGATATCATGCAATATTTTTTCTTTCTGCGTCTGGCTTATTTAACTGAGCATAATGTCCTACAGTTTCATCTGTGTTGTGGCAAATGGCAGGATCTCCTTTTTAAAGGCTGAATAATATTCCATTATTTACATACCACAGTTTCTTTATCTATTCATCTGTCAGTGGGCACTTAGGTTTTTTCCTTCATTTTTCCATTGTAAATGATGCTGGAATGAACATATGGGGGTGCAGATATTTTTATGAACTGGTAATTTCATTTCCTCATGATATATGCCCAAAAGAGGAATTGTCAGATCATACTGTAGCGCTATTTTAAATTTCTTTAGGAAATGCAATACTGTTTTCCACACTGGCTGCACTAATCTATATTCCTATCGAAAGTGTGTAAGGGTCCTTTTCTCCACACCCTCGCCAACATATCTCTTGACCTGTTGATAATAACCATCATAATGAGTGTGAGGTATATCTCATATTGGTTTTGATTTGCAATTACCTGATTATTAATAAGGTTGAGCACCTTCTCATATACCTGTTGGCCATTTTTGTCTTCTTTTGATAAATGTCTATTCACGTCCTTTGGCCATTTTTAAATCACATTGTTTTTCTCCTATTGAGTTATGTTCCTCATAATTTTTTATATGAATCCCTTGTGAAATGTATGGTTTTCTAATTTTCTTTTTTATTCTGTAGGCTGCTGTTTGATTTTGTGCTGTGCTCAGTCTCCCAGAGATCCAGAGCCTCTCTTCTTAATTTAAAAAACAAAAATACATTGGCCAGGCATGGTGGCTCTTGCCTATAATCCCAGCACATTGGGAGGCCAAGGTGGGTGGGTCACTTGAGGCCAGGAGTTTGAGACAAGCCTGGCCAACATGGCTAAACCCCGTCCCCATTAAAAATACAAAAATTAGCTGGGTTTGGTGGCATGGGCCTGTAATCCCAGCTACACAGTTAGCTGAGTCACCAGAATCACTGGAACCTGAAAGGCAGAGGTTGCAGTGAGCCAAGATCATGCCAGGCAAAAAACAAAACAAAACAATACAAAACAAAATATCTTTGGCCTCATGTCCCTCTTCAGGGGTCTCCCAATTAATTATCTTTACAGCAAATTTTCTGCAATGAATTGTCTATATTCTCCTTCAATCCCTTCTCAGCTGACTCATTGATCATTTATTTTCCTTTTTGTAATGCCACCTCTTACCAGCATTCGACAGAGTGGACCACTCCATTTTTCCCTTGGCTTGCTGAAATCATGCTGTCCTGATTTCCCTCATATATGGTTGTTCCATCTAAGAGCTCAATACTCATCTCTCTTCTATATCTAAGCCCAGTCCCATGATGCTAAACATCATCCATGTGCTGACAACTACCACATTTCTATCTTCACTTCACATTCCTCCCATGAACACCAGATGCATATATCCACTTGTGTACTCAACATCTGGAAAGGTACTATAATGTAATGCTGTAGGATGTGGAATTACTGAGAAGTCCCCAGCCAATGATTGAACATGACAGCAGTACAAGAATTCATGATTTCTGACCAGCGCAGGACCCCTCTATGAGCACCCTTTGCACTAAAGCCCTCTGTGGGGCAGGCTAGGACTTTCTCAGAGCTGCATCTTAGTCTGATTCTACTTTCTACTGAAGATGTCTCAAGCAAGGGCCTGCCAGCTAACAGTGCTCCCATTAGTAAGTACTCTCTTCAAGGGAGATTTGATTGGTCCACTTTCACAGCTGCCACAAAGCCTACATTGAGTTCATGAATACCACCACTAGCAGAGATGCCCTCTTCTTCAGAGGGCTGAGTTTCAGTTAAGGCACTCTCCTCAAAGCATTGAAGTTTTAATCATTCAGCCTCTTCCTTTTGTTTCATCGGCTCCACGGGGATAGCTACATCCTCTATTTTCTACTTCCATGATATCATACAATTTGCTTTTGACTCTTTCAGTTAATTACATGGCTAACAACTTCATAAACTAGTAAAAAATTATGCTAAATTCTCTTTGCTTAAATACAGGGTTTTTCCGTCTCCTGATTGGACTCTGCCTAATGCAAGTGTTATCTAATGACTTCCTCTTACGGAAGAGAAGGATTCAACTTTCTTTCACTTACTCAGCACCACATCCTTACATATAAGCATAATTCTGCTTATCTTCAACGTTAGTTATATTACATCATTATTGTATCATAAATCAGCTCACTGTTTATGTTATCTCAACTGTGCTAAAAGCTAGTCTCAACACAAACTTATAGTCTACTTTTTGGTTATGTTTCCTTCCCTGGAGAAGGCTGGATCTTTTTTTTTCTTTTCAGTTAATGGTTGTCTTGACTTTCATGTATTATACATTTTTCAGCTCCACCAACACCCTTCCTTGATTATATAAATATCCTCTCAATACATTCCAACACATTTTGTATCTTCTTATCGCTCCTCTGAAGACCTCTCACCCAGAGCCTTTTCATCTCGTCCTGTAATTCTGGTTGTTCCCTAGGCCTGCTATATAGTGGCTGTCTAAGGAATTTCTATCACCAGTCTCTGTCACCTTGAAGATTTTTTAGATGCCTTCTTGTGTGTTGGATCTCTTGTTTACATGTCCTTTTGAATAGACCCATCTCTAATGCAGAATACAGCAGCTGATAAACAGTCTCCATCAATATCTCAAGTTTTAAGACTAAATGAAGTGGCAATGAGTTTTGTAAAGATTTCAGCTGAAGTAATGAGAAAAATTAAGGTAGGCAAAACATGGTAACAAGATGACAGATTATGATGTCCTAAGTCCCTATGCAAATGTCATTTTCTTCAAGTCTGGCCCTCAAGAGCCTGAATAACAGGAGGAGGAAATTTCCAGTTGCTTACACACATGAAACTCACTTCCAAGAAACTGAAATGTCCACTTGAATTACATGCTTAGGTTATGTTCAGAGCCATAATACCATCATTTAATAAGCATCTTTCTAATTTTGCTTCATTATCTTGAATCGGCAACAAATGTAACTTCCCAGAAACTTGCACTTGTATGTATCTGTTTCTTTCTGGAAATTGAGATTTAGACCATGACTATGCCACAAAAGTAACCAGAACAGAAAATTTCTTCTACTTTAATAATTGAACTACCTTGTCCCAATGGATTTTGAAATTCATTTCAAAAGAGGTTCACATAGATGTATATCCCAGAGTAAAAAGAAAACAAAACAAATAATAAGCATGAGGAGAAAAGATAAAAATGCCAAGAAGAAAGTTATAATGTTTAATTCACCCCCAAAATGGTGTCATGTCATGCAAAACAGAAAGAAAAGCAAACCAGTGACTTGAGATTCATTGTAACAAATGTTTGATTGGTTTGGCTTTTAATAAGGGCAAAGAAGGAGAGGACCCCAAATTGTTTCAATCAGGAGACAGGAATTATATACGGTTGCCCTCTGTATTCATGGTTTCCACATCTGTAGATTCAACCAACAGCAGAGACAAAATACTTGGAAAGAAATAGAAATTAAGAATACAACGATATGACAACACAAAGTAATACAAACAAAAATCAATACAATATAAACAACTATTTATATAGCACTTAAATTATATTAGATATTAGAAGTAATCTGGATATGATATAAAATATACAAGGGGAGGTGTGTAGACTATATGCAAATACTATTCCATTTTATATCAGGGACTTGAGCATCCAAGTGTTTTGGTATCCACTGGGGTCCTGGAACAAACCCCACACAGTTAACATGGGAGGACTGTACTTGAAAGCAGTGACCTGAGTTTATAATTTAATCATGATGAAATAAAAAAGAACGCTTAAATAATAATGTCAATCAGAAAATCCTATTAGAATTTAAAAGTTTAGTCTTTTAAAAGTAAATATTCTCCAAAAAATGGTTTAGATTAGCAGCACCACATGACGTTGTTATTAAAGAAGCCACCACGAGAGGGCAATACCTTCAGGCTGCACTAATGCTGCTTCCTTTCCCTGAACCTGGGACACTCAAGATTTTTTCAGGCAACAGCCCAGAGGTAAATAATTTTTCCGGAGAGCAAGTGAGTCCGCGTGGCTTTACAGCACACAATTAGGCAGTATCCATTGATGTCCAAAAATTACATAACGCTTTATGTGAGTTACTGCTGTGGTATTCAACCCTGCGTTAACGTCATCTGGGGTACTTTAAAAAAATTATCTATGGCTGCAGAATTTCTCAGGTTGGGGCCAGTATTGATACACTTTAAAAGCTTCCTTAGGGAGGCTGTCACAAATTAGAACACCGTGCAACCCAGTCTCGGGATATTAGAAAACAGTATTGAGTTTGAGGATTTCACATTTCCGTGTGTCATTTCTTTGTTTTATCGTCTGTAATGCAGACATTTCAGGCAATATTATAATGAGGGAGACGTTTGAATCATCTCTATATGACTATTCATTTTATTAAGCCTTATATTTAATATTAAAATGCTTATGTCAGTCTACCTTTTATTATATTTATTATCATCTGAAAACGTGAAATCCTTTAAAAGGGAACAATGAGGTTTTATTATCTCTAATAAATTATTGCTAGGCAACCGTTAGCAGAGTACACATTGCAAACTGTCATTTCAGCTCAGTGCTGCAGACATCGCTCTACTACAAGAAGCAGAGATGCAGATTATCATAAGAACAATGATCTAGTTAACAAAGTTTTCCTGCTCTGATTAATTCAGATTTCCTCACTCTAATTTTACCTTCACGGTTGCCACAAAAATAAAATGCTTTGGAACTCAGAGTGAGTCAGTCTTTGCAAAAAATTAAAGGTTTGTCTTTAAAGCCATTAAAAACAAAATCTGAAAATTAGATTTCTACATCTAGGAAAAGGAGAGGAAAATGAAGGTACAATTCCTACAGTTTGGGCAAAGATGACCCTCTGATTTACCTAGGTTGTCTATTTTACTACTAGTAACTACCACATGCTAGAAAAAGGCTTTGTAGTCACATGAAAGTGGTTTTAAATCCCAATCTTATAACTCACTTACTCTGCAGTGGAGGCAAAATATTTAGTCTCTCTGAACCTCTGTTCTCTCATGTTTAATAATGGGGATAATCACTGTATTACAGACTTGTGTGAATGTAATGGGGCGATAAATGTAGAGAAAAGGCCATGTCGATAGGTTGTTCAGCAAGAGCCAGCTAGTACTAGAGATTCCTAGTAGAGATTACTAGTAATTGGCATTTCAAAGCCTGGGATGTCTTCTACAGCTACTGCAACTGCCACTGCGGCTGGCCACTGCTCACTTCCTAGAGAAGTCAAGGGTGGTTAATGCCTGATCAGGAGTCTCACTCTCACCATCTGGTATTTCTCACTTGGCTGCTATTCACGGTCCCACCACAAACCACCCTTCATAGGGTTTAGTCATGATGCATCAGGGAAAATACAACCTGAGAACTTAAAAAAAAACAGTGAAGCAAAGTCATGTTGAAATGTTAATAGAGTCGTGTTCAGCATTTGCATATCTCTTGGAATTCTTTAGCAAATGGATTTTCAATTAACATTTCGCTGTCAGATTGGGATGGGTCTGTTTAATAGTATCCTTGTGACCCTTTCTCGTCCAGAAGCAAGGAGAGCAGCAGTACAAAATAGGAAGTATAAATTACATGATGTTGACGTGATGTTTCTCTTAACGTTTACTGACTTGCCTCCATGTTGTCTGGGTAAGCTCCTCAAGTGCAGAGACCATGTCTAATTGTCTTCAAGCTCCGCTCAAGCTCAAGAACTAGTACCAAAGAAATGCAAACTAAAATAAGATTATCCATCCATAAAGTTGTCAAGGTGAGAAAAGTATGAAAATACCCAAGGCTGGTTAGAATCCGAACCTTTCTGGGCTCAACATAAGTTCAAGAAGCCTTAAACATGTCCGTGACCTTTGACACAGCAATTCCATTCCTTGGAATTGATCCTAAGGGGAGATTTAAGGAATGCTGAACTTTACGGTTCTGTTGGTTAAAATTGATTTGTATAAATTTTATATTTTTTATATATCTTAGTGGTTAAATAAGTGTGTAAAGCTACCTTAAAATGATGTTAATTTGCATTTATTTAATTGCTAATAATTAAGCAATTGCAGCAAATAATTTCTCTTTTTGTTAATTTATTATTTTTCTTTGAACTTGTAAATTATCTGTTGATTTCTTTGATGGCATACTCAATGGAATTTTACATATGATCTTAGTAATGTTTCAACCCCAGAATACTTACATTTCAGGTTCTATGGGTTAGTGATTTTCCTTTGGGGGAAAAAATTTCTGTTGATATTCAAGAGAGAAATATTCATACAGAAGAATGATTTTATACTGCAGTTAATTATATATATTAACATTATACATGCCCAGATCAAGCTTAAGTCAAGACACATCTCATGGTTCTAACTTGGGAAGCTAAGTTTGATTCATAATGGTAGGACTCTATGTAACAACCTAATAAGAAAGATAAGAACTCCTGTTATTCCTCTACTTTAAATTCAGTACTAATTTCACCCCCATTCTTAGTAACGTTTCAAGTCCCAGTGGCACACTTAACACTTGTCAAATTTCTTATCATTTTGTTTTTTTTAGATTAACTTTTCCACTGTTTCAATAAACGTTGTGTCTTTGTGTTTCTTTTCCTTTTCTTTATATTTATTTATTTATTTATTGTTATTTGATTTTCCTGTATGTCTGAATGTTCAGAAAAGGCTGGAAGTTTTTTCTTTCATCCATTTTTCTTTGGGGAATAGAATTTGCATAAATTTTCTCCTGTGAGAATAGTGCTATTTGTTGAATTTGTTAACAAGAATGCTCACTAATAAATTACCATTTGCATTACTGATTTTTTTTCTCCCAAGCTTTTGGATTGTTTCTACTGCTATACATGTTTTCCTAGACATGAATTTGCCTTTTTTCCAACACCCACTATTTTGTCCTGATAGTTAATTCCTCTGTGATTCATTAATAGCTGTCAAAATTTAATCTCACTGTCAAAAATACGAAGATAATTTAATTTCATAGCAGAAGGTTCAAAATTACAAGATAATTCAGAAACAGCAGTGAATTTCTCAACAATGTCTAATTTTGATGCTCTTCTACTTTGACTGTGAAGGCTCGTTTAAGATGGGTGGCAGAGCCAAAACAAGATGCCTGAACATAGACATACAGAGTTAATTCTTCATTTGCTTCTTTCTCACTGACTATTTTCCTACTACATATTAAATCTGGGAATACTGAGAAAAAGTTGGAGACATGAGAAAGGTCCCCTTTACTTGTCTCCTTTTGATCCCTGAATATCTCCTATTTTTGATATGGAACACAAATCATAATATCATTATTGGCTATTTTACTATGCACACAGAGCAAAGCAATCACTGTGCTAGATAGATGCTTAGCTTATTTTTAAAAATCCCATTTTACAGAGTACAAGACTGATACTCTAGAGGTTAAATAACTAGGCCAAAATCATACAACATAGTAAGGAGCAGTGCCATAATTCAATCACCGGCCATGCTCTTTCAATTTCACTGAGTAACACTGACATGTAGAAATTTGGAAAATATAACTTAGCTCTCAGAGCAGATTACATCCCATTGACATTTATGGCATTTCTTATATATACACAGAAACAAATGCTACTTGCCTCAAATGAGTTTACTATTTGAGGCCTTATTATTTTTCTACAAAAATAGCTCTTAGCTTAATCAAAATTCTAATTTTAAGCTTCAATAGATTATTTCATTTTCTTAAAATATAGTGATGGCTCCAATAAGATTATATATAGACTGTGTGTGTTTGTGTGTGTGTGTTTGTGTATTCCACACACCCCCTCCCACCCCCAAAGACACAAAACACTAAACAACCACTTAAACATTATCTTTTCTTGGAAAGCAAATGTGATTTTATTTCCTTGTTTTGACTTAAGAAAACCAAAACAAACCAAGTGTATATAATTTTTCAAAGGCCAAACAATTAGCAAACTAAATCTAAAAATTGCAATCCTGATGACAAGCCCAGAAGCAAAAATTTACATTATCTACTTTTTCTACCATGAACATATGATACACTTTTTCCTTTTGTTCTTTAGTAAAGACTTATATCTACAGTATAGCTAGAATATAATAAAAATGGATATATTGTATCCAGGTGCAGGCTTGGCTGTTTGCTGCTTGCAAAGTCAATCAACAAAGGCAAAATGCTATGAAAGAACGGTGGCTTTATTTTCCAAAGCTAGCAGGGGGAAATCGTCCAGGCTTCTGCTTTAAATAAACCATTTCAAATCTTAGACAGAATGCAAGGGCTTAAAAAGGGTAGTGTGGTATGTGCAGACATGCAGGAGAGGCAAGGAGGTGCCAGTCTACATGACTTATTCTGACAACTTACCTTGGATTATTGACCCATCTGGTGAATGGGCTGGTGCCATCTTGGGTATAACCAGGCTGCAAATTAACTGCAACCCTGAAGTAATCTCCAGGTCAGGGAGAATTCCGTAGTGGCCTGAATTGTTTCAATATTTAGTCTCTAGAACTTCTAAACAGACACATAATTAGATAAGGGAAACATTGTGCAAGGGGGTATGTGGCAGAAAGAAGGAAAGTAGAATATTATTCCATTATTAAAGGCAGGACAAGGAACAGGCAGGAAAGAGAAAGAACAAAAAACATTTAAAAATGGGACAGTCAGATACAGTATCTTTGGATAAGTATATATAAATTTTGTTAACGTTGAATGTGGCAATGGTTTTAAGTATAAATGGCAACATAAAATAATTTCTTTAACATATTATTAGCAGGTTAGTTTCATAGAGGCAAAAATATTATCAGTATGTAAATCATAGACAAAGGAAAAATATTAATTTTAACAGGAAAAAATGAAATATCTGAAACCAAAATGAGAGTTCTGTAACAACTAGTCTAGTGTGACAATGAGATTATTACAACTAACAGTAGGGAAAGTTTATGTTCCTAATATTAATTTTAATTAACATATAATCCAGGTATAAAGAGAAAGAGAGAGATTGTGTTTGTTCTGTCTGTTGCAAGGGCACAGGAGCAGGAAAAAAGAGGTCAGGAAGCAGAGATTGTTCTAGAAACCTAAAGGTAGACAGTGAGTCATTCAGAGTACCCACGTACATTTCCGGTAAAATAAACAGATCCAGTAACTGTACCTAGCAGATCTCACTAGTGATTTTGAAAGGGATTAAACATTAATCATCACCTTATATGTGCATCTTGCAAAACACACTCAGCATGCTGCAATCTGTAGGATTCATGAGGGTATCTGAGTCTTAGGTAAAATATGAAGGAATATATATATATATATATATATATATATATATATATACATATATATATATTTATGGAAGTTAAACTCTTATCCATACAAAAAGGGCTTTCAGTTTATGGCTCTTATAATCATTAAACTATATGGAATTACTGAAACACCTTCATCTGTTGATTGTGGAATGGCATAGCAATATATCATGTACTTTGACTTAAGAAAACTGGGCTATATAAAGCCATTACTATGAGATTTAATACTACACAATAAATCTTGTAAATGAATAGATTTTCCAATGACATAGTTAAAAACAACAACAAGTTGTTTTTAACTATGGTCCAGTTTGCAAATTTTGGAAAATATTCCTTTTACTGTAAGAAATCTAGGGCTGTAGTTAAAGTAATCCCCACTCCTCAGTGGACTACCAAGACTGCACAAACTTCTTACCATGCAGGGTTTATTTTCAGCACAGTAAAGACAGAACTAAGGCTGTCAGAAAAATAGCGGGATGGAAACATGTTTAAAATCATAAACATCCCCAGGCACTATACATTTGACAATAAACTGTCTTTTATAGGGAGCAAGATTATCTGAAGTGCGATCTTTCAAGAAAAATAATGAGTAGAGATGATTCTCAGTTGTACTGGTAGTATTCTAAAATTTATTGCGACTGCCTACTTGGGGAACAGAGATTAAATTTAGCAGTTGAAATCAGGGTTGCCAAACATTATATAAAATATTAAATAGAAAAATGCAAGTCATGAGTTTTAAAATGGAAGAAAGGAAGGAAGAAAGGGAGGGAGGGAAGGGAAGAGTGAGGGAGAGAAAGGAAGGTAGGAAGGAAACCAGACAGGGACATATGAGCTGCCTTCTGCTTTCAGTGGAATAGACAAACTATTCAAATATTGTAAAAAGAAGAGAAATTGACAAACAAAAACTTAAAATTGGTAAATACACAACCAATTGTTTCAAGCTATCAGCCAAATTAACTGTGTACTACTACAATTATGACTGCAATCTTTATTAGTAAAGATCCAGGCACACAAGAGGGAATTGTTGGATGAAAAAGCATTGTGGTGGAGTTTTCTTGAGAGCTGCTTTTGCATTAAGCACTCTCTTTTACTTATATTTTAAGCTTAATGCTGACCTCTGCCACCTTCTTGTATATTACAGGCCAATAAAAATAGCAAAGGTTTCTGTCACGCGCGTCCATGTGAAGAGACCACCAACAGGCTTGTGTGATCAATAAAGCTTTTTAATCACCTGGGTGCAGGTGGGCTGAGTCCGAAAAGAGAGTCAGCGAAGGGAGATAGGGGTGGAGCAGTTTTATAGGATTTGTGTAGGTAATGGAAAATTACAGTCAAAGGGGTTGTTCTCTGGCGGGCAGGGGAGAGGGTCACAAGGTGCTTGGCAGGGAGCTTCTGAGACTCATTGTGCAGGAGAAGGAATTTCACAAGATTAATGTCATCAGTTAAGGCAGGAACCGGCCATTTTCACTTCTTTAGTGATTCTTCAGTTCTTTGAGGCCATCTGGATGTATACATGCAGGCTTGGGCTCAGAGGCCTGACAGTTTCTAAATGTACTTTTGTTTACATTTAACATACATTTGAATGGCTGTCTTCATTTTTAAAGACAACCCTAAGGGATAGCTTTGGGGAGGAGATGTTAACCAAAGTCTCTTCTACCTAGACTTAGCTTTGAGAAAAGAACTGAGATAAGATGAAAAGAGTCCATTGTCAGTTTTCTATTGCCATAATTTTGCTGTCCTTTTAATTCAGGTTTGTCTTGCTGATGTAACAACACAGGTATTCCATAAACTAACATAATTATTACGTATAATTATTAAATATGTATAATGTGCATCTAGTCAATCATTTCTTCTATAATGCTATAACATGGTATGTATTACTAAAAATCATTTCACTATCCAAATTGTGCAAAGAAATACTGCAAGGCTCATGGAAATACCAGGGTTAGGAAGAAATTTGTGTCGTGTGCCTAACCACATTCGTCACATGAGCTTTGTGGTTTTCACTGCATGATTTTCATGGCACTAACATTTTTAGGGGCACATATGTATTAGAAGAAATTTACTTTTTCAAAACAAGTGTTAGAACAAAGAATCCTGACTATACAATATATACAAACCCAGGAAAAAGGCTATTATTTTCCCACCCAGGGATTCCAAACCTAACATGCTCATTCATCTATTAATCTCTTTTATTGAAATAATAATTATTACAGATTTGAGTGAGCACTGAAGTCATCTTTTTCTTATAGCCAGAGTACCAAGATGGCTAGTGAATAGATAATATTTTTATTTTTATTTATTTATTTTTTGAGATGGAGTCTCGCTCTGTCACCCAGGCTGGAGTGCAGAGGTGCGATCTTGGCTCACTGCAAGCTCTGCCTCCCGGATTTACCTCATTCTCCCACTTCAGCCTCCTGAGTAGCTGGGACTACAGGCGCCCGCCACCACTCCCGGCTAATTTTTTTTTTTTTGTATTTTCAGTAGGGATGGGGTTTCACCGTGTTAGCCAGGATGGTCTCAATCTCCTGACCTCGTGATCCACCCGCCTCGGCCTCCCAAAGTGCTGGGATTACAGGCGTGAGTCAATGCGCCCACGATGACCTACATTTTTCTCTTCTGTCTTATTACCAAGTAACTGCAATTCTATTGACATTGTTAAAGGAAAATATCTTGGGCCCCCAAAATCACTAAACTAATGGGAAAGGTCAAGCTGGGAACTGCTTAGGGCAAACCTGCCTCCCATTCTAATCAAAGTCACCCTCTGCTCACGGAAATAAACGCATACCTGATTGCCTCCTTTGGAGAGGCTAATCAGAAACTCAAAAGAATGTTATCATTTGTTTTTTATCTACCTATATGACCTGGAAGCACCCTCCCCACTTTGACTAGTCCTGCCTTTCCAGACTGAACCAATGTTCTTCTTACATGTGTTGATTGATGTCTCTTGTCTCCCTAAAATGTATGAAAGCAATGAAAGCAAACTGTGTCCTGACCACCTTGGACACATGTCATCAGGACCTTCTGAAGCTGTGACATGAGCACATGTCCTCAACCTTGGCAAAATAAACTTTCTAAATTATCTGAGACCTGTCTCAGATATTCAGGATTCACATTTTGGTAACCGTGAAGGGATTCTGAGTGGAGATGCCTCTCACTTTTCACAAATTTCTTATCAGTGCTTGGTACCAGCTTGAACTATCCTTATGGCTCAAACCAATAGGACAATTTGCTGAGGCATGGAAGCACCCCCCACCCAGAGAATCTCTGATCTCCCCAAATTTGGTCACAATCTTATTTTGCTATACAACTTTTTTTTTTTTTTTTACCTTTGGAATACTACTTGTTTCCAACACAAGGAAGGCAAGTTTTTCCTGCTTCCATGATGATTAAAGGCAGGTAACTCCTTTATGGAGTTTGAACTTGCCGCCAACAGGGAAGATGAGGTTTTTGTTTTCTTTTGTTTTGTTTTTCCTGCTTCTAGGATGGTAGAGAGCAGTCTTCAGCCTGAGTCCCATCCCTAGATAAGTAACTGAATTGGGGTTTGTCTTGGCTAAAGTTAAGATTAACAACCAGCTGGTCTTAATTTCTCCTTATCGTTAGAGCATTCGGTAATCATATAAGTTGTGTGATCATTTGTTTTGCTTAACTGTTTTTTCATTTTTGCTGTTGTTATTGTTGCTTCTGTTTTTGATGTTGTTTTGGTCTTTTTCCCATTGGGTTTGATCAATGCTATTAAACTTGATCAAACCTGAAGTAAATTCCAAATTTACTTGGAACAGGGCCTCTGAAGTAGCTAAATCTCACACACACACACGAAGGAGGTGTGGTGAAGGAAGAAAAACGGCGAGCAGAAGGAAAAAAAAAAAGAGGAAAAAATTTTGATTTTGACTAAGGGGCTTTATTTACATAACAATGCCACCTTTTTGCTAGCCAGGCCAAACTGAAAGAGCGATGGCTGTACTTAAATAGCAGCAATTCGTCCTGGTTGAAATATGAAAATGAGATGTTAAAAGATTTTTTTTAAAGGAGCTCAGTGGTTAAAACTCAGCTTAATTAAAAGCTAACATCCAAGATGTGTGTGTGCTTGTGAGTATGTGTGTGTTTGCATTTAAAAGGCCTTCACGTTTTTGTTTTTTTTCTCCTAGGACCTTGTCCTTTTTTTTTTTTTCTTTTTTTTTTTGGAGTCAAAGTTTTTTTCTTCTCAGTTGACTAAATTCTGTTTCCTTCATTTACTTCTGCTGTCTCTCCTTTCTCTTGTGCCTTCCGCTGCATGGGAGACATATAACAGTTTATAATAGCCTGGGGTTCCTTAAAGAAAATGGAGAAGCCACCAGATTCCTTTAGAGGGAGAAACCTGTTTTTCCTTATGGAACCCCAAGAATGTAAACAGACAAGTTCAAGTTCATCTCAGCTCTTTAACTGCTTTTGTATTATCCATTTATTTTGTTGTTGTCGTTGTTGTTTTTGCTGAAATGTTATTGCAACAGAGGCTACTCTTGGGATTTTAAGGAATACTGTGCTTTAGGAACTTAGAAATGTCTTTGTCCAAAAAAAAAAAAAAAAAAGAAAAAATGTAAGTGCACTGTAAAAGCATCACATGTTCTAACCTCATAATAATTCTCCCTTTTTGGAGACCCAGGATTCAGTATGGGCTCTGCCCAGAGCTAGAGATCCAATTAAAAGATAGGTAGTTCCTATCTAAGTAAATTGGTCTCCTTATACAATCCTATGATAAATTTCTATAATTTTGTGTTTGATTTGGCATCCTTCTCTAATCTTCCTCTATGAAATTATATTCCTCATATGAAATTATTTCTCTTTAAGCTTTTTTACCAAAAAAAATCTTTCTATAACTTTCTTTACATCTATTTCCTGGTTCCTTTTACTTTGTTTTATACGTGACCTTTTTTTAAAAGGATCCTTCTTTTCTTTTAGAAAGAATATTTTCAGCTGGGTGCAGTGGCTCACCCCTGTAATCCCAGGACTTTGGGAGGCCAAGGCGGGAGGATCACAACGTCAGGAGTTCAACACCAGTCTGGCCAAGATGGTGAAACCCCGTCTCTACTAAAAATACAAAAATCAGCCAGGGGCAGTGGTGGATGCCTGCAATCCCAGCTACTTGGGAGGCTGAGGCAGGAGAATCGCTTGGACCCGGGTGGCAGAGGTTGCCATGAGCTGAGATCACACCACTGCACTCCCACCTGGGTGACAGAGTGAGACTCTGTCTCAAAAATAAAAAAAGGAAAGAAAAAGATATTTTTCTACAAATATTTTTATATTGGAAAATACCCAAATAATGAAATATCTATTATTTAATTTAATATAGCTTTAGATTTAAAAATTATGACAAGTTTGTCTACAAGTATTAATCCTATTATGTTTACCTAATTAATTTTTATTGCTTACCTATATTAGTATTATTATTTTATTTATTTATTTTTTTTCGAGACAGAGTTTTGCTCTGTCACTCAAGCTGGAGTGCAGTGGCATGATTTCAGCTCGCTGCAACTTCCACATCCTGGGTTCAAGTGATTCTCCTGCCTCAGCCTCCCGAGTAGCTGGGATTACAGGCACCTGCCACCATGCCCAGCTAAGTTTGGTATTTTTAGTAGAGACAGGGTTTCACCATGTTGGCCAGGCTGGTCTGGAACTCCTGACCTCAGGTGATCCTCCCACCTTGGCCTCCCAAAGTGCTGTGATTACAGGCATGGGCGACTGCACCCAGCCCTGTTTACCTACCTTATTTATAAAAACTTCGATTGTCATTATTTAATGTTATGGAACTGCCATTGCAAAATTATAACTGAGACAGTGAAAAAGACTTGACCTGACTCCATCTTGCTTCTAACCTCCCAGCTGTCCTTGTTCGTTCTTTCCTTTTTTTTGAGTCAGAGTCTCACTCTGTTGCCCAGGCTGGAGTGCAATGGAGCGATCTCGGCTCCTGAAACCTCCACCTCCTGGGTTCAAGCGATTCTCCTATCTCAGCCTCCCGAGTAGCTGGGATTACAGGCGCACACCTCTGGGCCCAGCTAATTTTTGTATTTTTAGTAGAGACGGGGTTTCTCCATGATGGTCAGGCTGGTCTAGAACTCCTGACCTCGTGATCCGCCCGCCTCAGCCTCCCTATGTGCTGGGATTACAAGCGTGAGTCACTGCGCCTGCCTCCCTTGTTCATTCCTGAGTGCAGGCTGAACTAAATTTTGGGAGGAACTTAGTTTACAGTATATCTTTGAAACAAAGGTAGCAGTCCTTTCCCAAAACAAACCTTACTGCATGTGGACTAGACCACCTAAAGCCACAAGATTAGAAGTTATGATAATCTTACTAAATTCATGATGTATTTTTATTAAACCAATATCTATGTCTTATTAAAAATTACACAAGCAAAGATCATTCTGTGAGGCTGGGTTTATAGCTTTGTATCCCCTACACCAAATTTTGACACCTTATAGCATTTGGCAGAGATAAGTATGAAATTGCTTGATTAGTAAGTGCAAACAAAAGTGTATTGGCAGTTCTTAAGATAGTTCTAATATTACTTTACCAATAATTTTAAAGCTAGCTTATTTGTCAAAGACTTTACTTAATTTACTTTTACTTGAGAAAGCATTGGACTAGTCTTTTATTTTTTCTGATAAAGTATTCGATTCCAATGCTTTTATTTTCTTAAGCCATTTAATTAGAGCTCTTTTATATATTTTTGGTAGTGAAAGATTGTTTACACAACACATAAATACACAGACATACTGTGTCTGGAATTGGTGGGTTCTTGGTCTCGCTGACTTCAAGAATGAAGCCGCAGACCCTCGCAGTGAGTGTTAGAGTTCTTAAAGATGGTGTGTCCAGAGTTTGTTCTTCCAGATGTTCAGATGTGTCTGGAGTTTCTTCCTTCCATTGGGTTCGTGGTCTCGCTGGCTTCAGGAGTGAAGCTGCAGACCTTCATGGTGTTACAGTTCACAAAAGTGGCACATCTGGAGTTGTTCATTTCTCCTATCTGGAGCTGTTCATTCATGCCGGTGGGTGGGTTCGTAATCTCGCTGGCTTCGGGAGTGAAGCTGCAGACCTTCGCAGTGAGTGTTACAGCTCTTAAAGGCGGCACGGACCCAAAGAGTGAGCAGCAGTAAGATTTATTGTGACGAGCGAAAGAACAAAGCTTCCACAGCATAGAGGGAGGCCCAAGTGGGATGCTGCTGCTGGCTCCAGTGGCCTGCTTTTATTCCCTTATCTGGCCTCACCCACATCCTGCTGATTGGTCCATTTTACAGAGAGCTGATTGGTCCGTTTTGACAGAGTGCTGATTGGTGCATTTACAAACCTTTAGCTAGACATGGTGTGTGTACAGACCTTTAGCTAGACACAGAGTGCTGACTGGTGCCTTTACAACCCTTTAGCTAGACACAGAGTGCTGATTGGTGCATTTACAAACCTTTAGCTAGACACAGAGTGCTGATTGGTGCGTTTACAACCCTTTAGCTAGACAGAAAAGTTCTCCAAGTCCCCACCCGACCCAGAAGCCCAGCCAGCCCAGCTTCAGCTCTCAATGGCACTCGCCCGGGACTTTGTGGCACCTAGCCGGGGCACTCCAGCAGCCCAGAGGGAGCTCATCCCCCCAATGAAGCCCAGCAGGCACTGGCAGGCCAAATGTGAGGGGCCCGCCAAGTCCTTGCGCACCCGAAACCTGTCCCTGCAGGCGCGAGCAGCCCCGGCTTCTGCCCACGCCTCTGCCTCCACAGGTCCAGGCAAGCAGAGGGAGCCAGCTCCGGCCTTAGCCAGCCCCAGAGAGGGTCCCCCACAGCCCAGCGGCAGGCTGAAAGGCTCCTGGAGTTCAACCAGAGTGGACGCCAAGGCTGAGGAGGTGCCAAGAGCGAGCGAGGGCTGCTAGCACATTGTCACCTCTCAATATTAGGCATTCAGATAGAAGTACAGCTTATAGGTTCATAAAAACCTTTTTTTCTTCTATCTTGGACTTTCAGATTATTGATAACCTGTTTCACAACCCTAGGCAGTTGTCAGCTAAATAGCCTTAAATTTGCATATTAAAGGAAACAACTCAGGTGAAAATCAAATAGCAAAATTTACATCATAAGTTACTGAGAGAAAATGCCTGGTGGTGCTAGAGGGAGATTAAAGATGTATGCCAAATGAGAGAAAGAATCTTGTATGGTAAATTGAGTCATAGAGTAAAATGACTGCTTGTTTAAGAAAGAGTAATGTTCAGAACAAACCAGAGAGTCCATGCATATAACGAACGGTCTGTGTAAATCACAACAAGAAGATTTATTTAAAAAACAAACAAACAAAAAACTGGGATTACAGGTGCCCGCCACCATGCCCAGCTAATTTTTGTATTTTTAGTAGAGACGGGGTTTCACCATGTTGGCCAGGCTGGTCTTGAACTCTTGACCTCAGGTGATCCACCTGCCTTGGCCTCCCAAAGTGCTGGCATTACAGGCGTGAGCCACCACACCTGGCCAAAAAAATACCTTTTGTATGATCAAGTTGTCTATGATTAAAGGGAAATTATAATGGTCTTCCTAGAGATTGGATTTGATGTAAAAAAAAAAATTTATACAATAAAGAATTGGTTAGAACAATAAAATTTTCTTAAGGAATTAATTTACTCTTCATAAATTATAAGAAGTTTTTTTAAAAATTTTAATCCAAAGTACAACTTTTATTGCATCTTGATGGTTTCAGTTTTCTCTTCCCCTTTAAAAAGCACAAAATATTAACATTTCCTTTCAACTCATTTTCAGCTCATTTAAGTTTTTTTCATTCCTCGACTTCTGTTTTTTTGTGCCTTGATGCTAACCATGTATTTTTAAAGGTCTAAAGGAAATGTCATCTTCCAACATAATATTCTGCGCACTGCAGAAAGTCTTTTCTGCTGCCTTTTTGTAGCTGGTTTAACATATTTTATGTTTTATCAAAATAATTCCTATTTTATTATCATTGAATTTGGTTTGCTTAGGGAAAAATGAGATTTAATTTTTTTAAAAAAAATTAAGGTTATTACATCCATGTATCTTCCTGTACGTGCTTTTAAAGTCCCTGTGACATTGAGTTACAGGGCTTTGACTCCTGGGTCTAAAAAGGACACCAAAGTCTGCTAAATCTTAAACACTGACAACAATTAAAGCCTCATCTTCAGGCCTGATAGAGGATGCCAATCAAAATAAAGGGCATTCCTGGGACACGGGGTCAGAAATTAAAGCTTTTCAACCCCTCAAGGCCCAGGGACTATTGCTGAAGAGGTTGGCATGTGAAATTGTAAGGGCCTAGGAATAAATGATCCTAGCCATGAGAATCAGATGAAACCTGACATGAGAGACTCGTTTTCTTCTAAAATGTTTTCTCCAAAAGATTTTTAAAAAGAGAAAGAGGAAAAGGTGAAAAGAAAATCTCTTGAACCCCCACAATCACTAAGCTAAAGGGAAAAGTCATGCTGGGAACTGCTTAGGGCAAACCTGCCTCCCATTCTATTCAGTCACCCCTTTGCTCACTGAGATAAATGCATACCTAATTGCCTCCTTTGGAGAGGCTAATCAGAAACTCAAAAGAATATCATCATTTGTCCCTTATCAACCTATGATCTGGAAGCCCCCTCTTAGCCTCAAGTTGTCTTTTCAGACTGAACCAATGTTCATCTTACAATGTTGATTGATGTCTCATCACCCTAAATTGAATAAAACCAAACTGTGCCCTGACCACCTTGAGTACTTATCATCAGGGCCTCCTGAGGCTGTGTCATGAGTGTGCATCCTCCACTTTGCAAAATAAACTTTCTAAATTAACTGAGAGCTGTCTGAGGTTTTTCATGTGCACAGCACAAAATGTTCTAACCTTAATCCAAATTGTTCAGTGGAAAATCTTAAAAGCAAGAAAATAGAAGTCTCAAAAAATATGTATTGTGAGTGATCAGTTCTTACTTCATATACGCCTTTTTTCTTAATATCTACTGTTATTTCATGAGCTTTTTAAAAAATTTCACACGAATCTTGCATCATGATAAACATATTTAGAATGCAATTGACTTAAAACCACTGCGCCTTATTTTTTAGTATCACGGGGTGAAGGAGAAGAATCAAAGAACTGAGAGGAGTGTTAATGCAGAAGATATGAGCAATTGAATAGCTTTAAAAGCTTAAATTACATAGGATGAGAGAAAAATTATTCATATTAAATTTCCTAGTTTAAATGGCAAGAGTTAATAGAATTGGTTTAGTTTTACCTTTGTAGTTGTTTTCGTTTAAAGGAGGGTTAGTTTCTTAGAATAAGTTTTATAATGAAAGTTAAGATTCTAACCAGTACTAAGATGTAAAGAACAGAAACCCCTATACATTGCTGATGAGACTAGAAAATGGTACATCGGAATGCTGCTGGACAGCTTGTAATAAAATAAACATATATCTACCCTATGATGCAGCAATTCTACACCTAGGTTCATATTCATAAAAATAAAGTATATGCCTACAAAATAAGATGGGAGGGGCTTGTAGAAGAATGTTCATCTACCCATAAATCTGCACATGTATGCTTATAACAGCCAAAACTTGAAAGCAATCAAGATGTCTTTCAATAGGTGAATGGATAAATAAACAGTGCTACCTCCAGACCATGAAATATTATTTAGCACTAAAAAATAAGCTATCAAGACAAATAAAGACATAGAGGACACGTAAATGCATATTGCTAAATGAAAGAAGCCAATATGAAAAGGAAACATACTATGTATATTAGTGTGTTCTCACACAGCTATAAAGAACTACCTGAGACTGGGTAATTTATGAAGAAAAGAAGTTTCATTAACTGACAGTTCTGCAGGCTTAACAGAAAACATTACTTGGAGTCCTTAAGAAACTTATAATCATGGCAGAAGGTGAAGGGGAAGCAAGCACCTTCTTTGTGTGGCAGCAGGAGAGAGAGAGAGAGAGAGAAGGGGGAAGTGCCACACACTTTTAAATCATCAGATCTCATGAGAACTCACTATCTCAAGCATAGCAATGGGGAAATTTACCCTCATGATCCAATCACCTCCCATCAGGCTCTTTCTCCAATTTGACATGAGATTTGGGCGGATATACAAATTCAAACCATGTCATTCCACCCCTGGTGCTTCCAAAATCTCATGTCTTTCTCACTTTGCAAAATACAATTATCCCTTCTCAACAGTCCTCCAGTCTTAACTCATTTCACCATTAACTCAAAAGTCCAAGTCCAAAGTCTCATCTGAGACAAGGTAAGTCCCTTCTCCCTATGAGACTGTAAAATCAAAAACAAGTTAGTTACATCCAAGATACAACGGGGGTACAGGCACTGGGTAAATTATTTTATTCCAAATGGGAAAAGTTAGCCAAAACAAAGGGGCTACTGGCCCCATACAAATCCAAGACCCAGCAAGGCAGGCATTAAATCTTAAAGCTCCAAAATAATTTCCTTTGACTCCATGTCTCACATCCAGGGAATGCTGATGCGAGAGATTAGCTCCTAAGGCCTTGGGCAGCTCTGCACCTGTGGCTCTGCGGAGAACAGTCCCCATGTCTGCCTTCATGGGCTGGTGTTGAATTCCTGAGTCATTTCCAGGTGCTTGGTGCAAGCTGTCAGTGGAGCTACCATTCTGGGATCTGGAGGATGGTTGTTTTCTTCTCACAGCTTCACTAGGCAGTTCCCCAGTGGGGACTCTGTGTGGGGACACCAACCCCACATTTTCCCTCTTTACTGCCCTAGTAGAGGTTCTCCATGAGGGCTCTGCCTCTGCAGCAGACTTCTTCCTGGACATCCAGGCATTTCCCTACATCCTGTGAAATCTAGGCAGAGATTCTCTAACTTCAACTCACGCCTTCTGTGCATCTGCAGGTCCAGCACCAGGTGAAAGCCACCAAGGCTTGGGGCCTGCACCACATGAAGCCATGCCCTAAGCTGTTACTTGGCCCCTTTTAGGCATGGCAGGGGCTGGAGTGGCTGGGAAGCAGGGGGCCATGTCCCAAGGCTGCACAGAGCAGCTGGGCCCTGGGCCTGGCCCACAGAATCAGTTTTTTTTCTCCTAGGCCTCTGCACCTGTGATGATAGAGGCTGCTGTGAAGATCCCTGAAATGCCCTGGAGGCATTTTCCCTATTGCTTTGGCTATTAATATTCAGCTCCTCTTTATGCAAATTGCTGCAGCAAGCTTGCATTTCTCTCCAGAAAATAAGTTTTCCTTTTCTGCCACATGATCAGGCTGCAAATTTTCCAATCTTTTATGTTCTGCTTTTTTTTTTTTTTTGTAAGTTCAAGTTTGAGATAATCTATTTATTCACACATATGAACATACACTTTTAGAAACCACAAGGTCACATCTTGAATGCTTTGCTGCTTAGAAATTTCTTCCATCAGATACCCTAAATCATTCTGCTCAAGTTCAAAGTTCCACAGATCTCTAGACCAGGGGCACAATGCTGCCAGTCTCTGCTAAAGCATATATCAAGAGTGACCTTTACTCCAGTTCCCAATAATTTCCTAATCTCTATCTGAGACCACCCCAGCTTGGACTTCATTGTACATATCACTATCAGCATTTTGGTCAAAATCATTCAAGGAGTCTCTAGGAAGTTCCAAACTTTCCCACATCTTCCTGTCTTCTCCTGAGCTCTGCAAACTGTTCCAAACTCTGCCCATTTCCCAGTTCCAAAGTCACTTCCCCATTTTCAGGTATCTTTATAGTAGTGCCCCACCCTTCTAGTACCAATTTTCTGCATTAGTCTGTTCTCACACTGCTATAAAGAACTACCTGATACTAGGTAATTTATGAAGAAAAGAGGTGCAGGAGCATAGCTGGGGAGGTCTCAGGAAACTTATGATCATGATGGAAGGCAAAGAGAATGCAGGCACATTTTCACGTGATTGCAGGAGAGAGAGAAATTGAAGGGAGAAATGCAACACACTTTTAAACCATCAGATCTCATGAGAACTTCCTCACTGTCACAAGAACAGCAAGGGGGGTATCTGCCCCCATGATCTAATTACCTCCCTCCAGGCCCCCACTCCAATTCAACATGAGATTTGGGCAGGGTCACAAATCCAAACCATATCAATGTGTCAATGTAGATTAATTGATTGTAACAAATCTACCTCTCTTGGGGGGGGATGGTGATAATGGGATAATGGGGGAGGCTATTCATATGTAGGGGCAGAGCATATATGGTAATTACTGTACCTTCTCCTCAATTTTGTTGTGATCCTAAAACAGCTCTAAAAATAAAGTTTTAAATGAAAGGTTTTTTTTTTTTTTTTTTTTGAGATGGAGTCTTGCTCTGTCACCCAGGCTGGAGTGCAGTGGCGCTAACTCGGCTCACTACAAGCTCCGCCTCCTGGGTTCACGTCATTCTCCTGCCTCAGCCTCCCGAGTAGCTGGGACTACAGGCGCCCACCACCACGCCCGGCTAATTTTTTGTATTTTTAGTAGAGACCGGGTTTCACCGTGTTAGCCAGGAGGGTCTCGATCTCCTGACCTTGTGATCCGCCCACCTCGGCCTCCCAAAGTGCTGGAATTACAGGCATGAGTCACCGTGCCCGGTCCTAAAAAGAATTTTAATAGTAACTTTATTTGTAATAGCAAGAAACAAAATTACTCAAATATAGATATATAGAATAATGGGCAAAAGCAGTGGTATATTTATATAGTGAATTACTAGTGAGCAATAAGTATAAACGAACAACACAAAGTAACTTGGAAACACTTGTAGACATTATGTTTTGCAAAATAAGCCACACACCAGAAAGTACATATCACGTGCATTTATTTATACATATATTTATATGAAATTGAAAAAGAGGTAAAACTAATCTAAAAGTGGTTGAAATTAGAATAATGGTTGACTTTGGGAGGGAGGGATTAGCTGAGAAGGGGTTTAGAGAAACTTTCTGTGATTAATAGAGATGTTCTTCATATCAATCTGGGTAATGGTTTCATGGGTGTGTTAAAAGCAAAATTTTATACAAGTTACATTTTACAGAATTTAATTGAGCAAATAACAATTCACAAATTGGGTAGCCTCTCAAAGCAGAATTGATTCAGAGACTCCATCTCTGTTTCATAGTGGAAGAAGATTTATGAACAGAAAGAGGAAAGTGATGTGTATAAAATGAAAGCGAGGTACAGAAACATCTATACTGGTTACAGCTCAGTGCTTGCCTTATTTGAATAGGATTTGAACATGTGGCTGCTCTTCATTGGCCAAAACTTGGTGATTGGCATAAGAGTAGGTTACAACCTGTTTACAAATCCAGTGAGTTAATTCACTATATATGGAAAATCCTTTAGGCTGATCTTAAAATATGTAAGGAGGCAGCTTTAGGCTAAACTTAATTTAACACGTATTTATATTTGTCAATATTCATTGACCTGTGCATTTAAGAACTATACATTTTACTCTATGTAAATTATACCTCAATAGAGTACTATTACAGAAAAAGACTCCAATCAAGTGTCCATTAGTGTCTTCATACAGCTATGCTTCTTTTCTATTCTCCAATTCTTTAATTGGGTGCTGCGTGTCAATAAATTACAATGACCCAGTGACATTACACAGTGTAGGTAATGTAATGTGAGATAGAGAAGAGTCAACAGATTCTTGAAAAGTTGAAGGCTTCAAAAGTAGTTAGATGTGACTTTCCAACAAAAACTTTAGCAATGTAGTATGGCAGGTATTGCATCTTGAGGAGAGAAGAAAGATGGCAACCTTGAGATAAAGAAGTTAAGACATCCTTTTTATTTAGAAAAAAATGAAAAAACATATCTGAGTATTCTACACCTGATCTCTGGGTGGCAGAGTAAGTAAGGAAAGCTCTTGAATAAACTATCCATCTCGGAAGGGTAAGAAGTAGATAATCCATGAAACAGAACAGACAGATAATAAATGTCAGGAGGAAACACTTCAGAGGTGATGCTATCCCAGTGGAAAGACACCTCTTGTTTTTATTTATTGTCAGTGAAATGGAGGGCGTTTTAAAGGACCAGGAATCAAGAATACTAGTGCAGAACTCTTGCCAACTTCATGTACTAGCTATAGACGTAATATGGTAATGTATTACTTTAATTAATTTTTTTTTTTTTTTTTTTTTTTGAGATGGAGTCTTGCTCTGTCGCCCAGGCTGGAGTGCAGTGGCACGTTCTCGGCTCACTGCAAGCTCCGTCTCCCGGGTTCATGCCATCCTCCTGCCTCAGCCTCCTGAGTAGCTGAGACTACAGGCACCCGCCACCACGCCTGGCTAATTTTTTTGTATTTTTAGTAGAGACGGGGTTTCACCGTGTTAGCCAGGATGGTCTCGATCTCCCGACCTCGTGATTCACCGGCCTCGGCCTCCCAAATTTTAATTAAATTTTTAAATACAACTGAATGTCAGTGAAACAGGCCCAACTGTTTCATGGAACTAATATTTATGTTTTTTTGAATAAGCATAGAAATTCACCCTCCTTGGTCTTAAAACTTGAAACCTACATTTGTCTCGTGAGTTCCTTCCTCGGGAGTCTGATCCTCAGGTAAGGAGCTGAAACTCCTTAGATCACCACATCTAGATAGTGAAATGCCAGACCCTCCATCCATCATGATTGCTTCCTTACCCTTCCCTAATTTCTGTTTTCCCTGTAATATGAACCCTCCAATTTTGTTTTTAAGGGAGTTGAATTTGAGCCTTTTCCCCCATTCTCCTTGGCTGAAGCACCCGACTGAAGCCTTCACAAAAAAAAATATTAATATATTTCTTCCATAATAAGATTACAAGTCATAGAACCAACTGTGAAAATATGTACAGCATGTATTATAGACAGTGTGTTAATATCCCCTACTCTACAAAGAATTCTTAAAATTCAATAAGAAAACTATGATTACTCAGATATAACACTGAGATAAGAACATTGACAAACAATTGATAGAAAAAAAAAGAAAGAGCCAATAAATACTTGAAAAGGACTCAGCCCAGGTGATATCAGCAAGATGGAAGAATAAGAAATCCCAGCCCTCATTCTCCTACAGAAACACAGATTTAACAATGATATAAGTAACAAAAACACCTTTATGAGAGGTTCAGATTTCAGTTAATAAGTTGCAGTATCCCAGACCAGCTTCAGGATTCCAATGTTGCTTTTTAAAGAAATAGAAAAAAAAAATCTAAAGATTTATGTGGAACCAGAAAAACTCCAAATAGCCAAAGCAATCTTGAGAAAGAGGAACAAAGCTGGAGGCATCACATGTCCTCATCTCAAAATCTTACAATGCTATTGTTATTAAAATAGTATGGTACTGGCCAAGAAACAGATGTATAGACCAATGGAACAGAATAGAGAATCCAGAATTAAACTCTCATATATATGGTCAACTGATATTCAATGAGAGTACCAAGAATCGAGAATACACAATATAGAAAGGATATTCTCTTCAACAAATGTTGTTGGGAAAGCTGAATATTCACATGGCAAAAAAAGAAAAAATTAAATCTGACCCCTATCTTATATCATACATAAAAAAACAACTCAAAATAGATTAAAGACTTAAACAAGAACTGGAACTATGTAACTCCTAGCAGAAAATGTCAGTGAAAACTATTATGACATTGGGCTTAACAATGTTTTCTTGGATATGACACAAAAAGCACAATCAACAAAAGCAAAATTAGACAATTTGGATTATATCAAACTAAACAGTTTCAGCACTGCAAAAGAAACAACAGATTGAAATGGCAATCTAAGAAATGTGAGAAAATATTTGTAAACCCTACAACTGATAAAGGGTTAATATCCACAATACACAAGAAACCACTACAACTCAAGGGTAAATAAACAAATAATTCAATTAGAAAAATGGGTAAGGACTTCAACAAAGAAGACATACAAATGGCAAACAAGTATATGAAAACATGCTCAATTTCATTAATCATCCAGGAATTACAAATTCAAACCACAATGAAATATCACCTCATGCTTATCATTATCAAAAAAGATAACAATTATTGTCAAGGATGTGGAGAACTTAGAACTCTTTTACACTATTGGTGGGAATGAGAAATGGTGCAACCACTATGGAAACACTATGTAGGTCTCTCAAAAAATTAAAAATAGAACTACCATAAGACCCAGCAATCACTTTTGCATATATATCCTAAAAAATTAAAATCGGGACCTTGAAGAGAGAAATAAACTCTCATGCTCATTGCAGCACTAGGCATAATAGCCAAGATATGGAAACAACCAAAGTGTCTATTGACAAATGAATGGAAAAAAAAAATGTGGTATATACAAACAATGGAATGTTACTCAGCCTTAAAAAAGAAAAAAAAAAAAACCCAGAAATTCTGCCATATGCTACAGCATAGATGAACCTGGAGGACATTATGCTAGGTGAAATAAGCCAATCACAGAAGGACAAATACTGCACAATTTCACCTATGTTAGGTATCTAGAGTAGACAAATTCATAGAAGAAGAGAGTAGAATGGTAGTTGCTAGAGGCTGGAAGGGGGGCAAACAGAGAGTTGCTATTCAATTGGTTTAATATTTTAGTTATGCAAGATGGGTAAGTTCTAGAGATCTATTGTACAACATTATACCTACAGTTAATAATACTATATTGTGAACTTAAACATTTAAGAGGTAAATGTCATATTATGTATCCTTACCACAAAATTAAGATAAGAAAAAGAAAAAAAGTATTCATTCTAGTGATTAAATAAACAATAAATAAAAACTAAAAAATCAATGACATTGTACTTTTATTTCTTGAAATGAGATTTACACAATTATTAAACACCTATTCAATATTATCTTATGCAAATAAGAATATTCTGTTTTTAAAAAATATTTAATGTCATAAAAACATTTGTAATATATTGTAAACTACAAAGGAGATCCTAATTTTACATTTAAAAGGTGGATGTACTCAGAAAAGAATAGGAAGCATGCAGGCAAAACAATGTGACACAATATTTCTGCATAGGAGGTAATAGCAACTCTATACTGCACTTTGCAACAGCTTACAATGATCCCTTTTGTATTATTAAAAATAACTCTTTTTAAAACACGTAAGATCAGTATCTGGAATCTTTGAGGTATCAATAAGCAGCACAGATTTTACATGTGAAATCATATAATCCGTCTTACTTACATCACTAGAATGTTGTGAGGAAAAAGAAAATATTATATGCCTGCCTTATATCCTTTGGTAGTATTTTGGGCTGAATTGTGTTCCAGCCAAAATCATGTATTGAAGCCCTAACCCCCAGTATGTTAGAATGTGGCTATATTTGTAAATAAGGTCATTAAAGCAATGATTAGGTTAAAAATGAGACCAGTAGAAAGGGGCCCTAACCCAATATAACTGGTGTTCTTATAAGAAGAGAAAGAGACATCAGGGGAACCCATGAACAGAGGGACAACATTTGGTAGAGACATTAAGAAGGCAGACATCTGCAACCCTCTGCCAGTACCTTGAACTTGGAGTTGCTTCAGAAGTGTGAGAAAATAAACCTCTATTGTTTAATCCACCCAGTCACTGGTGTTTGGTTCTAGCAGTCCTAGCAAACTAATATTGATAGTAAATAAATATAAGATGTACATAATTATTGATTATAGTTCACTTTTTGATATTGGAGATTAAAAGCATGTGTCTTGCAGACTTTTCATTTGGGAGGAAAGAGCAGAGGCCTTCTGAGAATGAGAGCATTGTTTCTTCTGAAAGCAATATAAAGAACATTAAAAAAATTATATAATTCCAGGTACAGAGATCTCATCTCTTTTATATTATTTCTTACTCAGACACTATCCCTTACAAATTGATAAATAGCAAATTTATTAGCAAATCACATATTCCTATCAATTATTAAATTTGAAATTAGTAAAAATTCTAACCAAAGCCTTAAGCCCCTTAACTAAGTAAACATATAAGAAAATCTGGTTTGAAACAAATATTTAACAAGCTTTTAAATTGAATGCAAAGTTGCTATGCCTAACTCTGCAAGGATTTTTTAAAAATAGAAATTACTAAATTGGGATAAGAGAGAAAGTGATGTTAGAGTGAGAAATCACTTATAACTCTCCTCAAAGTCTTATGTGTTTATAAAACCAGTAAACTGAATATTAGAATTCCCGCATAGCGATCTAAATTGTGTCTTCACTACAAATTCAGATATATTCTGAGTCTCTAGCTGGAAGATCAACCTGTCATTGTTCTTTCTTTGCAGAAGGGAATACCAGAACATGTTGAAGCAGAAAGTCTGTACCTCAGAACTGTGATCTTTAAGCTTTTGGGGGAATAAAAACTGTCACTTGTTCCCCATCTTGTCTCCATTACAGGACATCTGATGGTGAAAGGAATTTTCACTGAGGGGAGAGAGCATTAGAATACACAAGCTTCATTCAAAAACAATGGTTTTTATTCCTTATACCCAGGTGTTCAAGGTTACAGTGAACTATGATTTGTGTCACTGCACTCCAGCCTTGGCAATAGAGTGAGACCCCAACTCTAAAAAACAAACACAACAAAAACAAAAACAAAAACAATGTTTTCTGGACAGTGGGGAAATTTGACTTGAAGCATATCAGAGCTTGAGTTCTTCAGTTCATATAGGAGCTTGTTGTCAGACTAGAAGATGTGAAGAGGCAATTAAAAAAAATAGACAAAAAAGTATTGACCATTTGTGGCCTAATAATATAAGAAATACTTTAACTTAATAGCACAATTGTTTACCTACTGTTTACCAGATATCTAGAAAGGTGCTCTATATACCAAGATCAACAATTTTCTGATCAACAACTTCTAAATTTATCACATGGAACAGATTTAACATTACTTTCCTTAAGATAAATTGAATAAAGATAGCCATAAAGTATCAAGTCCCTTAAATCTTTCTATCATACTAAGCCCTTGGCACTTAAGGAAAAATCCTACTTATTAACATCTTTGAAAAAGATATCCAAACAACAATGATGAGACATTCTTTACTATGTACCCTGTTAATTCAAGCTACCTTTAGTATTCATTTATTCACTCAGAAATCTGTTGAGCTTCAGCTGCATGGTCAGCCATTGTGCTGGACACTGAGAGAACCTAATGAAGAACCTAATGGAGCTTGTAATCAAAAGAAGAGCAAAAAGCCGATGGCAGCATGTCAAGCCTAAGGCATCATTTATATGCATATACCAAATGGTAACCATTGACCATAAAACTTTACATTTCAGCTTTAAAACCTTATTATATTATCAACTGAATAGATTTTGTTTGAGGTGTCTTCTATGGAAATGGATGATTTATCTAAAGAGAAACACTTTGTAGCTGAAATCAGAAGTGTTAATTGCACCAGCTATTAGATAATCAAATTGTTCAAAATTATTTCCTCTTGTGTAATAGAGTTGTACATGCCTACACTAGCCATGCAATTTGCAATGCCTCCTCGTAAATGAAATACACTTCCTCATTCAGTACCGGCCATATGAATTGCTTTGGTCAGTGGAATGTGTGCAGACGTGATTTAGGCCATGTCCTAGAAGAGGCTTTAAATGTGATGGTGCATTTGGCTCTGTCTCTTGCCACTCCCCTTGTCATGAGAGCAACCTGTATCAGGTAAGGGCTCCTCATTTAAACAAGGTCTGAAAATTAGAAACATATGCAGCAGAGTGAAGCAGAGCTGCAGATTGGAGCAGAGCCAAACCTGATCTACAGCCACTATACGACACGAGCAAGAAATAAATGAGCACTGTGATTTGAAGGCTGCTTATTACCATGGTAAAGCTTATACTTGACTCTTACCAAATTTCACTTGACATAAATCAGTATTTTCAGAAATCAACACACTGAAGCAGAGGTAAAGAGGGTTGAAAGCTCATTATTCTTCCAAAAGAAACAACAGACAAGAAAATCGATATTTAAAATGGCTATGTGAACCATGCTGATCAAGGTCTGTGAATGAGATTATTAATGAAAATAAACCATTACTTAATGATTTGATAGTTTTCCAAATTATATCAATCCATCTATTTTCTTCTTTTTTCTTTTTCTTTTTTTTCCTTTTTTTTTTTTTTTTTTTTTTGAGACGGAGTCTCACTCTGTCGCCCAGGCTGGAGTGCAGTGGCACGATCTCGGCTCACTGCAACCTCTACCTCCTGGGTTCAAGCTATTCTCCTGCCTCAGCTTCCCGAGTAGCTGGGACTACAGTCACATGCAACCATGCACAACTATTTTTTTTTTGTATGTTTAGTAGAGATGGGATTTCACCGTGTTAGCCAGGATGGTCTCGATCTCCTGACCTCATGATCCCACCCTCCTTGGTCTCCCAAAGTGCTGGGATTACGGGCGTGAGCCACCGTGCCTGGCCTCATCTGTTTTCTTTAAAGGTTTAATAAGTATATCAAAACCTCATGCTGTACATCTTAAATATATACAGTAAAAAAATAAAAGTTTGGTATGTAGATAGTTTGCTATAGGTGATATAGATCCAGTTTTAAAAGTTTAATTTTGCTAATTTAAAATTTATATTTCATTTTTTAAAAAGAATTTTATTTTCGTTATAAAGGCTCATAAATACATGTATGTCTAGGACCACCTAGATAGGAATTATTTGAGATTCTTATTATTAGAAATGCAACTTTACACCTATCCCTCCCCTTAGACTTGTTGAATCCGAATCTGGCAGTGAGTGGAAGAAAGCTACCCTTTTTTTTTTTGAGACGGAGTTTTGCTCTGTTGCCCAGGCTGTAGTGCAGTGGCGGAATCTCCGCTCATTGCAAGCTCCGCCTCCCGGGTTCACACCATTCTCCTGCCTCAGCCTCCCGAGTAGCTGGGACTACAGGTACCTGCCACCACACCAGGCTAATTTTTTGTATTTTTAGTAGAGACGTGGTTTCACCGTGTTAGCCAGGGTGGTCTTGATCTCCTGACCTCATGATCTGCCCACCTCGGCCTTCCAAAGTGCTGGGATTACAGGCGTGAGAAAGCTACCTTTTTTAGAAAGCGTCCAACATTTTTTATGTAAACTAGAGTTTGAAAATCACTATTTTAATTTTCCTTTTATTGTTCAGATCAGTATTAATGAATCCAGCTCTTTCCTGACTTCAACCTAAGTGGCATGCAGTTGCAGTTGTTTTGGCTAGAAAACATTTTCACAACTGAAGCAGCATACAAAATGTAAAGCAGAGAGTTCTGCTTATAGATAGAAAGTGTGAGGCTTGAAATAGTTAATACTCACTTGAGAGATGGAAAAAGGAACAGTTTTGGGAAGCTCGTTACAGAGGGAGAGACTTACAATTCTTTGAATGGTTTTTGGAAAAGTGGAACCATTAAATTACTGAGATGTGCACATAAGGTTTCATTCATTTTAACGGCCTAGAAAAAGTGCACTATGAGCCCTGCCAAATAGAGTTCTCATTGCCTGAGAGTGCTTTCTTGTTGATTTGTGAGATACTTTGTTGTTTCTTCAATGATCAAATATAATTTATTCTTCAAATGCACTGCCCTTCTCAACTATACTCAGGGACAAAGGTTGCACAATTTTGAAATTAGAAGGGACCTTAAAGATTATCTGGCTCAATGATCTAATCTAATAGATGAACAAACTAAGATTTGGAGAGACAAAGTGCTAGCTAAACTGCAGACAAGATACCAAATTATTCAAAACAATCTTATTAGTACTGATAATGATTTTTGACAAGGAGCTTGAAGGAAGTGTTCAGAATCTCTAAACCACAGAATTGTAAAATGATTCATTTCTAGAAAAAAAAATGTCTGGGAATTCTGAATTCATTAAAGAAACAAATATTGAGCTCCTAGTCTGTGCCTGGCATGTTGCTAAACCCTTAGTTTACAAAGATAAATAAAAGATAATCCCTGCCCTCGGAACACTCATGATTGGTTGAAGAATAATAGCTGATACTCAATGAATGCTTTCTATGTCCCAGACACTATTTAAAAACCCTTAAGTGTATTAACTCATGAAATAATAATAACAACCTTATGTGGCAGGAACAAATCATTCTCTTTTTTCAGATGAAGCAACTTAGGCACAGAGGGGTTATGCAATCTTCCTGAAGCTGTGCAGCTAGTATGGATTTATATTAGTTTGTAGAGCTGCTATAATACAGTACTAAAAATAAGATGGCTTACCACAGAAATCTAGTCTTTCACAGTTCTGGAGGCTAGAAGTCCAAGATTAAGGAGTTTTCAGGCTTGGTTTCTTCTGAGGAATGTGAGGAAGAAAACTGATCCACTGCCTTGCTTTTAGCTTCTGGTGGTTTGGTGGGAGTCTTTGGCAGTACTTGGCTTACAAAAGATCACCTCGATCTCTGTAAGTAGTGTTCTTCCTGCATGCATGCCTGTGTCCAAATTTCTCTTTTCTATAAGGACATCGATCATATTGGATTAGAGGTCTACCCAACTTTAGTATGACCTCATTTTAAGTAATTATATCTGCAATGACCCTGTTTCCAAATAAGGTCACATTATCAGGTACTGAGAGTGAGAGTTTCAACATATGAATTTTGGGGAGACACAATTCAACCCACAGCAGGGCTAAAGACAAGATTTTATTTCAAACAATCTAGCTCCAGGGTTTGTACATTTAACCATTCTGCTAGGTATGTACTGTAATACATTTCATGAAAAACACTATATGAACCCAGAAAAAGGAGGAATTAATTCTGTCTGGTACACAGTGGTTGGGAATTGAAGAAGGCTTTCCAAAGATGTAGTGGTTGTGTTGAGTTTTAAATTATGAATCAGAGTTCACCAGAAAGAAAGAACTGCATGAGCAAAGGCACAGAAGCAAAAAGGTACCTGGTATACCACCACCTCTCATCCATACTATTGCAACAGTCTGCAGACTGGTCTCCTTGCTTTCTTCCTTACTCTCCTATGGCCAAATATCCATCAGCAGCCAGAATAATCTTTTTCAAAAAGGTAAGTCGGGTCATAAATTTTTGTTGTTCTCAATCTTCCAAAAGCTTCTCATCATATTTAGAAAATTCCAAAGCATTTACCAGACCCACAAGTCCTACTTGATCTAACCTCTCACTATGTTTTAACCATCATTTCCTGTCTTTCTCACTCTGGCTTTTTTCTTTTCTTTTCTTTTCTTTTCTTTTTTTCTTCTCTTTTCTTTCCTTCTTTTCTTTCTTTTTTTTTTCTTTTTGACACTTTCATTCTGTCATACAGATTCAGGCTGGAGTGCAGTGGCAAAATCACAGCTCACTTCAGCCTCAATCTCCTAGCTCAAGCGATCTTTCCACCTCAGCCTCCTGAGCAGATGGAACCACAGGCATGTGCCACTATGCCCAGCTAATTTTTTAAAAGATTTATTTGTATTTTCTATAAATACAGGGTTGCCCTATTTGCCTACGCTGGTCTCAAACTCCCAGGCTCAAGCGATCCTCCTGCCTTGGCTTCCCAAAGTGTTGGGATTACACCCTGGCTTTTTATACCATGATCACACTGTCTTTTCCCCGTGCTGTTTCTCCTTTCAGAATACTTTTTTCCAAGATTTCAGATGGCTAGCTCCTTTTCGTCAATCAGGGTTCAACTCAAATTCCACCTTCTCCAAGAAACCTTCTCTGTCACTCCATCTAACTAGCCCTTTCTCAGTCATTCTCTGTCACATCGTATATTATTTTCCTTATATTGTCATGCATTTGTTTACTTCTTTATTGTTGGTCTCCCTCCTCCAGAATGTAAACTGAATGAGAATAAGGACTTTGTCTTATTCATAGTTCTACCCCCAGTGTCTCTATAGTGCCTAAAAGTATAAACAATTTTTAAAGAAATGCCTTACTTCAAGAGCATTTTTGATGGAATGACATGATCAGAAACTATAACATAATAAGATGAGGAGTGGAGGGGGGTAAGGAAGTAGAGTCCTGGGTGTAGAGCTCTTTTTCAATAAATGTTTGGGCTGAAAAAGAATGACTAACAGCTAATTAGAGAAGTTAGGATTAAAGAAGGTTTTATTTATAAGTTGTGATTGTTACTGTCATTGCAGATGAGTGCATACACAGGTTTATTTGTAAAAAATGAATAAAGAAAGAGAAAGAAAAAAAGACAGAGATCAAGATCAAATATAGGGGAGAAGAGGACAGTTGATGAAATAAAGTCTTGATGGGAATGGGAGGGCATGAGCTCAGGAGCACCATGGAGAGGTTATCTTTGGGAGGGAGCAGGGACACATTTTCCTCTGAGGCATAATTAAATAAGGCAAGAATAAGTAAAAATATAGATGTACCTGAAGGCTGAGGGAAGGCACATTTGAAGAATATCACTGAGGTAGGAGGTTAAACACTGCTGAAAGGAAAGCCTGGAAGGAGAGAGATTTTAATGAGATTTTTAAGTTTAGAACAGCTACTGTGGGGTACAAGAAAGGGATACAATTAGGGATCAGTAAAAAATTGCTGAGCTGTGCTGACAGCTGAGGTTGGAGATCACAAATTTGTAGTAGATCCAATCTAAAAGGATATGTGCTTTTTCTCCAGTAGAACTCTACTTCCCTGAAGCGGAAGTGGAGAAAAAAAAATGAGTATTGCGGAGATGGTGATTGGGAGGGCAAGTTCAGCAGAAGATTAAGACAGCTGGAAGCAATAGAGTTGAAGTGTTCGACCATTTTCACTAGTTAGTAAAAGAAATAGAGCAAGGAGGAAGTTCACAATCAGGAGAATTGTGAGATGGTATGCTGCAAGTAAAGGATTGCAAAGACAGTATGTTGTGGCCCAAGAGTTGGAATTTAGAGTTTAAAAAAGGAAACAAATGTGAGATGAAGGAGGGATAGATTAAAGAGATGTAGCAGGAATGTGGGGAGGGGATATTAGAAATGCTCTCTATCTTGATTTTGGTGGTGGTTTCATAACTTTATATAATTTTCAAAAGTTATTAAATTGTACATTTTAAATGGATGCAGTTTACTATACATAAGTTATTCCTCGATATGGTTGATACAAAAAAGGATTTTTTTTTTGGAGATGGAGTCTAGCTCTGTCACCCAGGCTGGAGTGCAGTGGTGCGCTCTCGGCTCACTGCAACCTCCGCCTCCCGGTTTCAAGTGATTCTCCTGCCTCTGCCTCCCGAGTAGCTGGGATTACAGCTGCCCGCTACCACACCTGGCTAATTTTTGTATTTTCAGTAGAGACAGGGTTTCATTGTGTTGGCTGGGCTGGTCTCAAATCCCTGACCTCGTGATCTGCCCGCCTCGGCCTCCCAAAGTGCTGGGATTACAAGTGTGAGCCACTGAGCCCAGCCTTAAAAAAGGATTTTTTTAAGTTGAAAGAAATTTAGAAAATGGCAATGTTCAGATTGTAACCCTACTGCTAAAGTGTAATGTTGGAAAATCTCACCAGAAAAGAAACAGGAATTGTAGGGCCAGATCTTGGCAGTTACCAAAGATAAGAGAGGTACTGACCGAGTCAGATTTGGAAGCCTCAGTGTGTATTTTCTAACCTAGATGCTAATCAACAGGAGGTAGGGTTGTTGAAGAAAGCATTTTTAAATATTCACTTGTTATACAGGTTGAGCATAGCAAACTTGAAAATCTGAAACCCAAAATGCAGAACTTTCTGAGTGCCAAGATGACACTCAAAGGAAATGCTCTTCGGAGCATTTCAGATTTCAGATTTCAGATGTCCAGATTTGGGATGTTTATCTGGTAGTTAAAATGTAAATGTTCCAAAATCCAGAAACATCCAAAATCCAAAACACTTCTGGTCCCAGGTATTTGAGATAAGTGATGCTCAGCCTGTATTTTATTTTGTTTTGTTTTGCTTGTTTTGTTTTAGTTCCAATTAACAAGTAACTTTTCATCAAGTACAGATTATATAGGTAAAATACTGTCAAATTTATTTATAGGATTCCAAACATAGACTATAAAGGCTCAGGTTAAAAGTAAAATATCAAAATCAGAATTAGTAAAGTGCTTTGAAAAAAAACAAAATAATTTTAAGAATCAACACAAAATACATGTATTTTGGAGGCTATTGCTATTTTTAATAATGTTGCTATTTTAAGTCATATCTTTTATGACCTACATTCATAACAAAATAAAAATGAAACACTCACTCTTATTACAGATTAAAAATAAATAGTTTAGGCCAGGCGCGGTGGCTCACACCTGTAATCCCAGCACTTTGGGAGGCTGAGCCGGGTGGATCACAAGGTCAGGAAACCGAGACCATCCTGGTCAACATGATGAAACCCCGTCTCTACTAAAAATACAAAAATTAGCTGGGTGTGGTGGCACGTGCCTGTAATACCAGCTACTGGGGAGGCTGAGGCACGAGAATCGCTTGAACCCAGGAGGCAGAGGTTGCAGTGAGCCGAGATGGTGCCACTGCACTCCAGCCTGGCGACAGAGCAAGACTTGTCTCAGAATCAATCAATCAATCAATCAATCAATAATAATAATAAAATAAATTAAATAGTTTAAACTTCAAAGTACAAAAAAGAAAAGGTAATTAGTTGCTGCAATAAAATTTGCTTGTTTTTATACCACATTTCTTGCCAGAAAACACCAGCTTTTTAACGCATTTTATAAAGATACATGTCTTGTAATTAGCAATATATTTTGAAATAATAGTATCTCCCTTAGGAACAAAATCTTAAAGGACACCTTCAAGTTATAAAAATAAGATGTGGCCATTTTGATTTACACACATATTTCACAATGAAGAAATATCAGACCCAGTATCAAAAAGATAAAGAAATTGTCATTTAATAATGATTAGTTAGCATTTGAATAAGAACCTCACTCCATTGTTGATTTAATTGTGTATCACATGGTTTAAATAATTACCTAGAGGATTTTCCCCTATTTCTTCTCTTCCTACCTACCTACACACACACACATGCATGCACACATATTTTTTAGAGCAGTTTACCAAACTAACCTGAAATAAACCCTTTTGAAGGAAATCATCTAGACATAAAAACTCTACTAAACTGGAATGCATCTTTAATACAAAAAAGTACAAATTTGCTTTCCATCATATACATGAACATAAAGAGAAAAAAACAATGGCCCATAGAAAAATAAGATACTGAAACTTATTGGAATGATTTAATGACTCTTCCAGCAAATGTTAAGTCAGCCAGTTTTAACCTAAAAAAAATAAGATCTTAGAGAGAAAATATTTATTGGTAGCTTTAATGTTAGGTTAAAATGCTGTGAAACAATTATAGAAAATTAAACTCATCAGTAAAACCAGGCATAGTTTCCTATATCAGCCCTGCATTATATGTTAAAAGAGGAAAAAAATGTTATTTGGAGATTCATTGTAATCTTATATAAAAATAGAGCTCAATATTAAAATTGACCTTAATATTCATACAACAATATTTGTATGCTCTACTAAATGAAGTTTTAAGAAATCCAAAATCCAGTGAGGCAGGACAAGTCAAGAAAAGAAACAATTGCAATAAAATATGATGTGTAGTAAAATATGAAGGTTTGCACATAGTTTGAAAATTCTGATTCGTTCTAAGACAAAGAAACAACATAGGTTTTAATATATTTTGAATACTATTTTCTGACTGTGCTATATTTTTTAATACAGAAAAACACACTGAGGAAAAGCCACCTGTGTTACCACAACCCAGAGATAGTCGATGTTAATATTTTGTGTATATTTTTCCCATCATTTGATGAATTCAGAAGTCACCTCTTCTGAGATTTTGCTTTCTGCAATTTCAGTTACCTGCTGTCAATTGTGGCCAGAAAATTTTTAAAAATTTTCTGAAAAAAATTCCTCGAAAATTCCTGAAAAAAAGAAAAACAATTTTTTTAGGTTGTTGCAAAAGTAATTGCAATTTTTGCCATTACCTTTAATGGCAAAATTTTAAATTGTGTGCGTTTCTGAGTAGTGTGATGAAATCTCGCACGATCCCACTCCAACCCGCCCAGGACATGAAGAATGAAGAATATAGTACAATAAGATATTTTGAGAGAGAGAGGGGGACCTCATTCACTTTTCATTAGAGCATATTGTTATAATTGTTCAATTTTATTATTAGTTATTGTTGTTAATCTTTTTTCTGTGTTCATTTCTATTTTCCATATTTCCATGCTTCTTATTATGAATAATTTATAAGAACTCTTTATACATATTTATATGTTAAAATATATTAAGCTATTAACCATTGTTCTGTCATTTAAAAATTTGTCAATTATTTTACCACTTTTTTCATTTCACTTTTAATTCTGTTCAAACTTAAAAAAAATTATAGGAGTTTTAGCTTTCATTATGTTAAATGTGTTAGTATTTTCCTTTATGTTTTTTCTTTTGTTCTTCAGTTTAACCTGCCATCAGATAAATATTCTTTCTTATTTCCAGCTATCTTTATAGTTTAATTTATTGCAACTAATTAGTTAATGTATTTGGAATTTGTTTTCGTAAGTGGTGTGAAGTAGGGTTCCATTTATTTTTCCAAAATTATACAATCTCAATGCCTACTTATAAAATAATTCTTGCTCTCTCATTAGCTTAAAATGTCTTCTTTATCATGTGTAAATTCTTAAAGCTCTCAGTTATTTGCCTGGTTTCCCTTTTCTAGTAAATTTTTCCAGTGCTAGGACTATATCATTTAGTTACTGTAATGCTATAGTATATTTTATCATGTTGAAGAGCAACTTCTCCCATTACCTTTGATTTTCGAGATGTTTTTCCTCATTATTTATACACCTTTTTTCTTGCAGGTGAACTTAAAATAAATCATCTTTTTTTTATATCAACCAGTTTTTTGGGAAAGAGGCTTTAAAGACTCTTTGAAAGGTTGCCACTTTTTCTATTATAATGTTCCAACATCAGAAATAAAATGTTGAGCAAAAAGAGCAAGCCACAGAATACATACAGTACAAGCTCACTTACAAAAAGTTCAAAAAATGATACATTGTTCAGTGATATACATATATTTGCTAAATATATTTAAAAAAAACTGACCCCAAGGAAAATGATTTCCCCAGAGATAAGAACTAGATGCAATCCACAATGGACACAATGGGAATTCCAAAGTTATTGATAATGTCCTACTCCCAGAACTATAGGAGTAGAATATGGATGTCTTTATTATTAACGTTATTAATATTTTATTATTACTTTCTGTTATAAATACTAATATCTTTAATACCATGTACGTAAGTTTATTAGGTATCATTAATATTATTCTGTTTAGTTGTATATTTCTGAAACCTGAAATATTTTCATAAAAATTTTAATGTACAAAACTAACTAAAATTTTACAAATTGATACCTTATCTTCATAACACCATTCATGAGAAAAGTATGAATTAAAATCATTATATTAATAATGGTAACTAGTATATGACATTCTTGGAAATAAACTTAATGAGATATATACATATATAGAGAAACTATGTCAACTATATGAAGAAATTTGTATGCTCTCCTAAGTGAAGTTTTTAAAAATATTGCATTAATGAAAAGATATAGCATGCTCTTCAAATTACTCTACAAATTTAATGCAATCTCAATTACGATTTCAACACAATTTTTGAACTAAACAAAAATTACTCTAAACTTTTTTCGAGGAATGATTATTAAATTTGCCTACTATTGAAATCTTGGAAAAATTAGTAATGAAGAGACTCTTGTCTCACAATATAGATATTTTTATTGGTTATTTAAAAATATTTTTATTGAGGTCTATATATGTATATATATAGTTTACCATCTTTACCATTTTAACTGTACAGTTCAGTGGTAATAAAGACACGTATATTGTTTATTTTCCCTGCCCTCCCCACTCTCCTTCCAGGACTCTGCTAACCACCAATTTACTTTCTATCTTCATGAGATACTTTTTAGGTCCCACATATGTGTGTGGCCATGCAGTATTTGTCTTTCTGTGCTTGTCTTATTTCCTTTCACATAATGCCTCCAGTTCCATTCACGTTGCTGCAAATGACAGTATTTCACACTTTCATGGCTGAATAATATTCCACTGTGTTATATATCACATTTTCTTTATTCATCCATCTATCAATGGGCACCTAGGTTCATTCCATATTTTGGTTATTGTAAACAGTGTTGCAGTAAAGATGGAAATGCAGATATCTCTTTTATATATTGATTTTCTGTCTTTTGGATATATACTCGGTAGTGGAATTTATGTATCCAATGATAATTCTATTTTTAGATTTGAGGAACCTCTATAACGGCTCTCTGTAATGGCAGTATTAATTTACATTCCCATCAACAGTGCATGAGGATTAAAGACTATTGAAAAGCTACAATTATTAATACAATGCAACGCAAGTATCAGAAGAGACTGAGAATCTATAATGCATTGATAACATTTCACTTTTTGTATGCACTTGCTATCAACCAGATACTGTACTAACTCCTTTATATTCATTATTTTTTAATTATCACAACTACTTCAGATAGATACTACTATTATTTCAATTTTTACAAAGGAGAAATGTATCATGACCAACCATCCTAGTTTGTTCATGACTGTCCCAGTTTTGACACTTAATGTCCAAACTGTAAAGAATCCCTGGATACTCCTGGCAAACTAGGATGATTGGTCACCCTAGAACTGAAGCTTGGAGTGCTTATGTAATTGATCAATTTGTCAATTCAAATGATGGGGGGAAAACCTTCTGGAACAACTGGCTAACCATGGGAAAAAAAGTGAGATCAATACTCACCCTTTACTCTAGAATAAATTATTGTTGAATAAACAACTTAAATGTAAACATTGCATAAAAACGTAAGTGAACACGTATGTAACTTTGGAGTAGAGATGAACATCCTAAACAAAACTAGAAACCATAAATGAAAATATAAATAAATATGACTGCATTAGAAACAACTTATCTACAACTGAACAAATTAAAACTAAAATTTTAATGAAACAATTAATGACCTAAATACGTAAAAAACCTCAAACATTACTAGGAAATATCTAACTCCATAATAGAAAAATAAACACAGGCTATTAATAACTACTTTATAATAGAAGTACTAAGTTAAATAAGCCAGGTGCAGAAAGAGAAATATTTCATATTTTCACTCATACGTGGGACCTTAAAAAGCTGATCTCATATAGGCAGTAAATAAGATGGTGGTTACCAGAGTCTGGGAAGTGTGGTGGTTGGGGATGAAGAGAGGTTAGTTAATAGGTTAAAAAAAATACAGTTAGACAGAAGGAATAAGTTCTACTGTTTGATAACACACACGTGTATGAAAATATCATATGTATGGCGTAAATATGTACAAGTATTATGTATGAATGAAAAATGGAAAATAAAAAAGCTTATTAAACTTTAAGTCATTCGTTTTTTATTGCATTGCCGTTTTACTCATATCTCTTGTATACTATATAACAACATTTATTTATTCAATCACCTGTTGATGGACAGTTGAGTTATTTCCAGATTTGGGCTATTATAAATAAAGCTATAAAATTATGTGTACAAAAAAAGTACAAATGGCCAAATATATACGAATAAATTATTATACTTTTAATAGTGACATTATGCAAAATAAAACAAAATGCTATTTATTTGAAGCAGACTGACAAAGATTAAAAACAAATAATAATGCCAAGCGTTGATCATTATGGGGAAAATGGCTTACCTCATATATACATGGTGGATGGAAGTGCAAAACAGTACACTATAAGAACCTATTTTGACAATATGAATCAAAGGCCTTAAAATGCATAGCTTTTCATGCAAAAAAAATTCCCCATTCAATAATCTATCATTAGAAAATAATCAGATTAATATTTGAAAATACATATACAACAATGTATTATTCATTCCAGCACTGTTTATAAGACCATATAACTTCAGATGACCTACTATCTGTCCATTGGGATTAGTTAAACAAATTATGGCACATCCTTGCAATGCAATACTATATAGCTATTGAAAGTAATTAGTTTATTTGATCATTCATTTATCATATACTTATTGAATGGCAGGCATTTTACTAGTTGCTGGGCATACAGTTGTGTACACAACGAACTATATATTCAATCTCATATGACCACATTCTATATAGAAAGGAAATTAAACAAAAAACAGACAAATAAATGTAACTCACAATAACAACTTGATGGAAATAAGTAGCTGGGAGAGGTTAACAGGATGACCTAGATCCGTATTTATTTATGTGTAGGGCTTAATTTCTCTGAAGTAAGACTATGTCAAGGATTCAACTACATGGAATATTCAAATTTGTTTCAAGAAGTGCATAATATATTCTATAGTCAATCAATCCCAAGCTCCTATGGTCTCTCTTAGAGGCTAGAGAGCAGAGCACACATGACAATCACAAAGTGTGTTTTCAAAAAGGCAGAGGATTCAAAGTCTCTATCCTGTAATCAACAGAGACATCGCCATGATTTTTAAACCATGTAAATTCTGCTCTAGTACAGTTCTCTGGACAAAAACCCTTGACCACCTATTCAGACTTCTCACCTTGTCTCTCCCTCTATATTGATCTCTGATCACTTTCATCTCATTCCTTTCTATTATATTAAACCAAATGAAATTGCTGATATTCAATCATTTTTGTTGAATGAAAATAATAATTTCACATTGCTCAACCTGCTATTTTAGAAAATCCCCTGTTCTTCCATGTTTATATACTGAAATACTTTTTTGATTCACCGAGACAAGTGCCTTGTCCTTCAACTACCCATATTGCGGGTGTTGCAAATGAGACATGAATTGACATCATGAATGAACTCCATGTACAACCCTAATATGTCACTTTTATATCTTCTTCCAAAGTATGACATTGAAAATAACATGCAGGAATTCTACACTTTGCTTTCACTAATCACTTATCTATGTAGGCATCAAGCAAGGTAAAAGAATGGGAGGAAAGGGTATTCAATTTTATATTATGCCAGAAAAATTATTTCTTTTAGTCATTTTGGGGGGAATATTACAAAACCTTAACTTTGTGAGTTTAGGATATATTTTCCATGATCTCTGCTTTATTCTAGAAAATATAAATTGTTCCTCAGCTTTATTGTATAAATTGTAATATTTATGGAGACTGTGGTCTCCATAAATATTATACAGCTTAGCCACTATCACTACAAACTTTGAAGTCTGACAGGTCCAAATTTTGAAGAAATTTCTGAGTCACAGTGTTCTCATCTGCAAAGCACGGGTAAGAACTGAACCTACCTCATGGAATTATTAGGATGATTAAATGAGATAATGCATGTAAAATACGTTTAGTACACACAGGCATGTAATAAATACTCAATTAACAGTAAATTTAAAGTAAAATTAAAGCCTCTTAAAGGAAGCATTTTTATTCTTTTAGCATAATTGCCTAATCATGATATAGAACCTGGACACCAGGACCTCAAAATAGGAAGCCCTCAAATTTGGAATGGGAAAAAGCAGAGAAAATGCCTTACTTTAAATTCCCTATGAAGAGGCTCAGTGAATCTGCATTTGCTAACACTTCTACATGCCAACTAATTGGGAAGCCTTTAGTCCCAGTGGTTATACAGTCAATTTAGGTAGTCAGTGAATGATAGGACAGAGGAGAGTCATTGCACCCTCAAATTACATTCAGGGAACAATATTTTCTCTGTGCAGAGGAAAAAAATTTAGCATAAGTCTTAATGGATTATATATCACCGTTTTTAAATTGACTTTGTAAGATTTTTAAAAATGCACCCCCTCCAATTGGCCTTGAAAATATAAAATGGATAAAACTATAGCTGAAGCCTCTTCACTTGGACCTGCCATAGCTAAAACCAATGTTTCTTGTCCAGCTGCTCAAGTAGCTGCAGAATGGTAAGGGTCAGAATTTCAGCAATGTGTCATCTTCAGCAAAAGTGGAGCAGATTCTAGGATCCTGTCTAAGCCAATTGCTCAGCAGCCAAATGAAAGCAAACCAATATGGGAAATCTAGGAAAAAACATGAAGTTTTCTGCATAGCAGTCCAGGTTGTCAATCTCTAAGCCAGCTCAGTTAAAAACCCTTTGAGCTCTGGGAAGTTTGCCTTAAAAAAATTTCTAGAATTTTTAGGGCAGGCTTGGCCCGAGGCACATGAAGTTGACAATGGCTTCATTCAAGGAATGACAAAGGCCTACTAAACACATTGGGTGTCAGGATATTGACTGCAATTATTATTTTAGAAAAGTGTTTATTAATATCTGAACAACTTCTTCATAAAGATAAGTAAAATTGTATTTGCCTGGGTTTGGATTTTGTTAAGATCCACTTTTTGCACTCAATTCTGGAATTATCTCCCTACTCAGATAAGAAGTCAGTATAGACCAGTGGAAAAGTTTCCATGCTGCAAACATCAGATTCCTAACTCTGTACTTACACAACAGTGGCCAAATGGGCTTGGTTTAGTAATCCTTAAAGTGAATATAATAACACCAACTACTTTATAGGTTTCTTTTGACAATTTAAATGAGTGAATGTATATACAGATAGTGCTTGAATCACAATAGCTCAATTTATAATTTTTAACTTTACAATAGTATGAAACCATTCTGTTTTTCACTTTCAGTACAGTATTTAATTAATTACATGAGATATTCTATACTTTATTATGAAATATGGTTTGCATAATATAATTTTGCCAAACTATAGGCTAATGTAAATGTTTTGAGCATGATTTAAGTAGGCAGACTCTACTAGTCCATTTTCATACTGCTATAAAGAACTGCCCAAGATTGGGTAATTTATAAAGGGAAGAGGTTTAATTGACTCACTGTTCACCATGTCTGGGGAGGCCTTGGGAAACTTACAATCATGGCAGAAGGTGAAGTGGAAGAAAGACACCTTCTTCAAAAGGCAGCAGGAAGGAGAAGTCCCAAGGGAAGGGGGGAAGAGTCCCTTATAAATACATCAGATCTCGTGAAAATTCACTCACTACCATGAAAACTGCATGGGGGAAACTGCCTCCATGATTCAGTTACCTCCACCTGGCCCCTCCCTTGACTTGTGGAGATTATGGCGATAATGGGGATTATAATTTAAGATGAGACTTGGGTGGGGACACAAAGGCTAACTGTGGCAGGCTAGATATCACTAACAGCTGAACAGGCAGACATCCATGACAACTGTTTAGCACTGACTGAGTAGTTAGGTTAATTATTGAAAGCTGATAGAGCCAGTGCCCTTATGCAAAGGCTGGAATGTAACAAAAGCCCACCAAGAGTCTTGCTTAGGCCTTTCCTGGGCCTTAAAGCTTGACAAGATAATGAAAGAATTCTTAACAAGACCCATTTAGGATTGAACAAGTATATTGGACAGTCTGAAAAGACTCCCCAGACCTCTACAAACATGTTTTATTAGGGGGGTTTAAGGAAACTCCCCAAACTTCCATGACTTAGTAGGAGACAAAATAAGGGTAATTATCCCCAGCACGTGGACCCATCTGGATTAAGTACATTTACTGAAACTCCAGAGGAAGGTCTTCAGGACTCAGACCTTTGTTAAAGATAAGAAAAAGTTAATCACTTATGTCTTTAGATGAATGCACATTTACACGTAGACATATAGCTTAGAAGGTATATAAGCTCTGTAAAACTTTGTAATTTTTAGTTGGTCTGGCAGTATTTCCCTGGTTTTCTCCCTGTACCTGGTTACAGAAATAAACTCTCTTATTTCCCAGTTCATCTGCATCTCATTATTGGGCAGCAAGAGTAATCAGCCTGACCCTCAGTTAAGCCCAGGAACAGATTCGGTGAGCCAGCTAAGAGCCGCTAGGATGGTGCTGCATTCAGTGGCCAGTGGCTTGTAATGAGACAGTCTTCAGGAAATTCCCAGCAGCTACAGGGTGAAATTTTCCAGGGGAATCTCCTGAGGGCTGTCCCTTGCATGAAACCACATGTCCCCCTCACTACTGGGGAAGAACAGAGATAAGGATCAGACATGCTCAAGGGGTAGATAAAATTGTATGATATGCAGGAAGCCTATTCTTTTTCTATCTGGATTTTTTAAGCCATTTGCCTGGTACCACCAGGGCAACGATAGGGCTCGCTTATACACCCGCTTTGCCTTCGGTTAAAATCAGGTTTTGAGTTGGTTTTGGGTCTTCCCTGCCTGAGTGCATGCCCCTTTGTGTTTGTCCAAAATCTGTCTCCACTTGTTTGTGTATCTGTCTTGGTCTGTTTTCATACCACATAAGCTTGAAAATCGGAGGTGTTGAGTCCATTCCCGCTGGGAGCCCTCTGGGAAGAATCCTGTTGGATTGAAAATGGTTTGGGTATCCTTCCATGACTAAAAGGAAATTAGTTTACTATTGTAATAGGATTTGGCAAATGCACATTTTAGAATCTGAGGGGAGATAGCCGATTTTGGGGACTCTGAACTATTCCATTATTTATAAGTTAGAGTTGTTTTGTAAGTGTTTGGGAAGATGGGAATAAATACCCTATCTTAAGAAATGTATGTTATTACATAATAAGGATGTCAATGAGAAGGGAGATAAGCTAATGGTGCAGTGCTCAGTCAAAGTTTGACCTGACTCTAAGAGAGAAGATAGGGACTTAGGAAGCCAATAATTGATAAATATACTTAACTTGGTGGGAGCTAGCAGCACACATAATACAGTGAGAGCTAATACCCAACCATCCAGCCAGGAAAGGGGAGAATCACCACCCTCAGAGTACAGGGAAGTGGTGCCCCCAGAGTACCGGGAAGCAGCAAAGCTGGTCTTTCCCTCTTGGACCAGACAAGGCACTAGTTTGGGCCGGAGAACTATGGAACCAGGAGCAGGGCAATTTCCACTTTGATAATACTCTGTAGGAGTTAAACAGCAGGAGGCTATGGCAGGATATTATTGAGCCTACAGCCCTTTTATTATATCTGACCTGTTAAACTGGAAGAATTCTAACTTGCCCTGTAGGGAAGACACCCAGAAAATGAATGAGCTGTTTAGCACAATGTTTGCTACTCATCACCCTACATGGGCAGATATACAAGCCCTCCTAAACATTATGCTCACTGCAGATGAGAGCTGCCTAGTATTGGATAAGGGAAAGGAAGAGGCAGAACACCTTCACTTGATCTTACCCAAAAGCCAGAGAAGCGATGCAGAACACCTTCATAATGAAAACCCAGACAATACTCCAGACCCTGATGGAGCAGTACTCTATACTGACCCTAATTGGGATCCAAATGAGGCTAATGTGGGTTAAATGACCCACCTGGAGCATTACAGGAGGTGCAGCTTGAAGGGCATTAAGTCAGGGGTACCCAAATGTAAAAACTTAAACTAAATGTAGGAGCTCCAGCAAAGGCCTAATGAAGATCCATCCGAGTTTATGGAATGTATTTGACATACCTCTGGGAAGTATACAGATATGGACCCATAGGACCCTGAAAATGTCAGGATGGTGAACCTGACTTTTATAAGGCAAAGTTTCCCTGACACTGGGAAGAAGCTGCAGAAAGTAGAAGGGGCCATTAGGATAAATGCCTCTCAACTGAGACATTGCATTTAAAGTTTACCGGAGTAGGGAGGTGAAGAAAACTAAAGCCCTGTGGCAGGCAACAATACTCATGGCCACAGCAAGAAAATATCCAAGAGGGAAGGGACCTGAAAAGAGGAAAGGAAAAATAGAAAAGAATCAGTGTGCATAATGCTGAGAAACGGGGCATTGGAAAAAGGATTGCCCAAAGTTAAACCAAAAAGAACCAAGGCCAATTATGGCAATTAAGCCTGGGGATGAATCTGAGGAAGACTGAGGGTGCCCAAGACTTCCAGCAGCTCCAATTCTATGTAACATCAAAATTTCCCCACAGAAGCCTCAGGTAAAGTTAGCAGTGGGGAAACAGCAATTGGACTTCTTAATCGACACTGGTGCTACTTATTTGGTAGTTAATACACTGATCACTGAACTTTCTGACACAGCTGTCAATATAGTCAAAGTGAGCAGGAAACAGATCAGAGCAGTTTCTGTGCCCCCTCTCATGTAAAGTGGGCAATAATGTAACAACTCACCTTAATGTGCCAGGCTGCTCAATTTCTTTACTTGGCAGACATCTGCTATGCAAGTTACAGGCTCAAATCATTTTCATCCATGAGAAACATCAAATGTGTCTCCAAGTGCCTCCAGAACATGGACTGCAACTGCAAGCACTTCTGATGAATGTTAAGACCTCATGCCCTAAGGTAGAAGCAGTCCCTCAGGAAGTCTTTGGCAAGGTAAAACCAGAGGTCTGAGGAGGGCAATTAACATGGGAGGGAATGGGAGGGCAATTAATATGAGTTTGGTAAAAGTCAAATTGAAGGAAGGGGTTCAATCTATCTGAAAAAAAAAAACAATACTCCTTAAAGAGGAAAGCCTTGGAAGGCATCCAGCTGGATTTAGTCTAGTTCTTACTGTATGGCCTCATAAAGCCTTTTCAGTCTTCTTACAATACTCCCATCTTGCTGGTAAAGAAGCCTCACTCACATGAGTATAGATTTGTGGAAGATCTAACAACAATTAATGATATTGTGGAAGACATTCACCCCACTGTGGCTAACCCATACACCAGGTTTTCCGTTTTCCTCACTGCCTGGGAATCATGAATGGTTTATGGTGCTAGACTTGAAAAAATGCCTTCTTTTAGATACAAGTGAATGTAGAGAGCCAGCTATTGTTTGCTTTTGAATGGACAGACCCTGAGACCACTGCACAGTTTCAGTATTGCTGGGCTGTACTCTCAAGGGTTTAAGAACTCACCAACTATATTTGGAGAGGCTTTGGCTCAGAACTTAAAAAACCTACAATTAAAAAATGGGGTATTGTTGCAATATGTGGATAATTTGCTAATCTCTAACCCCCCTGAGCAAGAGTACCAGGATAACACCATTAAAACCTTAAACCATCTGGCAGCTTGTGGGTGCAAGCTCTCAAGCAAAAAAGCTCAAGGATGTAAACAAACTATGAAATATTTAGGGGTTCTTCTACAGAAAGAAACCAGAGCCCTGACCATGGGAAGGTGAAATGCAATTGCTTCTATTGCCATGTCCACCACCAGAGAGCACATAAGGGTCTTCCTAGGTATGGCCAGATTTTGTTAGATTTGGATCCCTATCTACAGACTAATAGGAAAGCCCTTATATGAACTGTTAAAAAGAGCCAACTATAATTTTTTTGAGTGGGAAGCAAGGCACCAACATTCATTGGAGCAACTGAAGTGTAAGTTAATCTCCTCCCCTGCCTTAGAGCTTCCAAATTCTCATAAGCCTTTCCAACGTAATGTGCACTAGAGACTGGGTTTAGCATTGGAGTCCTAATGCAAAGATTAGGCGAAGTATTACAACTCATAGCATACGTTTCAAAGCAGCTTGACATGGTAGCCGAGGGCTGGCCCCCTTGTCTTAGAGAAGTCTGCTACTACTTGACTGCTACTCAAAGAAGGTGAAAAGCTGACCTTGGGGCAGCCTTTCGCAATATACGTGCCCAATCAAGTGTTGGTGTTACTGCAACAAAAAAGAGGCTACTGGCAGACAGCATGCCAATTGAGCAGATTATCAAGCCATGGTTTTAGATGACCCCACAGTAAAGCTGCAAACTACAGGAACTTGAAACCTTGCTACACTATTACCTACCACTGAGGAGCTGGAAGAACCCATATATAACTGTCTAGAGGTCATAGACCAAGTGTTTTTCAGCCACCTGGACCTAAAGGAGGTAGCTCCCATGCTCAGACTGGACCTTGTTTGTAGACGGGAGCAGCCTGGTCCCTGACAGGAAGAGAAATCCTACATATGCTGTGGTGACCTCCTCAGAAGTAACAGAGGCAATAACTTTGCTGGCAGGAACCTTGGCAAAGAAGGCAGAGTTAAACGCCCTCAGGAGAACCTTGCAACTGTCCCAAGGTAAGAGTGCCAACATACACACTGACTCCAAGTACCAAGCATTCATGATACTTCATGCACATGGAGCTATCTGGAGGGAAAGAGGGCTGCTAAAGGTGGATAACATCAAAGTTGAATACGCTAAACAAGTGTTAGAATTGTTAGAAGAGATAAAGGCCGCATGGGAAATAGCTGTAATGCATTTCCCTGGCCATCAATGCAATAATTCTGAAATGGCAAGGAGCAACGCTTTTGCAGACCTCACCACAAGGCATTTAGCTAGTGCCAGCATTGAAATCCGGGTGCCCTTAATTCCACAAATAAACTTAGCCTCCAAGCCCCAGTACACTTCTGAAGATAAGAAAGCCGTAAGGGATTCAAACTAAACGAGGAAGAGTAGAGAGTAAGCAGAGCAGGCCCAGTCCAGGAACCAGTGCATCTTGTCTACCCACTGTTAAAGCGCAATCACAATAGTATGCATTTTGGGTGAGACACTTCACTGTCCTTTGTACAAAATTATTTGAAAGGGAAAGGACTAAAAGCCCACTTAAAGGATATAATTCAGCATTGTCATCTGTGTGCCGGAAATGAGCCTAATAATCACAGCCAAAGGCAGCCTGGGCAACAAAGAAGAGGAAGGCACCCCCTAGAAAACTGGCAAATAGACTTTACACAAAGGCCACCAGCCCCTGGGAGATACAAATACCTCCTAGTTCTAGTGGACACTTTCTCTGAAGCATACTCAGGTCACATCCAATAAGCAACCAATATAGTTAAAGTTTTACAGAAAAAAAAACAACATACTACAATATGGGCTCTCTGATGTAATCCAAAGTAATAATTGGCCTTCATTCACCTCTGAAATAACTCAACAAGTAAACAAAGCATTGGGAATAAAATGGAGACTTCACTCAGCATGGAGATCTCAATCTCCTAGACAAACTGAGAGAATGAACCACACCCTAAAAACAATAATTACCAAGCTGTATCAAGATACTCAATTGAAGCGGATGCAGGTACTTATTATCGCACTGCTCTGGGTCAGAATAGCCCCCAGAAATGGAATTAAAATAAGTCCCTATGAAATTGTCTTTGGAGGATCCTTTGTAGCTAATCTGTCTCTGGTACTGAAGTGCCCCTAGATAGGGAGTCAGATATTAAGAATTATGTTGCTCACTTAGGACAAACTCTTAACATTTTGTGTAAGTTTGCTTCCAACAAGAGCACTGTGAATTCTGTAGAAGCCCCCCAACCTTTCCAAACTGATAATCAAGTGCCGCTGAAGGAATGGAAGGAAGCCAGTCCTGCCCAACAACTACAGGAGAAATGAAAGGGGCCTTACGATGTGCTAATTACCACAAGCACAGAACTGAAATTGGCAGCCATCAAGCCTTAGGTCCATAACATGTGAGCAAAAAGATTCCTGCCAGCTGAGAACCCTGTGGCAGAGGAGTTCCAGGCCAGAAGATGGGAGATAGAACCCTTAGAAGACCTGGAGTTTCTATTCAGAAAACAATAAGACTTTCTCTTATAATGAATGCTCCTTCTTGCTGTGCCTCTCATTGTTTCTGCTCTTACCTCTAATCATTTTTTACAATGAGCACAGAACTATGCAGATAACCTGCAACATGGCTCCTGCTGGGTCTGTGGCCTATAACCCCTTTGTAGAACCACAGTATTGCCTTGGTGGTTGTCACCCATCCAAGGGAATGACTGGATTTACTAGCAAACTTTTCTGGGAAATCTCAAATTTTGGACTGGGTCACACATGACAGGAGTAACCAGGGCAAATGTCTCAGATTGGCCCATAAACAAAACTTTAGAAGGCCCAGGGCACAAAAAGCCATTCTAAGTAAACAAAACAAAGGATGACATAAAAGCTTTAGCTACTCCCTTGCTGAATGTGAAGGTGTACACCTAGACTATACTACAAAATGTCCAGTATAAAAAGGGCTTTCTTCAAATTTAGGATAGATTTGTTTGGCTAACTGCCTCCACGTCAATAAAGTAGTCCCTTTATGCTGGAAGCAATGCAACCACTGCCTTGACCATTGGTCTAATGTAATTCAAGTCATGGGATGACTGGCAAGCTTGAAATTGGTTGCTCTAGACTTTTTGCTGGATTTACTAGCAAACTTTTGGACTGGGTCACACATGACAGGAGTAACCAGGGCAAATGTCTCAGATTGGCCCATAAACATCGCTGCCTGGAGTTGGTTAGGACGCTGCACTGCACTCTAGGTCTCTCGTGAGCACAGGGACACTGGATAAAAACCATCCAAAACCCAGCCAACCTCATGCATACGCTTAACAGGTGGACCAGGTCAGTCTTTCACTGGTATCATCATCTGGCCATAATCTTTATTCCCTCAATAGGCTTAGAAACTGCCATATGACACACAGAGACACTAGTTAATTTCATGCACTGAGCATTGAATAACAGTCTCCAAAGTATTTGCCTTACGCTAAAATGTCTCATATGCAGAAAGGTATCTTGCTAAATCAAATGACCCTAGACATTCTAACAGAGACCCAGGGGGATCCTGCATCCTGGTCAAAACCCAATGTTGTGTGTATATACCTGAACATTCTGGGAATAACTCTGGCATTAAAGGATATGCACCAACAGATTCAGGCAATCTCCAGCCTTAGGTTATCACTTAATGACTGGATCTCATCATGGTTTAGTGGAGGGCTTTCCTGGTGGCAGAAAATCCTCGCAGTCCTGGCCATCCTTGTAGGCATGGGCATAATGTTATGTTGTGGAATGTATTGCTGTTGCATATTGTTTCAAAACATCCCTCGAGCTCATACTATTATGTTTCAGCAGGCACTGCCTCTAAACCCCCAAAACAGAGAGTACTACCCAGAACAAATTGACCTCTTCCACTACAGTGCTGCATTTTGTGCCCCATAATGATGACCCCTCACAGCAGGAAGTAACCAGAAAGATTATGACACCCCATCTCCCTATAATTCTCATGATAAATAAATATACAAGCATAACGAAAACCATTCATAAATTGATAATGGGGATTGTGGCAGGCCAGGTTCCACTAACAACTGAACAGGCAGGACTCCATGACAACTGTTTAAGCACTGAGTGGTTAGATTAAATATTAAAACCAGAGACTGGGCTCAGTGGCTCACACCTGTAATTCCAGTAGTCTGAGAGGCTGAGGTGGGCGGATCACCTGAGGTGGGGAGTTCGAGACCAGCCTGACCAACACGGAGAAACCCCATATCTACTAAAAATACAAAATTAGCTGGGGGGGCAGGTGGTGCATGCCTATAATCCCAGTTACTCGGGAGGCTGAGGCAGGAGAATCTCTTGAACCCGGGAGGCAGAGGTTGCGATGAGCCCAGATCGCGCCATTACACTCCAGCCTGGGCAACAAGAGTGAAACTACGTCTTAAAAACAAAACGAAACAAAAAACCAAAAAACAAACACCTGAAAGAGCCAGTGCCCTTATACAAAGGCTGGAATATAACAAAAGCCCACCAAGAGTCTTCCCTAGGCATTTCCTGGACCATGAAGATAACAAAGGAATTCTTAACAGGACCCGTTTAGGATTGAACAAGTTTTGTTTTGTTTTGTTTTGTTTTGTTTTTGTTGTTTGAGGTGGAGTTTCACTCTTGTTGCCCAGGCTAGAGAGTGCAATGGCGCGATCTTGGCCCACTGCAACCTCTGCCTCCCTGGTTCAAGCAATTCTCCTGCCTCAGCCTCCCGAGTAGCTGGGATTACTGGAATGCACCACTATGCATGGCTAATTTTGTATTTTTAGTAGAGGTGGGGTTTCTCCATGTTAGTCAGGCTGGTCTCGAACTCCTGACCTCAGGTGATCCACCTGCTTCGGCCTCCCAAAGTGCTGGGATTACAAGCGTGAGCCACTGTGCAGGACCGGGATTGAACAAATTTTTTTGGAGGTCTGGAGAAACTCCCAGGACCTCTACAACAAGTTTTATTGGGGGGTCTAAAGGAACTCACCAAAATTCCATGACTTAGCAGGAGACAAGATAAGGGTAATCATCCCTATAACCTGTTAAAACAAAGATAACGCCATGCTCAGGCGTGGTGGCTCACACCTGTAATCCCAGCACTTTGGGAGGCCGAGGCAGGCAGATCACTTAAGGACAGGAGTTTGAGAGCAACCTGGCCAACATGGTGAAACCTTGTCTGTACTAAAAACACAAAAATTAGCTGGGTTTTGTGGCGTGTGCCTGTAATCCCAGCTACTCAGGAAGCTGAGGCAGGAGAATTGCTTGAAAACAGGAGGTGGAGGTTGCAGTGAGTTGAGATTGTGCCACTGCACTCCAGCCTGGGTGACAGAGTGAGAATCCACCTTAAAGAGAAAAAAAAAAAGAGAGAGAGAGATGATAACAGCCCTTTCCCAAAGCAACCCTCCTTCTTGCCTGGGGACTAGACTGCCTTTGTAGGACTAACAAATTAGCCAAAAAATTGGAAATTATGGTTTAGAAGCCATTCAACTGTTGGTTACAAGATTCTGACCCTCCGTAAACTGCTCCTAAGATCACTGCTTGAAATATTTTGCAGACCTTGCACTTGATGGATCAGCTGGAACCACCCAGATTGATTAACTGGCTTATCTGATCTTGTGGCCCCTACCCAGGAATGAACTCAGTGCAAGAGGACAGCTTCAATTCTGTATGATTTCATTTCCTACCTAATCAATAAGCACTCCTGGCTCACTAGCTTCCCCCGCCCCCCACCAAGTTATTCTTAAGAACTCTGATCCCTAAATGCTCGAGGAGACTTGATTTGAGTCATAGTAAAGCTCTGGTCTCCCACACAGCCATCTCTGTGTGAATTATTCTTTCTCTATTGCAATTCCCCTATCTTGAGAAATCAGCTCTGTCTAGGCAGTGGGCAAAGTGAACCCATTGGTCAGTTACAAATTTGGGGTCTCATCCAGGATTGCCCTTGTGGCTACCTGTCCATGGTTCATTAGACCCCCTCCAGTGATAAATCCAGAGGCCAGCCCAGGTGGCTGCCTAGTTTTCTTGGACTAGGGGCTGACCCTGGTACTCTCTACTAACGGGGTGCTGCTGACCCAATGTGCCGGGATTTAATTGCAATAGAGAAACAGTCCTGGGGAGATGTCCCATAACTGTAACCGTATCACAGGGTGTCTGTCTGTAGCCGCATTGCGGGGTGGGTGTCTGTCTGTAGCCCAGTTGCAGGCTGTCTGGACTGATGGGTATCCTAGGCATTGGCAACACCTCCTTCCTTCTCCAGACTGGTTCTATAGCCCCGTGGTAGGGAGTCTGTCTGTAGTCCCATGGTAGGGTGTGTCTGTGGCCCCACTGTGGGGTATTTGTAGTTCCACAATGGGGTGTCTGTCTTGGTTCAGCTCCTTTGGAAACCTCAGTTTGTCTGTAGCCCCATTGTGGGGTGTCTCTCTAGGTTCAGGTCCTGGGGGGTCTTGGATGGCTCTCCCTAACTAATAGAAAGAGTCTTGGTGCAGGAGATTTTTCACTCAGGAAGATTTTGGGGAGATTTCTCAGAGAATAGGAGGATAGTTTGGAAGGGATATTCCTGGAGTTCTTGGTTAGGAATCTAATTTGGAAGGCCTTCTGTCCGTCTTATCTTTGAGTGTGTTTGCAAATGTGGAGGGGATCTCAGAAAGAATTGCTGATAAAAGTCAAGCAGGCCTAACTCAGAGAACCCTCTTTATTTGTCTGGTAACATTCAGTGAGTCCTAAAGAAGGTTCAGCAGGCCTGTCTTGGGGTGATTATCTTCTCTTCGCCTTGCCTAGAGACCCCAGTGTGAATCACCACCTGAAGGTCTTTCCTCCCAACCTGGAGTGGATCAAATACAACATGAACTAACAGGAGAAAGTGTGAGCCTTGCTGGGTTGATATTGGGTGCTGATCGAGGTGACTAGTGTCTGTTTGGTTATGTGTATTTTGCTGGGATGGAAAATGTTAATTCTGTTCCTCATGCAGCCCATTGGGCAACATCTTGCAAAATTGAGAATCTCTTGCCTATGGTTCCATACAACAGAAAAGATTGATTTTCTTTTGTAAAGTGGCTTGAACTGCACAGCTTTGGCACAGCAAGGAGGGTCATCAAAATCTGCTTGATTCTTCTGGCAGCTGAAGAGAAAGAGAGCCCAGAAAACTGGTATGCTAGCCAGAAGGGTCCAAATTTTTACAAGCCAAGTTTCTGGTCTCTCTCTCTCTCTCTCAATCTGTATGTGTGTGTGTGTGCACGTGCACGCACGTGTGTAAATGAGAAACATCACTGTCTTCTCTGCAAGGGTTTAATTAGTAGAAAAAAAGGATATATGATACTAATCTTAGGCTGTAGCAAATCTGGTGTACTTTGTGCTAAGAATTTGAATTTCTGTGTTGTTCTGTAATGGAGAGAGAGGCATCACAGGATAGAACTTGGGTTAAGGACCCCTATAAGCCTGCTTTACAAGCCAGCTCAGCAGGCTGGTCAGTTACAACCTTTGCTATGGGTCCCTGAAACCAATATGGGATTAAATTTATCTGTCTTGTTTTGTGTCCTTAAGAGCTTAACCTTGTGACCATGCAAGAATACTTTTTCTTGGTTCCTACCACCCAGAGGACAGAAAATTTGGGGTTCATGTCAGACTTAGCCCTAAAAATTATTTTGAGCAGTAAAGAGCTTTTGCAAGCTTGAAATTGGTTGCTCTAGACTTTTTCTGGGAAAAGCAGTAGAAACTGCTAAATGGTATATAGGTCAGTTGCTAAGGCTTTGTCTTTTGACAGTGGTGGCCTGCATTTAATTCTTGGCTTCTGGAATAATTCCTTTCTGGTTTGTTATTTGTGTAACTTTGTCATTTATTAAGGGTTTGTTTTCCCCCATGGATAGCTTCTGATTTGCTGCCTTGGATTTTCCTTTCTCTAAACTACCCTTGGGGAGATTCTAAATCTTGTAAAAAAAGAAAGAAAGTAAAAAAAAAATGGAAACTGCTTACCATCACTTTGAGACACCTTATGCGTCCGTGGTTAAGTTATAACCTTAGTTAAAACTTATTAATTTATGTGGAAAGTTACCTGTGGTAGAAATCAAAAGCCAAAAATATCAGCTGTCTTGGCTACAGTCTGGTAATAAGAGATTTAAAAGAATTTTTTAAAAGAGTACTATGGTTAAAATAACTTAATTAAAAGTGGATAAACAAGCTATAGATATATTTAAAAGGCCTTTATTTTTTCTCTTTTTGAATTCTGTTTTTCTGGAAAAAGGTTTGTTTTCTTCCCAGTCGACTAAATTATTTTTCTCCATTTTGTCTTGCCACTCTTAATGCAAATATGAGAGGCCCTGAGATAACTTCTGGTAGCCTGGGACTCCTTGGGAAAAACAGAGGAGGCACCACAGACCTCATTTTGGAAAAAAAAAAAAACAAGAAAGAAAAAAAAAACCCTCTGTTTTCCTCATGAAACCCCATGAATTATAAATGTTTAGATACCTCTGAAAATCTAAGGCTCTGTTCTGTTTTGCATTGTGTTATCTGAATGTTACATAGCATTGGCCAAATGGGCTTGGTTTAGTAATCCTTAAAGTAAGTACAATAACAGCAACTACTTTGTAGGTTTCTTGTGACAATTTCAGTGAGGAAATATATATACAGATAGTGCTTGACTTACAGTAGCTCAATTTGTGATTTTCAAATTTACAACAGTATAAAACTATTCTGTTTTTTATTTTCAGTCCAGCATTCAATAAATTACCTGATATATCCAATACTTCATTATAAAATACCCTTTGTGTTATATGATGTAGCTCAGCTATAGGCTAATGTAAATATTCTGATCAAAATACAAGTAAGGAGACTGTATTAGTCCCTTTTTTCATACTGTTATAAAGAACTGCCCAAGATTCTGTAATTTATAAAGGAAAAAGGTTTAATTGACTCACAGTTCAACATGGCTAGGGAGGCCTCAGGAAATTTACAATCATGGCGGAAGGTGAAGAGGAAGCAAGGCACCTTCTTCACAAGGTGGCAGGAAGGAACAGTGCTGAGTGAATGGGAAAAGAGTCCCTTATTAAACCATTAGCTTTCATGAGAACTCACTATCATGAGAACAGCATAGGGGAAACTGCCCCCATGATTCAATTACTGTCACCTGGTCTCTCCCATGACACCTGGGGATCATGGGGATTACAATTCAAGATGAGAACTGAGTGGGGACACAAAGCCTAGCTATTCCACAGACTAAGCTAAGCTGTGATTTTTGGTAGGTTAGGTCTATCAAATACATTTTTGACTTATGATATTTTCAATTTACAATTGATTTATTTGGATGTAACCTCATCATAAGTTAAGGAGCATCTGTATATACTATACACACACACAAACACACACATTGATAAAATGCTTAGCTCATGTAAATTTGCTAAATAAACATTTTCTTTATTATTATTATTATTATTTTTGTTCCATCAAATTTTTCTCTTTTATCAATTAGCTCTGCATCATTGCTTGTCCTTTGCTGAATTTTACCACAGTCCATGTTGGTTCATAGTGGACAAGCCACTTTCTTATGTTAAGGCTGATATACAATCAGCAGAGAACTCTATCTTTATGCACAATTGCTCAAATGTTAGACCTTCATGAAATTTTTACAACCCTCTGACCACGTGTGTCCCTGTTAGATAGTGCACAGATACATGTGTTGCTGGAACTTAAGGTGAAGTGGCTCCCCTCCAATTAACACTCTGAAAAAAAAAAAAAAAAGGCTGCAGCTCTCCAGCAAAACCATTTCTCTATGCCTGCTCCAGATTTAATGGAAAAAAGGAGTTTTATAGTATGTGCTGTCTTTGGCTGCATGCCACTCAAAAGCATTCATCCATTATTAAATTAAAAATTACTTCATGGTGCTCACTTCAGCAGCATATATACTATAATTGGAATAATTTAGAGAAGATTACCATGGCCTCTGCACAAAGATGACACATTAATTCATGGTTATATTCTATAAATTAGAAACAGGTACTTTCATACATTGTACTGAAAGTGAAAATGGTAAAACTCCATAAAGTTTAATCTAGCAATAGCTTCCAAAATTGCAAATGTGTTTACCCCTTGATTCAGCAATCTCAAGTTCAGAATTCCGTCCATCAGATACACCTACACACATATGAATAATGTATTTCCAAGGTTTTCACCAGGTGTTGTTTTTAATTGTAAAGTATTAGGAAAATTTAAAAATCTATCAACAGAAGAGTGGTTAAATCAACTGTTTTATATTCATATAATGGAATAGAATACAGACTGAAAAAAAAAGAGAATGCTCTCTATGTATTGCATAGAAAGATATCCAAAATATGCAATACAATATATACTGTTTAAGGGTATAGAACAGTGGTATATCTTAACTTTTGAATAAGAAATGTGGCGTGAGAATGTATAGTCATATTCTTGTATTTGCATATAAATAAGCTGTTATGTACTGAATGTTTGTGTCTTGCAAAAAATCATATGTTGAGATCTAATCCTAGATGGTAACTGCAAATGGGGCCTTTGGGAGGTAATTAGATCATGATGGTAGAGTCCTCATAAATGGGATTAGTGCCTTTATACAAGACCAGAGAAATATCTGGCTCTCTTTTCCTCATGGGAGGATATAGTAGAAAGAAAAATCAGCTGCCCACCACCTGGAAGAGGGCCCTCATCAGAACCCAATTATGCTGGCACTCTGATCTTGAAATTTCAGCCTCCAGAACTATGAGAAATAAATATTTGTTGTTTGAGCCACCCAGTCTATAGTAATTTACTATATCAGCCTGAAATAAGACATAAACTAATAAAATCTATTACCAACATCAAAGATAGAAAACTATGGCCAGCAGGCCTGTTGTTTGTTTTCTTTTTTATTTTTCCACATTCTTGACTCTAATGCCTATTTTTATAAAGTTTGATTGGAACACAGCCATATCCATTTGATTTTGTATTGTCTATGGCTGCTTTTTCACTACAACAGCAAAACTGAATAACCACAATAGAGAACATATGACCTGAAAGCCTAATATATTTACTTCTTGCCCTATATAGGAATATTTTGCCAACACCTGAGCTATAATGTGGGGAGAATGGATAGGAACACAGTGAAAGCAAGACTTCTTTATGTGGCTACTCTTTTACATAATTTGGTTTTTGAACTTATAAATAGAGAAGTACTGCCTGTTTGCAAAATTAAAATCAAAATAAAACCAATAAAATCAAGTTTTAATCTTCTGTGTAAGAAACACTCATAAACCTACAGCAGGGATTTGTGTGTGAGCTTAGAGTAGTCCTATTTATTTGTTAAAAGTTATTTGTGAAATTAAAAATAATCAACTAGATGGGCTGGAGCAAAATAGTGGAAGAGAAGCCTTCACCGTTCATCCCCCTGATGGAACACCAACTTTTAGCAACTATCTGCACACAAAAAAAGCACCATCACGAAAAACAAAAATCAGGTAACAGCTCAACCACAGAGGGGCAGAGCAGCAAGAATGCTCCTGGGGTGTCCAATTCTATGACTTAACTCTAGGATGGCATTTCTTGACCTGCTCTAGGCCAAAGGGGAGCCCACTGCCTTGAAAGGTGAGTTCCAGGCCTGGCAGCATGCACCATAAGGTATCAAAACAGCACTTGAGCTTTAAGTGAACATCTGTGGTGGCCTGGCAGAACCCCCCGAGGACCAGTGTTGGTCGTGGCCACAGGGAGAGGCACCTTCGCCTGTGGTAATTGAAAGAAAGAGTGGGAAGGACTTTGTATTGTGATTTGTGTGCCAGCTTAGATGAAGTAGACTAGAACATGAGGTAAATTGTTAAGTATTTTGACTCCACGGCAGCATCTCTGGACATGCCCAGGGCCTCGGAAAACTTGACAGCCTGAAGGAAACATCCTTGGGCAAGGCCCAGTGTTGTGATGGCTTCAGATCTCACCCAGCAAAATCCCAGGGTGGTGGCCAAAAGCACGTTCGCATCACCACACCCCCATTTTCAGGTAGGTCAGCAAAGAGAGAGACTCCATATTTTTGGGAGAAAGTAATGATAAAGGACAAGAGTCTCTGCCTGGTAATGCAGAGACTTATACATCTTATACAAAGTCATGAAGGCAGTTACTCTACACGTCTGCAGAAACCACAGTATTGTTGAGCTTGGGGCCCAAGTCCCTTCAAATACTTGGAGAGCCTTCCCAAAAATGACTGGCATAAAGAAGCCCAGATTATAAAGACTACAATAAATACCTAACTCTTCAATTCCTGGACATTGATGAACACCTACAGGCATCAACATCATCCAGGAAAATATGGCCTCACCAAATGAACTAAATAAGGCACAAAAGATCAGTCCTGGAGAGACAGAGATGTGTGACCTTTCAGACAGAAAATAAAATAAAACTATGTTGAGGAAATTCAAATAAATTGAATAGAACATAGAGAAAGAATTCCCAATTCCATCAGATAACTTTAACTAAGAGACTAAAATAACTTCTAAAAACCAAGCAGAATTTTTTTACTTAAAAATTGCAACTGTCATACTGAAAAATGCATCAGAACCTCTTACTAGCAGAATTAATAAATTAGAAAAAACAATTAGTGAGCCTGAAGACAGGCTATTTGAAAATACACAGTCAGAAAAAAAAAAAAGGAAAAAAAAGCATGGAAGCATGTTTCCAAGGTCTAGAAAATAGCCTCAAAATGCAAATGTAAGAGTTATTGGCCTTAAAGAGGAAGTAGAGAAAGAGAGGTAGAAAGATTATTCAAAGTCATAATATGAAACCAACTTGGAAAGAAGGGAGAATGAAACCAACTTGGAAAACATATTTCAGGATACCATCCATGAGAACTTCCCCGAGCTAGCTGTAGAGGCCAACATTAAAATTCAGAAATTGCAGAGAACCCCAGTAAGATACTCCATGAGATCATATTCAAGATCCGTAATTATCAGGTACTCCAAGGCTGAAATGAAAGAAAAAAATGCTAAAAGCAGGAGAGAGAAAGGCCAGGTCACCTAAAAAGGAAAGCCACCAGTTTAACAGTGGACTTCTCAGCAGAAACTCTACAAATCAGAATAGATTGGGGGCCAATATTAAACATTCTTAAACAAAAAAAAAATTCCAACCCAGAATTTTATATCTGGCCAAACTAAGCTTCATAAGTAAAAGAGAAAAATGATTCTTTTCAGACAAACAAATGCTGAGTAAATTTGTTACCACCAGACCTGCCTTATAAGGGCTTCTGAAGGAAGCAATAAATATGGGAAAAAATAACCTTTACCAGCCACTACAAAAACACACTGAAGTACACAGATTATTAACAATACAAAGCGACCACATGAAGTCTGCAAATAACTATCTAACACCATGATGACAGAATAAAATCCACACATATCAGTAACTTTGAATGTAAATGGGCTAAATACCTCAATTAAAAGACACAGAATGGCAAACTGGATAAAGAAACAAGAACAATTGCTATGCTATCTTTAAGAGACCCGTCTCACATGCAATGACACACACAGGCTCAAAATAAAAGGATGAAGAAATACCTACAAAGCAAATAAAAAACAGAAAAAAGCAGGAGTTGCAATTCTACTTTCTGACAAAATAGACTTTAAACCAACAAAGATCTAAAAAGACAAAAAGAATGTTGCATAATGGTAAAGTGTTCAATTCAACAAGGAGATCTAACAATCCTAAATGTATATGAAGCCAACACAGGAGAAACCAGATTCATAAAGCAAGTTAGAGACCTTCAAAGAGACTTAGGCTCCCACACAATAATAGTGGGGGACTTTAACACACCACTGACTGTATTAGATGAATTATTGAGATGGAAAATTAACAAAAATAACCAGGATCTGAACTCAGCACTAAATCAAATGAACCTGATAGATAACTATAGAGTTCTCCATCCAAAAACAACAAAATATACATTCTTCTCATTGCCACATGGCACTTACTCTATAATCAATGACATAATCAGAAGTAAAACACTCCTCAACAAATGCAGTGGAACTGAAATCATAACCAACAGTCTCACAGATCAGGGGGTAATAAAATTAGAAATCAAGACTAAGAAATTTCCTCAAAACCACAGAAATACATGGAAATTAAATAACATGCTCCTGAGTGACTTTTGGAAAAATAATGAAATTTAAAAAGAAATTAAGAAATTCTTTGAAACTAATGAGGACAAAGATACAACACAGCAGAATCTTTGGGACACTGCTAAAGAAGTGTTAACAGAGAAATTTATAGCACTAAATCCCCACATCAAAAAAGTTTGAAAGACTTCAAATTAACAACTTAGCATCACAACAAAAATAACTAAAGAATTAAGAGCAAACAAATCCCAAAGCTAGCAAAAGACAAGAAATAGCCAAAATAAAAGCTTAACTGAAGGAGATAGAGACACTAAAAACCCTTTAAAAGATCAATGAATCCAGGAGCTGTTTTTTGAGAAAAATGAATAAAATAGATAAATCACTAGCTAGACTAATGAAAAAAAAAGAGTAGATTAAAATAAATACAATCTGAAACAACAAGAGGAATATTACCACTGACATTATAGAAATACAAACAACCATCAGAGAATATTATGAACAACTCTATGCACCTAAACTAGAAAATCTAGGAGAAATGGGTAAATTCCTGGACACACAAACCCTCCCAAGACTGAACCAGAAAGAAATTGAATCCTTAAACAGACCAATAACAAACTCTAAAATTGAGGCAGTAATAAATGGCCTACCAAACAAAAAAAGCCCAGGAACAGACAGATTCACAGTTGAAGTCTATCAGAGGTACGAAGAACAGTTGGTACCATTTCTGCTGAAACTATTCCAAAAATTGACAAGGAGAGACTCTTTCCTAATTCATTCTATGAGGCCAGTGTCATCTTAGTACCAAAACCTGGAAGAGATAAAAAACTACAACAACAACAAAAACAAAAACAAAAACAAAACAATGAAAAACAAACAGGAAACTTTAGCTTCATACTTGTGATGAACATCGATGCCAAAATTCTCAACAAAATAATGGCAAACCAAATCCAAAAGCACAACAAAAAACGTATCCACCAAGATAAATTAGGCTTTATTCCTGGGATGCAAGGTAAATTCAACATATGCAAATCAATAAATGTGATGCATCACATAAAACGAACTCAGGACAAATAAAAGGATGATTATTTCAATAGAGGCAGAAAAGATTTTCAAGATAATTCAACATGCATTTATGTGAAAAGCTAGGTATTGAAGAAACATACCTAAAAATAATAAGACCCATAAATGACAAACCTACAGTAAACATCATACTGAATGGGCAAATGCTAAAAGCATTCCCATTGAAAACCAGTGCAAGACAAGGATGCCTTCTCTCACCACTTTTATTCAACATAGTACTAGAAGTTCTAGCCAATGCAATCAGGCAAGGGAAAGAACTAAAGCACATCCAAATAGGGAGAGAGAAATTCAAACTATCCCTGTGTGAAGATGATATAATTCTATACCTGGAAAACACCATACTGTCAGCCCAAAAGCTTCTTAAGCTGATCAACAACACCAGCAAAGTCTCAGGATACAAAATCAATGTTGATACAAAAATCAACTGGAGAGGTGAAAGATTGTTACAAGAACTACAAACCACTGCTCAAAGAAATCAGAGAAGACATAAACAAATAGAAAACGTTTCATGCTCACTAATACGAAGAATCAATATCATTAAAATGGCCATACTGTCGAAAGCAATTTATAGATCCAATGCTATGCCTATTAAACCATAATTGACATTCTTCACAGTACTAGAAAAAGACAATTTTAAAATTCATATGGAATAAAAAAGAGCCAGAATAGCCAAAGTAATCATAATTAAAAAGAACACATCTGGAAGAATCACACTACCCAACTTCAAACTATACTACAGAACTACAGTAAACAAAACCAAATTGGTAGTGGTACAAAAACAAACACATAGACCAATGGAACAGAATAGAGAACCCAGAAATAAGGCTGCACACCAATCACTATCTGATCTTTGACAAACCTAATGAAAGCAAGCAATTGGGAAAGGATTTCATTTTCAGTAGGGTGCTGAGAAAACTAGCTAGCAATATGCAGAAGATTAAAATTAGACCCCTTCCTTGCACTATATACAAAAATTAACTCAAGATTGATTAAAGACTTAAGTGTAAAACCCCAAACTATAAAAACCCTGGAAGACAACCTAGGCAATACAATTCAGGACATAGACACAAGAATAGGTTTTATAATAAAGATGCCAAAAACAATTGCAACAAAAGCAAAAATTGACATATGTAATTTAATTAAGCTAAAAAGCTTCTGCACAGTGAAAGAAACTCCTAACAGAGTAAACAGACAAACTACAAAATGAGAGAAACTTTTGCAATCTATGCATTCAACAGAGGTCTAGTATCCAGCATCTATAATGAACTTAACCAATTCACAAAAAATAAAAATAAAAAATAAAGTGGGCAAAGGATATGAACAGACACTTCAAAAGAAGACATACATGCAGCCAACAAGCATATGAAAAAAGCTCAACAGCACTGATCATTAGGGAAATACAAATCAAAACCACAATGAGACACTATCTCATGCCAGTCAGAATGGCTATTATCAAAAAGTCAAAAAATAAGAGATACTGGCGAGGTTGTGGAGAAAAAAGAATGTCTATACACTGTTGGTGGTAGTGTAAAATTCAACCATTGTGGAAGACAGCACGGCAATTCCTCAAAGACCTAAAGGTAGAAATACCATTCAACCAACTATTTATATGACTGGGTATGTAACCAAAGAAATATAAATTGTTTTATTATAGAGACACATGCACACACATGTTCACTGCAGCACTATTCACAATAGCAAAGACATGGAAACAACCTAAATGCTCATCAATGATAGACTAAATAAAGGAAATGTGGTGCATATACACCATGGAATACTGCACAGCCATAAGAAAAGAACAAGATCATATTTTTTGCAGGGATATGGATGGAACTGGAGGCCATTATCCTTAGCAACTAACACAGGAACAAAAAACCAAATACCGCATGGTCTCATTTATAAGTGGGAGCTAAAAGGTGAGAACACACGGGCACATAAAGAGGAACAATACACACTAGGGTCTGTTGGATGGTGGAGAGTGGGAGGAGGGAGAGGATCACAAAAAAATAATCAGTGGGTACTAGGCTTAATACCTGGGTGATGAAATGTCAGAGGAAATGTTCATTAGTACAACTACTATGGAGAACAGTTTAGAGATTGCTCAAAAAGAAACAAAAATAAAGGTACCATATGATCCAGCAACCCCACTGCTGTGTCTATACCTTAAAAAAAAGGAAATCAGTATATCAAAGAGATATCTACACTCCTATGTTTGTTGAGCACTGTTTACAATAGCTAAGGTTTGAAAACAACACAAGTGTCCATCAATGGATGAATAGATAAAGAAAATATGGTACATATATACAATGGAGTACTATTCTGCCCTAAAAAGGAATGATAAACAGTTATTTGCAACAGCATGGATGAAACTAAAGTTCACTATGTTAAGTGAAGTAAGCTAGGCACAGAAAGACAAACATCACATATTCTCACTGATTTATGGAATCTAAAATTAAAACAATTGAACTCATAAAGATAGAGAATAGAAGGATAGTTACCAGAGGAAGGGAAGGGTAGTAAATGGAGGTGGAGTGGGAAAAAGGTGCAAATGGTTAATGGGTACAAAAGAATAGTTAAAATGAATGAAACCTAGTATTTCATAGCACACCAGGAGGATTATCATCAATAATAATTAAACTGTACATTTTAATATAACTAAAATATTATAATTGAGTTGTTTGTAGCACAAAGGATAAATGCTGGAGGAGATGGATACCCATTTTTCCATGATGTGATTATTACACATTGCATCTCTATACCAAAATATCTCATGTATCCCATAAATATATACAGCTACTATGTAGCCACGAAGATGAAAAAATAATAAAAATTAAAAATATAAATGACCAATTAATAAATTTGCATTGAAGTGAAAAAATACATTATGGTTACTTCCTGTGTGGCACTCCCCAAAATCACCCATATATACCATAGCTTGAAATATTACTCTTTGGTTACTTCATGTACATATATGACACCAACTAAGTACCAGTCACTGTGCTAGACAGGTAGTGGGAATTATAATTTTTGATGTTATAATGACACACTTTTAATCTAATATATATTGAATGTTTATTATGAATCACATGTTGCTTTTAGTGCTTTACTTACACTGTCTCATTTAATCCTCATAACATTCCAAATTTATATCTTCAGCAAAATTTTCTTATCTGAACTCCAGATCCATTCAGCTGGCTGCCTACTGTACTTTCCCCTTCGATGTTCAGTAGGCATCTCAGACTCAATGCCTCCAAACTGAACCCTTGATCTTTCTTTCCACACATACACCCGTTCCACCCATAACCTTCCCTATCTCATTTGATAGAAATTTCATCCTTCCAGTTGCTCAGATGAAAACACTCAGTGTCTTCCTCTGCCTATAAAATTATCTATCATCTGACCACCTATAACATCCACTACTACCAACCTGTTCCAATGTTAGAGCCACTATCATCTCTTACGTGTGTTAGGTCAATAGCTTCTTCACTGATTTCCTTATTACTCTTCCCTCTTACAATCTATACTCAACATAAGAGCCAGAATTAATTTTTTAAGGTAAGGTTGATCATGTCACTCCCCTGCTCAGTACCCAACACTGGCTCACTTTTTTCATTAAAAGTAAAGAACATAGTTTCTGTCTTTATTCACCAAAGGCCCACCCTGACTTTCTTATTTTAAAGAACTCTGTATTTCCAACTCCCACCCTAACACTACCCATCTCTTACACTGTTTTATAATTTATTTTTCCATAGCATTTTTCATCTCTTAATACACTATACAATTTATTTATCTTTCTGTTCTTCTGTGTATCTGGTACTGGGCAGAGTCTCAAATTTTTGTTGAATGAATGAACAGTTTTTCGAGATGTAGGCATTACTTCTTCCCCCATTGTACACAAAAGGAACAAAGTTTCAGGCATGTTAAATAATTTTCCTCATGGTAATAAAGTAAATAGGGGATAGAGATAGGAATTAAACCTAGGTCTGGCAGACTCTAAAGCTTATGATCTAGGCTTTAGACACTAAATGACTTCATGGCATTCGTAACATAGTACAGGCCATGCTAACCTGTGTATATATCTCTTAGGCACAAGGGTAATTGTCAAGCAAGATCAGTAACTGTCATGGAACTTGAATACAGCTCTCCTTAGAATAAGGCAAGCAAATGGGAAAAGCACCTGGGTGACAAAATTGTGCCATTCAGATTGTCAGTTTCTCACATGGCCTTCCCTGGATAATGGGAGAAAGACATCCTTGAGGGGTTTTACTGTCAACCTACATTTTCTTCTTCACTTACTCTGCACAATTGTGCTAATGATACTTAGGCCAAGTGAAATAAAACATTTCCAACTGCCTAAGTTACACAGTCATTTCATTAATAAATACTTATTGAAGTTTCATGCCAAGCCATGATGAGAGTGTTTAGGCAGAGTCCTCTGGGCAAAAGAGCCCTGAGAAGTGGAAACTGTGATAATAATATCAACTGAGACTAAGCCTTCAGCACGCCCTTCAGCTGGGCTCCACCTTCTATCGCAGCCTAAGGGGAAGAGAATATACTGAAAATATTCACAAAATTTCCACAAAATTACTGTGACCTAGTAATTCTGCTTTCCTATAAATCCTTGCTAGATGTTTGTTTCATTTAGTAAAAGTATTGAGAGGATCGCAGCACTCAGAATATGCTCATAGTACAGCTCTTCCTGGGATAGGGAGCTGAGGGCTCTAGACAAATTTGCCTTTCAGAGTTTCACATAATTTGCCATTGTCTGCTCAGTACCTCATGGGACTAAAATAGGCTTGGCTCTTGTAAACTGAGTCCAAGGGCCTCAAAGGAGTCGAATATATTATGTGTGATATTTTACAGATGAACTTAGGACTGTGGATGCTTTGATACAAGCACTAATTTTAAAAAAATAATAACTTTTTTGATTGCCAATTATGTACCCAGTCTTTCCCTCATCTCAATATTATTATATTCTTTTCTTTCCCTGTAGTTTAGAAAACTGATTCAAGAGCTAGATTGCCCAGATTTCTATCTCTACTCAGACACTGACTAATTATCAGTTATTGGGCTTGTTAGTTAACCTCATTAATCTGTCCACTCCTTGGTAAAATGAGTTATTTTAAGGATTCAATGGGATTGTGTATGTAAAATGTTTAGTACAATACTGGCATATAGTACTCTTATTTTCATATGCTCCCAACTATGACACTCTGTGATGAAGGCAGTACAGTGTATTTAGAAGAAAATTAGACTCGGAGTCAGAAGGTCTAGAATCATAGCTTTGTCATAAATGACTACGCAATTTTAGTTAAGTAACTTATTCTACTACCCTCCACCAGTTCCTTTAATCATCAAATGAAAGGCTGGAACTAAGTAATCTCTAGTGTTTCTTTCAGCTGTAACGTTGAATAATGTCTACAATATTCCACAATAAGGGCAAATTCAGAAAAATATTATTAATACAATAGTTTTAAATTCTAGGCCAAAATTATATTTTACCTAATAAGGAGTACTGTGAAAAAAAAAGTTATTATGGCACCCATAAAATCTATTGCTTATATTATATTGACCCTTAATATCTTTATTCTCATTACAGATTATACCACCCTTTTGAAATTTCTCATTGGTTACAAACCATGATAAATTTTGTCTTATGGCAATTTGTATCATAAAGAGACATGTATCAAACTTCACCACTCAAAGTTCAATGTCTTTTTCTCTTTATTGTAAATTAGGTTATTTCACTTCAAAAGCGTAAAAAAATTCTTGAATATGAAAACAAATATCTTTTATAGACACATGGAGATGACAGGCATTTACTTCTCACTTGCTTTACATGTTGGCTGCAGGTTGACTGCAATTCTGCTTCTGTTCCACATGATTTCTTCCTTTCTGGATCCAGGCTAAGGAGCGACCCCCAACCAGGACCTACTACTCTCATGGTGGAAGGGAAAGGCAAGAGAACTGATGAAACCACATGAAACCACATGCTGGCTTTTAGAGCTTTTCTTTAAAATTTGGCAAACTGTCAGTACTGCACATATTTCTTCAGCCACACACATAGCCGAAAGTGATGTCAATGGGGCAAGGAAGTATACCTTCTCCACAGAAAGGTATTGAAAGTCATATGGAAATGAGAGGGCATATACACTCCTCTAAATGTTTATTTTCCTTTCTTCCACATGCAAAATATACTAATAAATCTAGTTCATGTCTTCACTTTGCTAGCTTAGTGTGCTCTAAGAGGATAAGACAAGGTGTGTCTTACTATTTTGTCCTTGGCATCATGCTTTAAACATAGTAGCTTCTCAGAAATATTGTTTAATTAATGAATGAAGAAATAAACAGAAATACGCTACATGCATAGCATATTTCCTTTTTGTTTGGAAGGGTATAAAGAGCGGAACTTTGAATTGATAGAAGGCTCTATAAAGCTATAGCAAGGCCCAGAAGTAAATTTAACGACCTGAGCTTCCTGGTAAGTGGTTGCTTTTGCTTTGAGTTGACATGGCTGTGTTCTGTAGAACTGAGGAGAAATCAATTAGATTAAAATAAAAATTATTGTTTCTAGTAGTATTTAGAGTTGATGGAGATGGCAGAACCAGGAGGGAAAAGCTTTCTAGGCCAACGCCTCCCACGTTATACTTTAGTACCAACCCACCAAAAGAGAAAATTTTGAAGGTAACACTTGAGAGTTTTATATTTCTTTTTTTAAACTTATAAACACTTGTAATTATATTTTAATGGAAATAAAATGTTGCTATATGAGTCTATTGATAAACAGTCTGAGAACTATAACTATATTCCTGATAGAACATCAATGAACTTAAATATAAAAATTACTCTGCTTTTCCATTTATCCATTGATACTCTATCCTTATCTATATTTTCTAGCCTCTTTCCTCATTTCTAGTTCCTCCTCTGTGTATTTCCTCCATACCTTACAATTATCTTTTTAAGGAAGCAACGTATTTTTGTTTAATTTATTTTACTTTAAGTTCTGGGGTACAAGTTCAGAACATTTAGGTTTGTTACATAGGTATACATGTGCCATGGTGGTTTGCTGCACCCATCAACCCATCCTCCAGGTTTTAAGCCCCACATGCATTAGCTATTTGTCCTAATGCTCTCCCTTCTCTCATCCCCCACCCCCCGACTGGTTCTGGTGTGTGTCGTTCCTCTCCCTGTGTCCATGTGCTCTCACTGTTCAACTCCCACTTATGAATGAGAACATGCAGTGTTTGCTCTTCTGTTTCTGTGTTAGTTTGCTGAGGATGATGGCTTCCAGCTTCATCCATGTCCCTGCAAAGGACATGATCTCATTCCTTTTTATGACTGCATAGTATTCCATGGTATATATGTATCACATCTTTTTTATCCAGTCTATCATTGATGGGCATTTGCATTGGTTCCATGTTTTTGCTATTGTAAATAGTGCTGCAATAAATATACATGTGCATGTGTCTTTATAGTAGAATGGTTTACATTCCTTTCTGTATATATCCAGTAATAGCATTGCTAGGTCAAATGGTATTTCTGGTTCTAGAATTTTGAGGAATTGCCACACTGTCTTTCACAGTGGCTGAACAAATTTGCATTCCCACGAACAGTGTAAAAGCATTCCTATTTCCCCACAGTCTTGACAGCATCTATTGTTTCTTGAATTTTTAATAATCGCCATTCTAACTGGTGTAAGATGATACTTCATTGTAGTTTTGATTTGCATTTCTCTAATGATCAGTGATGCTGAGCTTTTTTCATATGTTTTTTGGCCACATACATGTCTTTTTTTGAGAAGTGTCTGTTTATATTCTTTGCCCACTTTTTCATGTTTCTTTTTTCTTGTAAATTTGTTTAAGTTCTTTGTAGATTTGGGATATTAGATCTTTGTCAGATGGGTATATTGCAAAACTTTTCCCCCATTCTGCAGGTTGCCTGTTCACTTTGATGACAGTTTTTTTTGTTGTGCCAAAGCTCTTTAGTTTAATTAGATCCTATTCGTCAATTTTTGCTTTTGTTGCAATTGCTTTTGGCATTTTCATCATGAAGTCTTTGCCCATGCTTATGTCCTGAATGGTTTTGCCTAGATTTTCTTCTAGGCTTTTATGATTTGGGGTTTTACATTTAAGTCTTTAATCCATCTTGAGTTAATTTTTGTATAAGGTGTAAGGAAGGGGTCCAGCTTCAGTTTTCTGCATATGGCTAGCTACTTTGTCCAGCATCATTTATTAAATAGGGAATTATTTCCCCATTGCTTGTTTTTGTCCAGTTTGTTACACATCAGCTGGTTGTAGATGTGTGGTATTATTTCTGAGGTCTCTGTTCTGTTCCATTGGTCTATATCTCTGTTTTGGTACCAGTACCATGCTGTTTTGTTTACTGTAGCATTGTAGTATAGTTTGAAGTCAGGTAGCATGATGCCTCCAGCTTTCTTCTTTTTGCCTCAGATTGTCTTTGCTATACAGGCTCTTTTTGGGTCCCATATGAAATTTAAAGTAGTTTTTTATAATTCTGTACAGAATGTCAATGGTAGTTTGATGGGAATAGCATTGAATCTATAAATTACTTTGACCAGTATGGCCATTTTTATGATATTGATTTTTGCTATCCATTAGGATGAAAAGGTTTTCCATTTGTTTGTGTCCTCTCTTATTTCCTTGAGCAGTGATTTGTAGTTCTCCTTGAAGAGGTCTTTCGCATCCCTTGTTAGCTATATTCCTAGTTATTTTCTTCTCTTGAAGCAATTGTGAATTTGAATTCATTCATGATTTGGCTCTCTGCTTGTCTATTGTTGGTGTATATAAATGCTTGTGATTTTTTGCACATTTATTTTGTATTCTGAGACTCTTAACACCACTTTAGCTGCGTCCCAGAGATTCTGGTACATTTTCTCTTTGTTCTTATTGGTTTCAAAGAATTTCTTGATAGTTGCATTAATTTTATTATTTACCCAGGAGTGATTCAGGAGAAGGCTATTCAATTTCCATGTAGTTGTATAGTTTTGAGTGAATTTCTTAATCCTGAGTTCTAATTCGATTGCACTGTGGTCTGAGTGAGTGTTATGATTTCAGTTCTTTTGCATTTGCTGAGAAGTGTTTTACTTTCAATTATTTGGTCAATTTTACAATAAGTGCCATGTAGCAATGAGAATAATGTATAATCTGTTGATTTGGGTTAGAGAGTTCTCTAGATGTCTATTAGGTCCACTTGATCCAGAGCTGAATTCAAATCCTGAATATCCTTGTTAATTTTCTGCCTTGTTGATCTGTCTAATATTGACAGTGGAGCATTAAAGTATCCCACTATTACTGTGTGGGAGACTAAGTCTCTTTATAGGTCTCTAAGTATCTGTTTTATGTGTCTGTGTGCTCCTGTATTGGGTGCATACATATTTAAGATAGTTAGCTCTTCTTGTTGAATTGATACCTTTACCACTATGTAGTGCCTTTCTTTGTCTTTTTTTATCTTTGTTGGTTTAAAGTCTGTTTTGTCACAGACTAGAATTGCAACCCTGGCATTTTGTGATTTTGCTTTCTACTTGCTTGGTAAGTTTTCCTCCTTCCTTTCATTTTGAGCCTATGTGTGTCTTTGCACTTGAGATGGGTCTCCTGAATATAGTACACCAATGGTTCTTGACCCTTTATCCAATTTGCCAGTCTAAGTCTTTTAATTGGGTCATTTAGCCCATTTGCATTAAAGTTAGTATTGTTATGTGTGAATTTGATCCTGTCATTATGATGCTATCTGGTTATTTTACACACTAGTTAATGCAGTTTTTTCATGGTGTCATTGGTCTTTATATTTTGGTATATTTTTGCAGTTGCCAGTACCATTTTTTCCTTTCTATATTTAGTGCTTTCTTCAGGAGCTCTTGCAAGGCAGGCCTGGTGGTCACAAAATCCAACAGTATTTGATTGTCTGGAAAAGGTTATATTTCTCTTTCACTTATGAAGCTTAGTTTGGCTGGATATGAAATTCTGCTTTGAAAATTATTTTCTTTAAAAATATTGAATATTGGCCTCCACTCTCTTCTGGCTTGTAGGGTTTCTTCTGAGAGGTCTGCTGTTAGTCTGATGGGCTTCCCTTTGTAGATGAACTGGCCTTTCTCTCTGGCTGCCCTTAACGTTTTTATCCTTTATTTCGACCTCGGAGAATCTGATGATTATGTGTCTTGGGGTTATTCTGTTTGTGCAGTATCTTAGTAGTTTTCTCTTTATTTCGTGAGTTTAAATGTTGGCCTGTCTTGCTAGGTTGGGGAAGTTCTCCTGGATAATATCCTGAAGTGTGTTTTCCAACTTGCTTCCATTTTCCCCATCTCTTTCAGGTAATCCAATCAATTATAGGTTTTGTCTGTTTACATAGTCCCATATTTCTCAGGGGTTTTGCTTATTCCTTTTTATTCTATTTTCTCTAATCTTTTCTGCATGCCTTATTTCAGCAATATGATCTTCAAGCTCTGGTATCCTTTCTTCCACTTGGTTGATTCATCTCTCGATACTTGTGTATGCTTCACAAAGTTTTCTTGCTGTGTTTTTCAGCTTCATCAGGTCATTTATGTTTCTTTCTAAACTAGTTATTCTAGTTAGCAGCTCCTGTAACCTTTTATCAAGGTTCTTAGCTTCTTTGCATTGGGTTAGAACATGCTCCTTTAGCTCAGCGGAGTTTGTTATCACCTACCTTCTGAAGCCTACTTTTGTCAACTCATCCATCTCATCCTTTGTCCAGTTCTGCCCCCTTGCTGGAGAGGCATTGCAATCATTTGCAAGAGAAGAGGGACTCTGGACTTTCGAGTTTTCAGCATTTTTTCATTGATACTTTCTCATCTTCATGAGTTTGTCTAGTATCAATCTTTGAGGCTGCTGACCCGTGGATTGGGTTTTTGTGGGGACTTTTTTGTTGTTGTTGATGCTATTTTGTTGCTTTCTGTTATTTATTTATTTATTTATTTTTGTTTTATTTATTTATTTATTTTTTTGAGATGGAGTCTCGCTCTGTCACCCAGGCTGGAGTGCAGTGGCACCATCTCAGTTCACTGCAAGCTCCACCTCCCAAGTTCAGGCCATTCTCCTGCCTCAGCCTCCCAAGTAGCTGGGACTACAGGCACCTGCAACCATGCCCGGCTAATTTTTTGTATTTTTAGTAGAGATGGGGTTTCATCATGTTAGCCAGGACTGTCTCTATCTCCTGACCTTGTGATCCGCTGGCCTCGACCTCCCAAAGTGCTGGGATTACAGGCGTGAGCCACCGCACCTGGCCTATTTATTTATTTATTTATTTATTTATTTATTTATTTATTTTTGCAATGGTCGGGTCCCTCTTCTGTAGGGCTGCTGCAGTTTGCCGGGGGTTTACTTCAGGCGTATTCATCTGGTTCACTCCTGTGCCAGGAGATGTCATTCAAGGGGGCTGGGGAACAGCCAAGATGAGCACTGCTCTTTCCACTGGGATCTCTGACGTCAAGGGGCACTGACATGATGCCAGTAGGAATGCTTCTGTATAGGGTGTCTGGCAACCCCTGTTGGAGGGTCTCACCCAATTGGGTGGCACGGGGAGCAGGACACATTTAACAAAGTACTTTGACTGTCCCTTGGTGGAGGGGGGTGTGCTTCACTGGGGGAAAACCACTTCTCTGGGCTGCCTGGATTCCTCAGAACTAGCAGGAGGAAAGGCTAAGTCTGCTGGTTTGTGGAGACTGCGGCCACCTCTCCTCCTACAGGCTCAGACCCATGGAGATCAGAGTTCTGTCCCTGATCCACTGGCTGGAGGTGTTGGAGTTCCTGCAAAGAGGCCCCACCCAGTGAGGAGGGATGGGTCGTCAGGCCTGAAGAGGTACTCTGTCTGCAGTCTGCCACAGCTGGTATTTTGGACTGTGGGGGATACCTCTTGGGACCAAGCCATCCAGCATCCCCTGCTCCAGCAGAGGAAAAGCGCAGCCTGGAGCTATGCAGATGGCTGCTGCCCTGCCCCTGCCCTGGGAGATTAGTGTGTTAGGTGGCTATCAGTCCCAGGGTTGGCTTTCATCTCTCCCCCAAGAAGCTCAAACAACTTAGACAGCAGACAGCCACAGCTGTGGTGCTGGCCATTCCTCCCCCTGGGATCTCGGCAGACTTTAGCAGATTCTAGCTTAGTGGCTGTTGAGAATCTGCATGGCTTCATAGTTGGGACCCTAGGCCCTGGTGGTATGGGCTCAAGAGCAGAATCTTCCAATGCATGGGTTGCACAGTTCCGTGAAAAAAGCACATTTTCTCAGGCTGGGTAGCACGTTCACTCACCATCTCTCTTGGATGGGGTATGGGGGCTCCTCTTCCCCATGTGGCTCTCAGGTGGGTCATTGTGCCACACTGCTCTTCCTTCCTGTCCATGGTTCATGCCAATCACCTAGTAAGTTCTGATGACAGAACCTGGATACCTTGGTTGCCAGTGCAGGATTTGCATGCTGTTATGGTTCTTTTCAATGGGAGCCTCTGATTGCTGCTGTTTCTAGTTGGCTATCTTGGCCCCGCCCCTGAGAGTTTTATATTTCAATGGCTTGATGTCATTCCAGAAAAAAGGGGGAATTTTATCCACTTGTCATCTGCCTAACATGAAAACAAACTGCTATAACAAAACAAACAAACAAACAAAAAACAAACTAACTTTATTACCTTAAAGTATAAGGCATTTTTCTCTCACATTTTTAGAGCTTCTGAATATGTGTAAATTGTCAATATATCTAAGAAGGCAGAAGTCATCTTATTCTTTGTAATGATGATAATGCCAAGGGAGACAATGTGACTTGCTGAGGGCAGAGTGAGTCAGTGGATGAGTCAGAAACCAATTCCTGTCTTCCTAATTAGTAGGCTGACATCTTATTTCCCAAGCTTATGGGTTTATCTTGTGTCCCTGGCACTGTTGAGGCAGCTTGGGTAAGGTGATATTGTTACTATTATAGTATTACTCTGAAGCTCCAGTGCGCCCATTGTGTCTCAAAGTATTTGCTGATTATAATCACAGATTAGTAAGATTGAAAGCTAGCTGAAGGGAGAGTAGGGATGAAGTCAGACAGCTGCATAGTCATATAATTATTTGCCATGTCATTAGAGCCCCTTTGAGCACACAGTCTCTGAATGCAGCATATGGACTGAGCACATATTGTGCAACTGCCAAGTAGTATGAAAAGCAAGTGTGTGAGGGATTTTCTTCTACTCTTTTTCACCTCTTTTTTAAAAACTTTATTCTCTCTTTCTACATGAGCACAGTTGAAATACAAACCAAATAGCTGTTGGCCATTTTGACCAGGCCAGAAGTGCATTTCTCCTATTAGTATTCTGTGGAAAACAGGCTCCTCTTGCATTCTTACTACAGCGGGGATAAATTAGTGTCATATTTTTTGTGTCACCAATTTTTTGTCTCTCTGCTAGAGCTTCCTAACCAATATTTAAACATGCTGCTATTTCTCTCAAAGGAAGAAAACATTTTCCTAATCCCACTTCTTACTCTATTTTTATTTTTTCTCTTTAATTTTACACAAAAAAATCCTCACCACCTAATATAATAATTGCATCTACAACCATCTAGGATATTAGATATTTTACTTTTTATGTTCTTTATTTTCTGCCTCTGTTCACAAGTCTCAGAATGATGAAGGTACGGTTTCTGTTTTGTTTAGTGCTCAATCCCAGTACATAAAAATGTGGCTAGTACATAAGAGGTGTTTTTTCCATTAGTCAAATAAGTAACTGGCTGGGTGAATAAATTCTGGGATAAAAACAAACTGATATTTCATACAGATGTAGCATATAGCTTATTCTGCATATTAAACCACCCCCAAACTTAGTGGTTTAAAATAACAACTATTTATTTAGTTTATGATTTTACGGATTAGCAATTTTGGCTGAATTCAAACTAGACTGTACTTCTGTCCTTGGCAGTCAACTATAAATCAGGTAGGTAGTTTTACTTTTTGCGTTTGGCTGGCTCTCAGGGAAGAAAACAAGCAACTGGGTTATATGCCTGTCATCATCCGGAAAGCTGTCAAACTATTCACCAGATAGCTGAGCAGAGTTCTAAAAGAGTGCAAGATTGTGCAAGTCCTCTCAAGATCGAGGCTGGAAAATGACACATTATAATTTCAGCCACATTCTATTGATCAAAGTCTAAGAGTTGTTAATATTCAAGGGACAGGGAAATAAACTCCTCATCTTGATGGAAAGAGTCACAAAGTCACATTGCAAATGGGCATGGTTGCAGGGAAGGAAATAATTTCAGCCATTTTTATACAAATTTCTACAACTGTAGGTTACCAAAGGAAGACCAGAAATCTTCCGGGAATAGTTTTATTGAATACAAAGAGATAACCATCTCTCCTGAATGGTTAAACCTCAGAAAATAATTAATAATATTTTAGTATCCACAAATCTTTCAGTTAGACCATGATTTTCATTTAAGTAATCTATTCTTTCAGTTTTTATATCATTTGTGACTCAGGATCAATATTGTGAAACAACATAATTGAATAAAATAAGAACAGTTATTTTTAACATACTGTATTCCATTTTTAGAGTCATCTTTTTCTACACACATTTATGTTGAGACAATTTTCAATATAAGCATAAAAATCATTAAAACTCATGCATCATTTATACACAAAACTCTTAGCAAACAAGGAATAAAAGGTAATGTTTTTAACTCAATAATAATCCATAAAAATTCTTCAGCAGGTATTATATTTAATATTGAATTAGTAAAAATTTCTCTCTCAGATTGAAAATGAGATAAAGATGCTCATTGTTAACACATCCATTCTACTGAATCTCTTATTGCATGTTTCATATGTTCATTAGCAGTAAAGCAAGAGATAAAAATAAAGTTCTGTGAAAATAAATAAATAATAGTGCTACTATTCTCAGTGTGATGTTTTAGGGTGTTAAAGAACATTGTTTTGTTATATTACCAGAACTCTTTTTCTGTTTTTTTCTCATTTGGGTAGACTATGTCAGAGGGAAGATCTGAAGCTTAAGGTTGCTGTTCAGATTCTTTTGTCCCACGGAGTGCTTCCTTGATGTGGTGTTCTCCCCATTCCCCTAGGGATGGGACATTCTGAGAGCCAAACTGCACTGATTGTTATTTCTCTTCTGGATATAGCCACCCAGAACAGCTATCGAACTCTGGGCTGGTACTGGGGAATGTCTGCAAAGAGTCCTGTGATGTGATCAGTCTGTAGGTCTTTCATCCATGAATTTTTGTTGTATTTTTATTTAGTTCACTGGTTTTGTGTTTGTTTTCCTCCAGCCAGGAGATGGTACTTTCAAGAGAGCATCAGCTGCAGTGGTATAAGAAGGGCACAGGCTTGCCCTAGGGTCACCTGGATAAGTTTCTCAGGTGGTGGGCAGGACCATAGGGCTTCCAGGAGATTATGTTCTTTGTCTTCTGCTACTAGGGCAGGTAGAGAAAGATTATGAGGTGGGGGCAGGGTAAGGCATGTCTGAGCTCAGACTTTCCTTGGGCAGGGTTTGCTGCTGCTGCTTTGTGGGATGGGGTTGTGGATTTCAGACCAATGGAGCCAAATAAAAAAGAAATCTCTGAATTGCCATAAAAACAGTTCAGAAGGTTGATTATTAAGCTACTTAAGGTGGCACCAGAGAAAGGTGAATACCAACCTGAAGAAATTTTAAAATATTACGGGATATAAATAAAACATTTCCAGAGAAATAGATAAAATAAATAAAAAACAATCACAACTTCAGTAAATGAAGGACACACTCAGAGATATGCAAAATACACTGGAAAGTCTCAGCAATAGAATTGAACAAGTAGAAGAAAAAAGTTCAGAGCTTGAAGACAAGGCTTTTGAATTAATCCAATCCATCAAAGACAAAGAAAAAATAATTAAATTATGAACCAAGCCTCCAAGAAGTTTGAGACTATGTTAAATGTCTAAACTCCCAAATAATTGGTGTTCCTGAAGAGGAAGAGGAATCTGAAAGTTTGGAAAACATATTTGAGGCAATCATTGAGGAAAACATTTTCCACCTTGCTAGAGATCTAGACATCCAAATAGAAGAAGCCAGAAATCTATCACAAAAAGATTGTCACCTAGACATATAGTCATCGGGTTATTTAATGTAAAGACAAAAGAAAGAATCTTAAGAGCTGTGAGGCAAAAGCACCAGGCAACCTATAAAGAAAAACCTATCAGATTAACAGCAGATTTCTCAGCAGAAACCCTACAAACCAGAAGGGATTGGGATCCTATCTTCAGCTTCCTCAAGCAAAATAATTATCAGCCAAGAAATGTTTATCCAGTGAAACTAAGCTTCATAAATGAAGGAAATACAAAGTCTATATCAGACAAACAATGAGAGAATTTGCTACTACCAAGCCAGCACTACAAGAACTGCTAAAAGGAGCTCTAAATCTTGAAACAATCAAAATAAAACAAAATAGAACCTTCTTATAACATAAATTTCACAGGACCTAAAAAACAACAGCATAATTAAAAAACACAAGATATTCAGGAAACAAATATCACAATGAATAAAATAGTACCTCATGTCTCAATACTATCGTTGAATGTAAATGTCCTAAATGGTCCACTTAAAAGATACAGAATGGCAGAATGGAAAAGAATCCACCAAGTATTTTTTTGTCTTGAAGAGACTCACCTAACACATAAGAACTCGCATAAACAAGGTAAAGAAGGGGAAAAATATTCCATGCAAATGGACACCAAAAGCAAGGAGGAGTAGCTATTCTCATATTGAGAGACAGGACTAGCTGGATTTCCTAGGCCAACTAAGAATCCCTAAGCCTAGCTGGGAAGGTGACCACATCCACCTTTAAACATGGGGTTTGCAACTTAGCTCGCACCCAACCAATCAGAGAGCTCACTAAAATGCTAATTAGGCAAAAACAGGAGGTAAAGAAATAGCCAAGCATCTATTGCCTGAGAGCACAGTGGGAGGGACAAGGATCGGGATATAAACCCAGGCATTGGAGCCTGCAACCTAACCCCCTTTGGGTCCCCTCCCCTGGTATGGGAGCTTTGTTTTCACTCTATTAAATCTTGCAACTGCACTCTTCTGGTGCGTGTTTGTTATGGCTGGAGCTGAGCTTTCGCTCACTGTCCACCACTGCTGTTTTGCCACCATCGCAGACCCGCCGCTGACTTCCATCACTCCGGATCCGGTAGGGTGTCTGCTGTGCTCCTGATCCAGCAAGGCGCCCATTGCCACTCCCGATCGGGCTAAAGGCTTGCCATTGTACCTGCCCGGCTAAGTGCCTGGGTTGGTCCTAATCGAGCTGAACACTAGTCACTGGGTTCCATGGTTCTCTTCCATGACCCACGACTTCTAATAGAGCTATAACACTCACCACATGGCCCAAGATTCCATTCCTTGGTATCTGTGAGGCCAAGAACCCCAGGTCAGAGAACACGAGACTTGCCACCATCTTGGAAGTGGCCCGCCGCCATTTTGGAAGTGGCCCACCACCATCTTGGGAGCTCTGGGAGCAAGGACCCCCAGTAACATTTTGGCAACCACAAAGGGACATCCAAAGCGGTGAGTAATATTGGACCACTCTCGCTAATGAATTGGATTAGTGCTGTTATAAATGAGACTCCAGGGAGCCTCCTCACCCATTCCACCATCTGAGGACACAGTAAAAAAGATGGCTATCAACTGAGAAGCAGACCTTCACCAGACACCGATGATGGTAGCATCTTTTTCTTGGACTTCCTAGCCTTCACAACAGTGAGAAATATATTACTACTGTTTATAAGTCACCCAGTCTGTGATATTCTGTTATTGCCACCTGAAAGGACTAAGACAGTGCTGTTGTAAGAAACAAAATTAAGAGATTTCTTCAACCAAGTAGAAAATCATGGATGATGTCAGAGGTGAGAACAAAACAAATAGAAATATTTTCTGTTTTAGAGAAATGTTTTGCAAGTCTAGGAATGTAAGATGAGCTTTTGTTTTATACTTTCCTTAAGCATTATTATACAGAGAGCAATGACAACAATAAGAAGTCTAACACCACATAATGAAATATAGTGCTATGTATTCCCTTCATATATACTTGTCTATAATTCTACCAAATAACACAACATGAATTCAAAGAAACAGTTTTAACTTGCAATGCAGTGGTAAACAGTAAATAGTATATTTATGGCCACACTCTGTAGGACTTGACATGGAGAAAGAATAGGAAGAGAAAAAAGTTTTTCAGTGCCTACTATAGTATCTGGCAGATAGCATGGTGTTGAAGAAATATGAGTTGAAAAAGGAAGATTGGAAGGATTGTCTTCCTATTTGAAAAGAAAGAGAAGAGACATCTGTTAGGAGTTCTTTCTTATGAGTGACTGCTGACTGTGGCTGATGGCTAGTCTCTTCAAGGTACATTCTTTTGCACAGATGAATCAATTATCTATAAAGTTGGCACCCTGCTTATACCCTCAAAAGGATGATTTTTTAAAACTTTCTCTTTTTGAGGTGTAATTATCCATAAACTGGCACCCTGCTTATTCCCTCAAAAGGATGAGTTTTAAAAACTTTCTCTTTTCAAGATGTAATTGTGTATAATTTTCAAAACTATTTTGCAGCAGCTATAATTTATATCTTATATTTCTACTTTTATATTAAACTAATAAAAGTTGCTATATAAAAATAATTTTTAAAGTATGTTAAAGGCATGAATGAATTTCTCTCTTCCTATAAAATGTGTCATTAATAAAAGGACATTTAATATTGACTAGTAAATAGTTAATTGTCTTATACTTTTAGGGAATGTAACAGTACATTTATCTGAAAATATGAGTTGAGAATATACTAATTGCATCTTGTTAAGATGCACAGAGTAATTTGAGGAGAAAATTACTCAATTATACATCTGGAAATTCAGTATTCTCATTTAATTTCTGTGATTGACCATACTCTTTAGGAATATTCATGCCAAAAAAGATTTTCTTCTAGGAGGCATACTTATATCGGACTCAGTAATACACTATTTAGCTGGTGAGTTTATTTTATGTACTTATTATTCTTATACTGCAACTCAACTGTGCATTACATCCATTGTCAAAAGGTAGTAATTACTTGTCTGCCAAGTTTATTATAGAAGCATCTAAAATGCAAAAGAGACTAAATCATAAATTCATCTGTTTCCGTAGAACACAATGAAGCATAAAAATCTTGCAAAGTTTGCTAAATGTTTGTCAGACATGATGATTTAGAATTAAGCTTGACATTTCTGTTCTTTATTTATTAAATCTCTGGCCATGCATTTCAGATGGTATACACAATGAGTCACTGTGAAGCATCAAGTTGAATATAAATCTCTAATAGTCTTCTGAATTCAAGAAAATGCAATCTCCCATGGAAAATAATAAAACAGGATGCCCCCAAAATAGATACAAGAGCCCACAACACAGATTATGATTAATTTGGTGCTCTGCCAAGTTCTGTGAGATAATTGATGGGAAAATGTCGAAAGTGCAAAAACAAATATAAGTATACAATAGATTGTGCTTTATTCTAAAGAATATGTCGCATATGTTAATTTCAAAATAAAAAAATGTAGAAATTAGGGTTTCAAAATGTTTTTCTGTCACTCCACGATTAAGTAACTTTTGTCGAATAAATAATAATTTGAAATAAGATAAATTCTATTGAAATCAAATCTAATAGTCACATTAAGAAAACAGCTCTGTATATTTAAGTTGTATTATTTGTTTAGTTCTTCCTATATTAATATAGGATATTCCCCTCAAAATCCAGGTTCACTTGGTTGTGCTGAGTTCATTAATGATCAAAGATGTAAATGTGCTTAAGAAATTGAATATGTTAGAGAGGATCTTTTTTTTTTCTAGATCTCAGTTTATTTCTGATATCATTAAGCGTCAAAGATTAAAATAATATAAAGCCACTCAACAATTCTGTGAGGAAAATAAGGCTAATTTTGAGTCAAACTTTCCTCAGGCAAAGAAAACGTTTGTTCACATGAGGTAAGAGTAAAAAAATAAGGAGTTCTTTTTTCCATTCCCTTGTACCAAAATAGTAGCAACTAGTATAACTACCACTACCAGTACATAAAGTAGAAAAGTAAATTGAGGTTGATCCTTCCGTTGCTGCTAAGGTGAGCTTTATGCTTACTTAGAATTGGCTTCCTATATTTTGAAATTTGTCTCCATGTAGAGATACACACAAAAGCTTTGGGAAGGTTCCCCACTGCGCCATTATGAAAGTGATGTTCTTATAGGGAGCCATATAATGTTCATATCCCCAGGTTAAGGTATATGCTTCAGTGATGATATCCAAAATGGAAATGTCTAGGGAAGAAAGTTTCTACTTTTGAAAGTGTGTAAGCCAGTGAAAAGAGATGAGATAAGCTTGCCATAAAGGAATAAATTAGAGAGAGAGAGAGAGAGAGAGAAATTAGTTTAATGTCTAAGATTTACAACTTTTAGCTTTTTCTCATTAAATTAATATGAACTTCCCTATATTTTTAAAACTATTTATGGCAAATAATGAAAGATAAAAAATACACAATTGGTGAGAGTACTGATCTTGAGCTATAGCATCAAAGTGTGACTAAAAAATCAATACATAATTTTTTCTTGTACATCATTTCAATTTGCATACTAAGTCAGAGCAGCTGAGCTTTGATTCAAATTAGACTGTAAGACAGCTCAAAATACCATATCAACAGATTTCTGAACCAGTGTTATCTATTACACAGACATAGTCATTTGACCAATGAGATATGAAACATATTTACAGAATGATAATCTTCCAGATGAAAACTGGAAAAATTCAGTCTGACTCACAGATGTTTTGCCTATTTGGTGATTCATATCTAGATATTTGGAAATATCCAAAAGATTAACTATATTCTTTAGTTTCCTTGCAATTGGTTTGTGCCATATAAACAGCCTGTGAGCCTTCCTTTGATCATTTCCTATAATTCACTAATATTATTCATATATCTCTATATCTATCTATCTATCTATCACAGAAAAGCAGAAAGTGACCCCTCTCAGGTGACACTTAGCTATGTCTGGAGACATTTTTGATCATCATAGCTAAGAGGTGCTACTGGCATTGAGTGAGTAGAGACCAGGGATGTTGCCAAACATTCTACAATGTACACGGCAGACTCCTCCTCAGCTAACAAAGAATATTAGCTGAGGAGCTAGTTACTTAAAACTAATTAATGAGCTTTATCTAGATATTTACAGATTATAGATCAAAGTGCAGAAATGAAGAGGAAGCTGCAGTGTAGAGTGTTGTTTGGTAGCTCCAGTATTAAGCTAATTAATTAGAAAGACCCAGATGAATTTAAGATCTAGTAGTGCCTGAGTTTGTTAGGATCACTGATGTGCTGGAATCAACTTATACCAGCTTGATATAACTTAAATTTTGAGGAATTTTGTGAGTCAGTTCATGCCATGTTGGTATTCTAAAATTGTCCATGTTGAGAATACTTAAACAGAGGGAATCAACAAACACTACAACCAGTACTTTGTTTCCCCATCCCCCAAAGAGGTAGTTGTTAATCATTTGCCAGCACACTACTTGTTAGAATACAGAGCACCAGAAATGTAGCAATAGTATCTATCATCTACTTAATTCTATTAAAAAATTGTTTTACATGGATAATTTTAAACACTATTTATCACAATCATGTATTTTTTGAATAATATATTCTAATCATGCTTTATATTTACATAAAAACATCAATGTATTTCCTTTGACAAATGCCAACCTCCAAATATACCACAAATTCTACCAGAAGTATTAATTGACCACTCTTGCAAAGTAAGGTTAATGAAAATATTCTGCACTTTATTAGCCAAAAGTTAATTGCATAAATGTGTACCATTTACTGACATAATGGGAATAATTGAAAAGTGAAGATATATTCTAGTTTAAGAAAAAGAAAGTAAGGAGGAGCCAAGATGACCAAATAGAAACAGCTCTGCTCTGTGGCTCCCACTGAGAAGTATGAAAATAGCAAGTGAATTCTACATCTTAAATTGAGGTACTAAGGTTTTCTAATTGGGACTGACTAGGCGGTTGGTGTCACCCACGGAGAGTGAAGAAAAGCAGGGTGGAGTGAGGGACCTCCCGGGAACTGTACAAGGCAAAGGTAGCCCTCTCCCCCAGCCAAGGGAGGTGGTGAGAGATTGTGCTACCCCTCCCTGTAAACCACACTTTACCATGGCTCCCTGAAACCCTTAGATCAGGAGGTCCTCTTATGAGCCCACACCATCAGGGCCTTGCGTCCCAAGCACAGAGCTGGGCAAACTAATGACAGCTGCTAGGGTGGGTGGCCTGTCAAGCAGGCACTGAGACACAGGAGTTTTTGCATACTTTGGCTCTGGGAACTTTAGTGAGGCAGGAGATCCATCCATTGCTGTGGGAAGGGGGCTGAAGCCAGAGAGCCAAGCAGCCTCGCTCAGCAGGCCCCATTTCCATGGAACTTTACAAACAAAAACCCACTGGCTTGGAATCCCTGCTGGCCAGTACAGCAAGCTGGAGACTGCCTAAGAAGATGGAGTTCTGGGTGGGGAGGGGCAGTGGCCATCACTGCAGCTCCAGTTGGCCATTTTCCCCTGCCACTGGTGGCAGTGAAACTGGGCAGTTTGGATTAGGAGCAATTACCAACAATGCAGCACTGAAGCTGGGACAGTTCATGGCCAGACTGCTTCTTTAAGCAGGACTCCAATTCACTCCTCCTCACTGGCCTGACATCAGGAATTTCAGCATTCTTAGCCTGGGGTTTATGAACAGAACTCTGATATCCCTGAGAGGAGCCCCTAGGAGGAGGGGTGGCTGTGATATCATGGATAAGTGGTCTTAGTCTTTTCCGCCTGCTGGCTCTGAAGAGTCAGGGCAGCCCAGACAAGGGGGATTCCCCCAAGTGCAGCACACCTGCTCCACCAAGAGGCAGCCAGATTGCTTATTTAAGTGGGTATCTTATCCCACTCCTCCTGACTGGGTGAGACCTCCCACAGGAGTCTTTAAACATCTCATAGATGAGTGTTCCAGTCAGCATCACGTCAGTGTCCCTCTGGGACAGAACTCCCAAAGGAAGGAGCAGGCTGCCATCTTTGCTGTTCTGCAGCCTGTACTGGTGATACCTTCAGGGGTGGGAGGGACCCAGGAAAATAGGGTTTGGAGTGGACCCCCAGCAAACTGCAGCAGCCCTGTGGAAGAGGGGCCTGATTACTAAAAGAAAAACAAACAGACAGCAACAACAACATCAACAAAAAAGATCCCACAAAAACCCTATCCAAATGTCAGCAGCCTCAAAGATCAAAGCTAGATAAACCCATGAATACAAGAAATAATCAATGCAAAAATGCTGAAAACTCAAAAAAACAGAATGCCTCCCCCTCCAAATGATGGCAACATGGCTCCAGCAAGGGCACAGAACTGGGCTGAGGCTGAGATGCATGAATTGACAGAAATAGACTTGAGAAGATGGATAATAATAAACTTTGCTCAGCTAAAGGAGTATTTTCTAACTCATTGCAAGAAAGCTAAATATCTTTATAAAACATTATGGGAGCTGTTAACCAGAACAACCAGTTTACAGAAGAACCCAGATGACCTGATGGAGCTGAAAAACACAACACGATAACTTCATAATGCAAATACAAGTATCAATAGCCAAATACATCAAGTGTATTTGGATACACTTGAAGAAAGGATATTAGAGTTTGGAACACTATCTTGCTGAAATAAGACAGGCAGAAAAGACTAGAGAAAAAAGAATAAAAAGAAACAAACAAAACCTCTGAGAACTATGGGATTATGTAAGAAGACCAAACATATGACTGATAGGGGTACCTGAAAGAGATGGGGAGAACAGGACCAAGTTGGAAAACACATTTCAGGATATCATCCAGGAGAAGTTCCCCAACCTAGCAAGAAAGGACAACATTCAAACTCAGAAAATCAGAAAACTTCAGTAAGACACTCCATGAGAAGATCAACCCAAAGACACAATGATCAGATTCTCCAAGGTCAAAATGAAGGAAAAAATATTAGGAGCATCCAAAGAGAAAGGCCAGGCCACCTACAAAGGGAAGCCCAGAAAACTAACAGTAACCTCTCAGTGGAAACCCTATAAGCCAGAAGAGATTGGGGGTCAATATTCAACATTCTTAAAAAAGAGTATTTCCAACTTAGAATTTTATATCTTGCCAAACTAAGCTTCATAAGTGAAGGAAAATTCAAGTCTATTTCAGACAAGGAAATGCTGAGGAAATTTGTCATTACCAGGCCTACCTTGCAAGAGCTCCAGAAGGAAGAGCTAAATATGGAAAGGAAAAATCATTACCAGCAACTATAAAAACATACTGATGTACACAGGCCAGTGACACTATGAAGCAAATACATAAACAAGTCTGCTGAATAACCAGTTAACATTATGATTACAGAATCAAATTCATGCAGAACAATATTAACCTTAAATGTAAATGGTCTCAATGCCCTGTTAAAAGACACAGAATGGGAAGCTGAAGAGTCAATACCCATTGATGTGCTGTATTCAAGAGACCCATCTCACATGCAAAAACACACAAGGAGTCAAAATAAAAAGAGAAAAAGTCACCAAGCAAATGGAAAACAGAAAAAAGCAGGGGTTTCAATCTTAGTTTCTGACAAAACAGACTTTAAACAAATAAAAGATCAATAAGACAAAAAAGGGCATTACATAATGGTATAGAGGTCAATTCAAGAAGAGGAGCTAACTTTCATAGGTATATATGCAGCCAATACAGGAATACACAGATACCTGGTTCCCACCCACGCCTCTCCCTCCATACCTCCCCGCAAGCAGAGGGAGTTGGCTCCAGCCTTGGCCAGCCCAGAGAGGGGCTCCCACAATGCAGCAGTGGGCAGAAGGGCTCCTCAAGCATGGCTAGAGTGGATGCTGAGGCTGAGGTGGCACCAAGAGCGGGCGAGGGCTGCTAGTACGTTGTCACATCTCATTACCACTGACCCCACAGAAATACAAACAACCATCAGAGAATACTATAAACACCTCTATGCAAATAAACTGGAAAATCTAGGAGAAATGGATAAATTTCTGGACACGCACACCTTCCCAAAACTGAACCAGAAAACAATTGAATCTCTGGATAGATCAATAAGAAGTTCTGAAATTGACGCAGTAATAAATGCCCAGGACAAGATGGATTTACCACTGAATTCTAACAGAAGTATGACTCCCTTACTTCTGAAATTATTATAAACAATTACAAAGAAGGGACTCCTCCGTAACACATTCTATGAGTCCAGCATCATCCTGATACCAAAACTTGGAAAAGAAAAAAAAAAACCTCAGGCCAATATCCCTGATAAGCATTGATGCAAAAATTCTCAATAAAATACTGGCAGACTAAATACAGCAGCACATCAAAATACTTATTCACCACGATCAAGTTGTCTTCATTTTTGGGATGCAAGGCTAGTTCAGCATACACAAATCAATAAACATAATTCATCACATAAACAGAACAGAAGACAAAAAAACCACATGATTATCTTAATAGACGTAGAAAAGGTCTTCAATAAAATTCAACATTCCTTCTTGTTAAAAACTCTCAATAAACTAGCTATTGAAGGAACATATCTCAAAATAATAACAGTCATTTATGGCAAACCCACAGCAAATATCATACTGAATGGGCAAAGCTGGAGGCATTCTCCTTGAAAAGGGGCACAAGACAAAGATACCTAATCTCACCACTCCCATTCAATGTAGTATTGCAAGTTCTGGGCAGGGCAATTAGGCAAGAGATAGAAATAAAGGTATTCAAATAGGAAGAGAGGAAGTCAAATTGTCTTTGTTTGCAGATGACATAATCCTGTATCAAGAAAACCCTATTGTCTCAGCCCAAAAGCTTCTCCAGCTGATAAGCAACTCCAGCAAAGTCTCAAGATACAAAATCAATGTAGAGAAGTCACAAGCATTCCTATACACCAACAACAGGCAAGTAGAGAGCCAAATCATTAATGAACCATTCACAATTGATAACAAAGAAAATAAAATATCTAGGAATACAGCTAACAAGGGAAGTGAAGAGCCTCTTCAAGGAGAACTACAAATCACTTCTCAAGGAAATAAGAGAGGACACAAACAAATGGAAAGACATTCTACGCTCATGGACAGAAAAAAATCAATGTTGTGAAAATGGCCATACTTGGATGTGGTGGCTGATGCCTGTAATCCCAGCACTTTGGGAGGCCAAGGCAGGCAAATTACTTGAAGTCGGCAGTTCGAGACCAGCCTGGCCAACATAGTGAAACCCCATCTCTACTAAAAATACAAAAAATTAGCTGGGTGGGGTGGTGGGTGCCTGTAATCCCAGCTATTAGGGAGGCTGAAGCAGGAGAATTCCTTGAACCTGGGAGGCGGAGGTTGCAGTGAGCCGAGATCATGCCATTGCACTCCAGCCTGGGCAACAAGAGTGAAACTCCGTCTCAAAAAAAAAAAAAAAAAAAGAAAGAAAGAAAGAAAGAAAATGGCCATACTGCACAAAGTAATTATCGATTCAATGCTATTCCCATTAAACTACCATTGGCATTCATCACAAAATTAGAAGAAACTATTTTAAAATTCATATGGAACCAAGAAAGAGCCTGTATAGCCAAAATCAAAGAACAGCTTTGTTCTTTTTGCATAGCAAAAAAGAACAAAGCTGGAGGCATCAGGCTTCAAATTATATTACAAGGCTACAGTAACCAAAACAGCATGATATTGATATAAAAATAGACACATAGACCAATGGAACAGAATAAATAATTCAGAAATTAGACTGCACATGTACACCCATCTGATCTTCAACAAACCTGACAAAAACAAGTAATGGGGAAAGGATTCCCTATTTAATGAATGGTGCTGGGAGAACTGGCTAGCCATATGCTGAAAATGAAAACTGAACCCCCTTTTTACACCTTACACAAAAATTAACTCAAGATGGATTAAAGACTTAAATGTAAAACCCAAAAGTATAAGAATCCTAGGTTACTAAGACCACATATCCTCAATAGTAGGCCTTAGGAGGTAGACAGACTTTGAGTATTTCTGCGTTTGTCTACTACTGAAGCTCCACAGTGGTTAATTATATTGCCTGCCACAAGAGAAGGGTAACTGATATCAGAATTAGAAATCAAGCAAGACAACAGTCAGCAGCATAGCATAATGGTTAAAAGTTTGGTCACTTCTGCATGCATTTGCATACTATCATTGCCCCTTATCATATGCCATAATTATAAGATGCCAATTAATTTTCAGATTCATCATTTCTTTATGTACTACTAAGAGATAAAAAAATAAAGTGGGCAATTTTATTTGTTAGAAGCCAAAGACTTTAAAGATGCACCCCAACTGCAAAGATGTTAAAATGTTTTTTTTTTTTTTAAGGCCTTAGAACCAATGGAAACAGTTTTTGCTATGTGGCCTTATGCGTCCCTGAACTTGGCCTCAGTTTCATCATTTGTAAAATAGAGCAGGTAGTACTTAACCTTTTGGGGTTGTCATGAGGATTAAATCATATAATATATGGAAAAATGCCTGCCAACAAGTAAGAGCTCACTTTAACATGGCAAATAACTTGTTGCCTTGAAAGTTGTTTTCATATATTTCATTTGGTGCTCTAAATATAAATACAAAATTATGAATTACATTGATGTCCACTGGAAGCTAAGATACTATTTGAGATATTAACGTTAGCGTATCACTTTAAGCCAAAGGGTCTTCGTTTAACAAGTATCGAACATCTATTACCAGTGAAAAGCCATATAATATTGTGCTCTGTGTTTGAATTTTGGCTTATTTACTAGATGTAAATTTTGTCATGTTAATTAACTCACTTTGCTTTCTTTTTCCTCTAAAGTGGCAATAATAATAGCTGTTTTAGGAATTAAATAAGTTAATGCAAACTATTTAGCAAAGTACCTGACACATAGTAAGCACTGAATAAATGATAAATTTTATTTTAATATGTGCTAAACACTGTTTGGAAAAATGATAAGATAGAAGTGAAGAAAAAAAGATATAATCCCTTTCCAGTGGATTATATAGTATAGTGAAGAAAGACTGTATATAAATAAATTTAATATAACAGGCAGTGTTATGTGTTATGAGGAAAAATAAAGCAAAATAGGAGTAAAGAGTGTTACAAATGCCATTTTTCGAAAGGGTAGTCAGAAAAGAAATCTTAGTAGTAGTGGATATTTGAGCAAATACCTGAATGAAATGAAGGAGCAAGTCATGGGTGACCTCGGGACAGAGTGTGTCACCTACAAAGAAGAGTAAGTGCAAATTTGGGTTTATAAGAAACAAGAAATTTGGCATGTTGGAGAAAGAGCAAAATCAGTATAGCTGGGGTAGAGGAAACTAGGTGGAAAGAGGTTTTCTGGATGGTTGAATATTGACAATTTTTTATGATTTTTAGTTGCAACTAGGTGTAAATTTTTTTTCCCCAGAGATCGTCTTTACATTATTCAGATAATGTTTAAACATTCCATTATGGAATTAGCATTAAAGCTATGCCACATTTAAATGCAAAGAGGCCTTAAGTGACATTTCCTTTACTGAACACCTGACTTAGAAGAAGTAACCTTTCTAATGTGTAACCATGGCTGAGCTAGTATATTTTAAATGAAAGTTCCAGAGCTATTCATGTTTATTGGGGAAGGAAAGAAGCATTGAAGGGTGTCCATATTTTTTTAAATTTTTATATAGCAAAAGTCTATGTAGCTTCTTTTGTTATGGTCTGACAGCCTGACTAATTCAATTTTTATGTCATCATTACTTTGAACGCCATCTTTTCCCTTCTTATTTCTTCAGTTCTCTCTGCCACTCCTTCACTCTTCTAGGCTTTCTCTTCCTTTCCTGCGTCTTATCAAAAGGTAAAATTCTCTGACAATGCTGGCAATACTGAAAGCATTCTTTCAGCAAATTGTTTTCCTTTCTTCCCCAGGAAACATTGTAAAGCTATATATATATATGGGTTAAGGGGGAAACAAACAACAAACTATGTTTTTTAGTGAAAGGGCTCATAAGAAATCAAGCAGTCAAGAATTCAGAAACATTAATAAACTAGAGAATATTAGAAGCACAAAATTATTCCTGATAAGGCAAATATTTAGCTATAAGTGTAGTGATTTACCAAGATTTGTGAAATAAGTATAAAAATGCTAGATTAACTTATATTCATTCTTTTCTAGCACCTACAAATGAGGCTTTTCTTTTTAATGCCTTAGGTCACAAATCTATTTCTCTGTTTTCCTTTTTTTTTTTTTTTTTTTTTTTTTTGTAGAGACATGATCTGTCCTGATCAAAGCTCACCGCAGCCTTGAACTGGTCTCATGTGATTCTCCAGCCTCAGCCTCCCAAGTAGTTAGGACTACCTGAAGGTGCACACCCCCACATCCAGCTAATTTTTAAATGTATTTTTTTTATTTTTTTGTTGAAATGGGGTCTTGCTATTTTGCCCAGGCTGTTATCAAATTTTGGCCTTGAACAACCCTCCCAACTCAGCCTCCCAAAGCTCTGGGATTGCAAGCATGGCCCACCACAACCAGCCCAACTTTTAAAAATTTGTTCACATTTATGTGGTGCATGTGAAATTTTGTTACATGTACATAACGCATCGTGATCAAGTCAGGACATTTAAGGTGTCCATCTTCTGAGTATGATGCCTTTTTAACTATAGTCACCCTACACTGCTATCAAACATTGAATTTGTTTTTTCTATCTAACTGTATATTTTTGCCCTTTAATTCATTTCTATTCATGCTCTCACTTTCTCCCCACACATTCTTTCCAGTCTCTGTTCACTATCTTTTCACCCTCTATCTCCAGTGAGAATACGTGATATTTGTCTTTTTATGCCTGGCTTATTTTACTTAAGATATTGACCTTCAGTTCTATCCATGTTGTAGCAAGTTACATGGTTTCATTCTTTTTCATGGCTGAATAGCATTCATTGTATATATATGCCACATTTTCTTTATCTATTCATCCACTGATAGGCACTTAAATTAATTCCATATATTTGCTATTGTAAATTGTGCTGCAATAAATATGTGAATTCAGGTATTTCTTTGACATATTGATTTCCTTGAGGTAGATATCCAGTAGTGAGATTGTTGAATAGAATGATAGTTCTATTTTTAGTTTTCTTAAATATATTTATTACTGCTCCCTTCTTGGCATAACCTCCTTCATCTAGATTTTACAATACTCAGAAGGACACTTCCAATACTGAGGCAAGATCCATCATGTCAGAAGAGAATCTCCAGCCAAATGCATAGGCCAATTAGTATGGAGAGTCTCTAAAGCTACCTGGACCAATTATTTGCATTTTTGAGGTCTTTCATTGATCTACTCTTTAAAAATTGATTTTATAATGAAGCTGGAAACCTACCTATTGTCCCATTTTCCTGATGGAACTACTATGTTTCTGTAAGAGAGACATATTTTCAGAGTTTTAAGTAATGAAATTGTTCTTTTTTTTCTGTTCTATTATAGTTAAAGCCTGTTTTAGCTTATTTTAGATTTTTCTCATTCAAGATGCTTTGTAAGAAGTTATTGGGCTCTAACGTTAAATTACCTAGTATTTATGTATTTTGAAAGATTGTTTTGATGTAAATATTTCAAAAAAGTTCATTCCACATTAATTCAGGTTTGGAAAAATCCTCCAGCTTTATCTCTCAGTCTAGGCATAGGATGATGGAGTTAACAACTGAAATAAGTACTTTAGATAGCCTTAAACAATTGTTAAATATTTTCCAAGATGTGAGTATTTAATTTGGTCAAATGTAGATACAATATATCTTGTTATTATTTGTTTCTCAGTTAGTAGGTTTGTTTTCAGAAACACCTAAAATTGAATTTCCATGTGAAGGGTGTTCATTAAATCATAATTTGTACCAGTGAAACACTGAAAATGACTCAAATGTTTGTCAACAGGATGGAGGTTAAAGACAGGGCGTGGTAAGTCAACACAACGGAGTATAATGAAGTTGTAAAAAGCAGTTAAGTAGATCTCTATATATTCTTATAAAGCAATCTCTGGGATATAGTGTTGTATTTAAAAATAATAATTTTATATAGTATGCTGACCATTCCCCAAACATCCTTAGATTCCATGTAGAACATTACACATTCTTACTGTTGCTAGCTCTTCCCTCTTTTGCATGTCTTTCATTGTTGTTGCTGGTTTTTGTTTTGTTTTAGTACAGGCAGAGTATCACAACCTACTCTGACATCAGCTTTTAGTCTCTCAACATCTTTCCTCTTGGATTATGATCATGTTACAATCATGAATTGATAAAATAAAGTATAAATAACACTGACCAACAAGTGTGGTCTACTATGCACTAAATAATGTGATATATCCTGGGAAAACAAAGATAAATGCAACACAGATTCTGATACCAAGAAACTCATCAGATTTTTACAAATTATTTTTTTCATAAACTGTGGATTAGAGACTTTTATCATGTCTCCACCATTTGGAAATAGCAAAATAGCACATAAAGTTCAACTCTATAGGCTGGGCGTGGTGGCTCACGCCTGTAATCCCAGCACTTTGGGAGGCTGAGGCAGGTGGATCAAGGTCAGGAGATAGAGACTATCCTGGCTAACATAGTGAAACCCCGTCTCTACTAAAATACAAAAAAAATGTAGCCGGGCGTGGTGGTGGGTGCCTGTAGTCCCAGCTACTTGGGAGGCTAAGCCAGAGAATGGTGTGAACCTGGGAGGCGGAGCTGGCAGTGAGCCGAGATTGTGCCACTGAATTCCAGCCTGGGCGACAGAGTGAGACTCCATCTCAAAAATAAAAACAAAAAGATCAACTCTATGAACCTTAATACAAGAAGGAAAATAATAATTTATTGGAATAGTGAGAACACCCCAGACCTTGGAGAGGAAAAGGTAATGAGGCAGCTCTCATAGCAGAATTCAACTGATAAAAGTGAGTGAAGCTCCAGTACATGAAAGAGCCACTCAGTTCCCTCTGTAGCTCACCTTTCCAATAGGGATCTGTGCAACTCAGGCCAAGGAAGAGCACCCTGTTTCTCCCAAGCTCTGGAGCTAACTTGGGGAGAGGCTGAGAAAAGACACTAGGAAAATTTCCCAGGCCTTGGACTGAGAGGAGAACAGCATTTTTAAACAAGGCTCACACGAAGTTGGTCATTTCTTTGGCAACCTTACAATGGCAGCCACTGAAGTCATTGTAGCTTTAATTCAGAAACTGGACCATTTGCTTTGAGGTGAAGGACGGGATTCCACAGCCAGAATTTAGCGGTGAGTGTGAAGAGCACCTATAATTAGCCACTAGAATTATGCTGTCCCCCATCACAGGACTGGAGTGGGAGAAGACTTGCTGAAGCTGAGGTTTCTCCTGGGTGGTGAGACTTGCAGCCAGGGACAGTTTTGTAACCTGGAAGCAATCTGTGTGTGTCATCCTCTGTTGGGGTGATCAGACCAAACACCAGGTCATGGGGGTGACGAAGTCTGGCAGAGTCAAAGGAATGAGAAAAAGACAGTTTGAGAGAGAAAGTGGGACCAGGGGGCCTCTGTGAGTGTGGAGGCTGTGAAGGCCCCGAGCTCTGGGAACCTATGCTATTTATTGGTGCTCAAAAAAACAAACAAGTGGTGAGGATGTGGGGGTTGAAAGGAAACACTGTATCAAGTGAATGAAAAACATATTGCTGCTTGAGATAATGGGAGTGCTAGAAGCAAGGAGCCAGCTAGTCCAGCAGACATCCCAACCCTGCTTCAGCTTCTCTCCCAACACTCAGCTTTTCTCCCAACAATCCTCAGTGACTCAGAGAGCTCCCTTGGTCACTGGGGGACGTTCCACCAGTTCTGAGGAGTAGGAGGGAAGTGGACTTCATTCCTCTGGAGAACTAGCTCTAAGCACAGACTGTCCCTAGTGGAGGGGGTAACACAGCCCACCAATGCCTCCCTTGGGTCAAGGGAGATGCTAACAGGGAAACAGCTTCTGATGGGAGCATCATTAAAGACAGCGAATGAACTTGGAGTGGGGGTCTTTTCTCACCCTCTGCTCCCCTCCCCGGTGCACTGTTGAAGACACAGCAATCCCTTTTCCCATTGAGGTCCAGGGAACATGGGCTGAAGGAAGCCACTTCTCAGGCTTCTCCAGTGGCTCCATTCCTGCCAAAGCAAGCCTCAATAGAGGAAGGTGTTTTTCACATATCTCTGTAGACTCTGCCCCCACAAAGGGCTAGCACATGCAGAGTAAGAGCCTAAGGGCTGGCTCTTACCCTTAAAGATTATCTATGGAACTATAGCCTGAATTACCTGACTGAACAAATAATACATTGTTACAACTAGTAACATTTGAGAAAACCACCACAATAACCTTATCTGCAAGCAAGGAACCCATACAGAGCCTTGTCCCTCTGAAAGCACCCAAAAATGAAGGCAATCAATTACACACAACATACACCACAGTCATACTCTCAAGAATAAAAATAAAAAATCAAAAAGCCCTATCCAAATAATAGCAATTTATTTTAAAAAAGCATCAGCTCCCTTAGATAAGAAAGACCCAGTGCAAGAATTCCAGCAAGACAAAAAGCCAGAGTATTTTGTCACCACCAAAGCTCACTAGCTCTCTAGCCTTAGATCTTAAACAGAATATGCATGACAAGGAAACTCAACAAGATCCAAAAAGAAGTTGAAATTTAACACAAAAAAAGAAAAATGATCTAAGATTTGAAAGACAACATAGCTATATTAAGAAAAAAACAAACAGATCTTTGGGCATTGAAAAGTTCACTACATGAATTTCAAAATGTAGTTGGATGTCTTAACAACAGACTAGACCAAACAGAAGAAAGAATTTCAGAGTTTGAAGACAAGTTCTTTGCATCAGTTACCAAATTTACAACTTATTGGCATTCCTGAGATAGAAACAACTTTGAAAATATATTTGAGGATATAATTCAGCAAAATTACTTCCAATCTTGCTAGAGGTTGATACACAAACACAAGAAATCCAGATAAATCCTGTGAGATACTATACAAGATGACCATCTCCAAGGCACACAGTCATCAGACTATCCAAGGTCAATGTGATAGAAAAAGTCTTAAAGACAGCTATAGAAAAGGGCCATATAGCCTATAAAGGGAAAGCTATCTGACTAATACTTATCAGCAGAAGCTTTACAAGGCAGATGAGATTGGGGGACTCATTTTTAGCATTCTTAAAAGAAATGCCATCCAAGAATTTTATCTCCTGCCAAACTAAGCTTAATAAAAAAGAAGAAATAAAGTCTTCACTAGATCGGCGTTCACTAAGGAAATTTACCAGCAGCAGACTGGGCCTACACGAGATGCTTAAGGAAGTTCTAAACATGGAAATGAAAGAAAAATACTTAATTCAAGAAAAGCACATGTAAGCACATACCCGACAGACCCTATAAAGAAACTACAGAATCGAGACTACAAAGCAACCACCTAACAACACTGGGGCAGCAACAAACCCTCACATATCAATATTAACCTTGAACATAAACAGCCTAAGTACTCTACTTAAAGACAGAGTGGCAAATTGGATAAAATACAAGACCCATTCTTCTATCTTCAAGAGACCTGTCTCACATGTAATGATACCCACAGACTCAAAGTAAAGGGATGGAGAAAGATCTAATGCACACATGGAAAACAAAAAAGTGCAGAAGTTACCATTATTGTGTATTAGGGTTCTGTAGTGGGACAGAACTAACAGGATATATAAATATGTTTATTAAGTAGTATTAACTCACATGATCACAAGGTTCGACAATAGGCCACCTGCAAGCTGAGGAACAAGGAAAGCCAATCCAAATTTTAAAACTGAAGAACTTGGAGTCTGATGTTCGAGGGCAGGAAGCATCCAGCATGGGAAAAAGATGTAAACTGGGAAGATAAGCCAGTCTATCCTTTTCACATTTTTCTGGCTGCTTTATATCCTGGCTGTGCTGTCAGCTGATTAGTTTGTGCCCACCCAGATTAAGGGTGGGTCTGTGTTTCCCAGCCCACTGATTCAAATGCTAATCTCCTTTGGCAACACCCACACAGACACATCCAGGATCAATCCTTTGCATCCTTTAACTCAATTAAGTTGACACTCAGTATTAACCATCACAAGTCCACCTCTTGTCAACTTGAACCCATACATATCTCCTGAGATCATAAGTAATCTTCTAATAAAGACAGTAGTAAGGTCATAGTTACACCTAACATAAGACAACTATCCTTTGTACAACTGGAAACACACCAATCCCCAATCCAAATGCTATTACATAAAGTTAACAATACTTAAATGCTGATATGAAGTCAACAAATATTATGTTACATTATAAAGAAAAGAGGAAATAAAATGAAGATATTTGAAGATATTTTCTTAGTATAAGGGTATACATGCACAAACATGTTTTTATCAAAAGAAGGAGGAAATACTAATCACAATTACAGCCCTCATTTCTGCAGCTGGTAATGTGGTTGTAGCTGGTATTGATGACTACATTCTTTTACCACACATTCTGTGTTTTCTTTGCCTTCAGCAAACACCTCAGCAGGTCACGGTATTTTTCCTGGTGGAGTGACCAAAACCTTCATTCCCAAAGGGTCTGGGTCATTTGTAGTCCTGCCTGGGTTGGACTGTTGTAGTTTCCCATTGATCTTAATCACAGGGCATGTAATACTAAGAGATGCCCTAATGGATCTCCTGTTTTCCATGCATACTCCTTCTTACCTTAGTAGTGGAGTAGTAGACTGATTTTCTCTTGATAGTCTGGGTCCATCACTGCAGCCAGAACTGTAACTGCCTTCTTAACCTGTTGACTTAAAGGTAGGAGGAGCACAGTGTCTGGTTGGCAATCTTAACTTCCAGTTTAATGGAATTGTTGTTTTATCTCCTGGTGGCAGCAGTTCCCTCTGGAACTAAGACCTCTAGGCAAGCAGAACGTAATATCGTGAGAACAGAAAGCAAAAATTTTGCTAGTGGATAACTAAGGTTGATGATGAGTGGTGCCACTTCCACTTCCACCTCTTGATCCCTGGACCCATGAATCCTGGCTATGGGAGGAACAGTATCATATATTGGACACTGATTCAGAGCATACATGGCCTTCTGGAGAACTTTGCCCCAGCCCTAGAAATTATTGTTGCCTAGTTGTCATTGTAATTGTTACTTCAAAAGGCCGTTCCACTGTTCTCTCAATCCAGCTGCTTCAGGCTGATGGGGAACATGGTAAGACCAGTGAATTCCATGAGCATGAACCCACTGCCACACTTATTTAGCTGTAAAGTAAGTGCCTTGGTAAGAGGCAATGCTGTGTAATACCATGACTGTGGATAAGGCATTTCATGAGTCCATGGATGGTAGTCTTGGCAGAAGCATTGTGCACAGGAGAGGCAAACCGTATCCAGAGTAAGTGTCTATTCCAAACTTCTGCCTTTTCCATGATGAATGAGGTCAAATATAATCAACTCGCCACCAGGTGGCTGGCTGATCACCCAAGGAATGGTGTCATATCAAGGGCTCAGTGTTAGATCTCTGCTGCTGGAAAATTGGGCACTCAGCAGTGGCCGTAGCCAGGTTAGCCTTGGTGAGTGGAAGTCCATGTTGCTTAGCCCATGCATAACCTCCATCCCTGCCATCCTGTCCACTTTGTTCATGGGCCCACTGGGCAATGACGGGTTGCTGAGGAGAAAGGCTAAGTGGTATCTTCAGAACGAGTCATCCTATCCAATTGATAATTAAAATCCTCCTCTGCTGAGGTCACCCATTGGTGAGCACTCACATGGGATACAAACATCTTCATATTTTTTGACCTCTCAGAGAGCTCCATCCCCATATTTCTTCCCCAAATGTCTTTGTCACCAATTTTTCAATCATGCTTCTTCTAAGTCCCTGACCATACAGTCAAACCATTGGCTACAGCCCATGAATCAGTATATAATGACACATCTGGCCATTTCTCCTTCCATGCAAAGTGCACAATCAGGTACACTGCTTGAAGTTCTGCCCACTTGAAAGATTTTCCTTCAGTGCTGTCCTTCAGTGATGTCCTAGAAAGGGTCTGTAGTACTGCAGCTGTCCACTTTCAAGTGGGGCCTGCATACCTTGCAGAATTATTTGTGAACTAGGCCCTAGTATTCTCTTCCTCTGTCAACTGATCATATGGAACTCCCCATGAGGCCATTGGAGCAGGCTGGGGAAGAGAAGGCAAAGTAGCAGGAGTGGAGACTATGAGCATTTGAGCCACTTCCTCATGTAACTTACTTGTGCTTTCAGGACCTAGTTGAGCCCTATCATATATATACCACTTCCATTTGATGATAGAATGCTGCTGTCCATGACCAATTTTATAGCTAGATGGGTCAGAAAGCACCCAGTTCATGATAGGCAGCTCAGGTCACATGGTGACTTGATGACCCATAGTCAAATGTTCAGTTTTCACCCAAGCCCAGTAACAGGCCAAGAGCTGTCTCTCAAAAGGAGAGTAGTTATCTGCAGAAGATGGAAGGGCCTTGCTCTAAAATCCTAGAGGACTTTGCTGTGATTCACCTATGGAGGCCTGCCAAAGGCTCCAAACAGCATTCCTCTCTGCCACTAACACCACAAGCACCATTGGATCTGCTGGGCCATATGGCCCAAGTGGCAGGGCAGCTTCCGCAGCAACCTGGACCTGTTGCAGAGCTTCTCCTGTTCTGGAACCCACTCAAAACTGGCAGCCTTTCAGGTCACTTGTAAAATAGGCTGAAGTAACACACCCAAATGAGGAAGGTGTTGCCTCCAAAATCCAAATAGGCCCACTAGGCATTGAGCCTCTTCTTGGTTGAAGGAGGGGCAAAATGCAGCAACTTATCTTTCACCTTAGAAGGAATATCTCAACAGGCTCCACACCACTGGACCCCTAGGAATTTTACTGAGGTAGAAGGTCCTTGAATTTTTGTTAGATTTATTTTCTATCCTCTGGCATGCAAGTGCCTCAGCAATAAGTTCAGTGTGTTTGCTACTTCTTGCTCACTGGAAACAATCAGCAAAATGTCATCGATGTAATGGACCAGTGTGATATTTTGTGGAAGCAAAAAGCAATCAAGTTCTCTCTGAATAGGATTATAACAGAAAGCCAGAGAGTTGATATACCCCTGAGGTAAGGCAGTAAAGGTATATTGCTGGCCTTGTCAACTGAAGGCAAATTGCTTCTGGTGGGCCTTAGAGACAGGAATGGTGAAAAAAGCATTTGCCAAGTCAATGGCTGTGTAACAGGTACCAGGAGATGTGTTAATTTGCTCAAGCAATTAAACCACATCTGGGGCAGCAGCTGCAATGGAGTCACCACTTGGTTAAATTTATGATAATCCATTGTCATTTTCCAAGATCCCTCAGTCTTCTGCACAGGACAAATGGGAGAGTTGAACAGGGATGTGGTGGGAATCACGACGCCTGTGTCTTTCAAGTTTTTGATGGTAACACTAATCTCCACAATCCCGCCAGAGATGCGATATTGTTTTGATTTACTATTTTTCTAGTAGAGGTAGCTCTAACGGCTTTTATTTGGCCTTTCCCACCATAATAGCCCTCACCTTACCAGCCAGAGAGCCAATGTGGGGGTTCTGCCACTTGCTAAGTATGTCAATGCAAACTATGCATTCTGTCACTGGAAAAATGACCACAGGATGGCTCCAGGAACCCACTGGATCCACTGTAAGTCAGACATGATCTACAACTTCATTGATTACCTGACCTCCATAAGCCTTTACCTTAAATGGAGGATGACAATAATGTTTTTTGTCCCCTGGATTCTGTATCAGCTCAGCGCTAGTGTTCAGTAATCCCTGAAATGTCTGATCATTTTCTTCTCCCCAATGCACAGTTACCCTGGTAAAAGGTTAGTGGTCTCCTTGGGGAATGATGGGAGAAAGATTAACTGCATAAATTGTCAGTAGTGTAGTGGGGTCCTTACTCAACTGGAGCCAGCCTACCCTCTATTAAAGGGGTTCTGGGTCTGCAAGCTGGCTCAAGTCTGGAAACTGAATGAAAGGCCATGAATCTCTGTTTTTATAAATCAAATTAGTCTTTTGTCCCTTCACCCTGGAAGTTTTCTTCTTATATATGTTAAGTAGGAATGCAGTATGCTTCCTGTAAATTTCACTTCTGAAAACACCATGATTAATTAGCCAATGCCAGATCTCTAAATGAGTCAGACTATTCTAATTGCTGCTTTTCCTCTGCTGTCCATTATGGTAGCTATGCCCACCTTGCCTTTGATGATTGAGTGCCACCACTTGGCCCCTGCAACCTCGAGATCCAATTATTCCCATTGTATTTAAATTTTGTAGTTGAGTGACTGTGCTTCCCACTATTAGATCTGACACACAAAGAAGAGCAACTACAGGGCTCTTCAAAGATGCAGGTGCTGCCATCACAAATCTATTTCACAAAGCATTTTTCAAGGGTATATCTTCTGGACTTTCCCAGCTGAAATGAGTAGGTTTAAAGTGACTAATCCCCACCACCATCCCAATCTCGATAAACCTTTGGATCCCTTCCTCCACATTAAACCAAGGGAGATCAGGCATTTCCAGCTCACTCACAGTGGGCTTTCTTTTAATCCATATTTCAGCTAACCAAGCAAATAAACTATTGGAATCTTTTTTTTAACTCCCAGAGCTGAAACATTAAATGCATATTCCCTACTTACCGGGCCCAAATCAATAAATTCAGCCTGATCCAACTCTATGTTTTTTCCACCATTATTCCACACCCTTAATATCCATTCCTATGCCTGTTTTCCAGATTTCTTCTCATATAAATTAGAAAATTCAAGCAGTTCTTTTCAAGTGTAGTGCACCTCCTCATGGGTCACACTCTGAACCTCACCTCGGGGCTTACTGGGACTTTAGTCTAGTTACAGATCTAGAAGCAAACAGAGGTGTCGGGAATAGCTACTGAGAAGAATCAACATTATTTTGCCTGGCAACAAGCTCAGGGGAGGCCATCACTCTTACCTTAGGAAGCACAGAGTTTATCTCCTCAGAAAAAGGTGGAAAGGTTGATGGCAGCATGAGTCGGCAAGCAGGTGTTTCCACTACTGGAGATGGGGAAGCTGCTTCTTCTGGCAAAAAAAAATGTTTATCTGAGTTTACAAACTCAATGTCCCCAGCTTCATCAAGGTCCTACCACCTGTCACCATTCAAAGTTGCAGGGTACCATTCTATTCCAATCAATGCCCTCACTTTAACAGTAGACACCTGGCGAGGCTGTGCATGCACCTTTCATTGCAGGTCAGCCACTCTCATGGTAAGAGTCTGTGTCTGTTTGTCTGCAATTTCAGCTCTTTCTGTGCAGGAAATAAAACTCTCGAGGCAATCTTAGCAGATTTGAGGCTCAGTATCTGCTTCTGAAACTGAAAGTTAGAATCCCTGAGTTTATCATTTTCTTTCATCACTTTGTACACAGAACTTAGGAGAAACCAACCAGCTTCATTATGTTCCTTGGTTCTCCACATATGGTCAAAGATAATAGGTATAGAGTCACTAACTCCTTGCCTCTAACAAATGGTGAATCAGGAGCGTCAACTGCATTTACTTTGCATAACTCTCTAAACAGTTCACACCAAGGACTATCAGTGTTCTCCATACTATTAGAAGTAGAGTCCTCAGCATTTTGGGGTCTAATCACATTAAGCAGCCAACTCCAGAAACCCCAAAACCAAAAAAAAGAACTCCATCCTTAGTATTCTCCTTCTCTAGAACCACTCCTGGTACCAAAATCTGTATTAGTCAGGGTTCTCTAGAGGGACGCAACTAATAGAATACACACACACACACACACACACACACACACACACATTGTATATATATGTATATATATGTGTGTGTATATATATGAGTTTATTAAGTAGTATTAACTCAAATGAACACAAGATCCCACAACAGGCCTTCTGCAAGCTGAGGAGCAAGAAAAGCCAATCCAAATCTAAAAACTGAAGAACTTGGAGTCCGATGTTCGAGGGCAGGAAGCATCCAGTATGGGAGAAGGATTTAGCTTGGGTGGCTAAGCCAGTCTAACCTTTTTGCGTTTTCCTGCCTGCTTTATATCCTGGCTGTGCTGACAGGTGATTAGATGGTTCTCATCTAGATTAAGGGTGGGTCTGCCTTTCCCAGCCCACTGACTCAAATGTTAATCTCCTTTGACAGCACCCTCACAGACACACCCAGAATCAATACTTTTCATCCTTCAATCCAATCAAGTTGACACTCAGTATTAACCATCACGTCTTGTATCAGAAATTAAGAATTTAAAACAACAGTAAAAAAGGATGGAGAAGGACATGACATAACAATAAAGGGTTCAATTCAACAAGAAGATATAACTATCCTAAATATATATGCACCCAATGTTGGAGCATCCAGTTTTATAAATTACTTTATAATTTATAATTAACAAATAATTAATTTCTAATTAATTTCTACTAGACCTAAGAAAAGACTTAGCCACACAATTATTATGGGGAAATTCAACACCTCACTGATAGCATTAGATCATTGAGACAGAAAACTAATGAAGAAATTTTGGACTTAATTTCAACACTTGACAAAGTGGACCTAATATACATCTACAGAATACTTCACCCAACAATCACAATATATACACTCTTCTCATCTGTGTATGGAACATACTCAAAGATTGACCACATGCTTGGTCATAAAGCAAGTCTCAAAAATTTCAAAGAAATTGAAATTATACCAAGCGTTTTCTCTGACCACAGTGGAATAAAAATAAAAATAAAACCAAGAGGAACTCTCAGACCACACAAATAGTAAATACTTGAGGGGATAGATAACCTATTTTCTATGATGTAATTACTTCACATTGCACACCTATAGCAAAATATCTCATGTAGTTCATTAATATATACATCTACTACGTACCCACAAAAATAAAAAAAAAACAATAAAAAAACACAAATTTATGGAGGCTAAACTTGTTCCTGAATGACTTTTGGGGAAACAAGTCAATTAAGGCAGGAATCAAAAGTTTCAAAAGTCTTTTGAAACAAATGAAATAGAGACACAATATACCAAACTTCTGGGATTAAGCAAAAGCAGTGTTAAGAGGAATGTTATTTGCAATAAATGTCTACATTAAGAAGGCAGAAAGATCTCACACTGACAATCCAACATTTCACCTAAAGGGACTAGAAAAGCTAGAACAAGCTAAAACCAAAGCTAGCAAAAATAAATGAAATAACTAAAATTAGAAGAGAACAGCATGAAATTGGACCCAGCAAAAACATACAAAGATTTAATAAAACTAAAAATTGGTTTTTTGAAGGTTAAACAAGATTTATAAAGTGCTTGCTAGGTTAATAAAGAAAAAGAGAGAAGATTCAAATAAGCACAATTGGAAATGACAAAGATGACATTACAACTGATCCCACAGGAATACAAAAGATCCTCAGAGACTACTTTTAACAACTCTATGTACACTAAAAAAAACTAGATGAAATGGATAAATTTCTAGTATATTAGTTTGTTCTCATGCTGCTAATAAAGACATACCTGAGACTGGGTAATTTAAAAAGGAAAGAGGGTCAATTGACTTACAGTTTTACATGGCTGGCAGGCCTCATAATCATGATGAAAGGCAAATGAGGAGCAAAGTCACATCTAACAAGGTGGCAGGAAAGAGAGCTTGTGTAGGGAAACTTCCATTTATAAAACTGTCAGATCTCATGAGACTTACTCACTATCATGAGAACAGCATGGAAAAGACCCACCCCCATGATCAATTACCTCCCACCAGTTCTCTTCCATGACACATGGGAATTATGGGAGCTAAAATTCAAGGTGAGATTTGGGTGGGGATAGAGCCAAACCATATCATACCGCACCTGGCCCCTCCCAAATCTCATGTCCTCACATTTCAAAACCAATAATGCCTTTCCAACAGTCCCACAAAGTCTTAACTTATTTCATCATTAACTCAAGAGTCCACAGTCCAAAGTCTTATCTGAGACAAGTCAAGTTTCTTCCACCTATGAGCCCATAAAATCAAAAGCAAGTTAGTTACTTCCTAGATACAATGGGGGTACAGGCATTGGGTAAATATATCCATTCCAAATGGGATAAATTTGCCAAAATGAAGGGGCTGAAGGCCCCACGCAAGTCTGAAATCCAGTGGGGCAGTCAAATCTTAAAGCTCCAAAATGATCTCCTTTGACTCCGTGTCTCGCATCCAGGTCATGCTGATGCAAGACGTGGTTCCCATGGTCTTGGGCAGCTCTGTCCCTGTGGCTTTGCAGGGTACAACTCCCCTCCCTGCTGCTTTCATGGGTTGGCACTGAATGTCTGTGGCTTTTCCAGGCACACAGTGAAAGCTGTTGGTGGATCTACCATTCTGGGGTCTAAAGGACGCTGTCCCACTTCTCACAGCTCCACTAGACAGTGCCCCAGTGGGGACTCTGTGTGGGAGCTTGCACCCCATATTTCTTTTCTGCACTGCCCTAGCAGAGGTAATCTATGAGCGCTCCACCCCTGCAGTAGACCTCTGCCTGGACATCCAGAAGGACATCCTCTGAAATCTAAGCAGATGCTCCCAAACTTCAATTCTTGACTTCTGTGCACTCACAGGCCCAACACCACATGCAAGCCAACAATGCTTAAGGCTTGCATCCTGTGAAGCAATGGCCTGAGCTCTATGTTAGTCTCTTTTAGCCATGGCTGGAACACAGGGCACCAAGTCTTGAGACTGCAGAAAGCAGCAAGGCCCTGGACCAGGCCCATGAAACCATATTTTTTTTCTCATAGGCTTTCTGGCTCACGATGAGAGGGGCTGCCGTGAAGACCTCAGACAAGCCCTGGAGACATTTTTCCCATTGTCTTGGTGATTAACATTGGCTCTTCATTACTTACGCAAATTTCTGCAGCTGGCTTGAGTTTCTCCTCAGAAAATGGGTTTTTATTTTCTATGATATCACCAGCCTGGAAATATTTTAAACTTTTTTTTTTTTTTTTTTTTTTTTGAGACGAAGTCTCACTCTGTCACCGAGGCTTGAGTGTAGTGGCGCGATCTCGGCTCACTGAAAGCTCCGCCTCCTGGGTTCACCCCATTCTCCTGCCTCACCCTCCCGAGTAGCTGGGACTAAAGGTGCCCGTCACCACGCCCAGCTAATTTTTTGTAATATTTTAAACTTTTATGCTCTGCTTCCCTTTAAAACATTAGTTACAATTCCAAACCATGTATTTGTAAATATACAAAGCTAAATGCTTTCAACAGTACCCAAGTCACCTCTTGAATGCTTTGGTGCTTAGAGATTTCTTGTGCTAGATGCCCTAAATTATCTCTCTTAAGTTCAAAGCTCCACAGATCTTTAGGGCAGGGGCTAAATGCCGCCAGTCTCTCTGCTAAAACATAGCAAATGTCACCTTTGCTCCATTTCCAAACAAGTTCCTCATCTTTATCTGAGACCACATTAGCCTGGACTTCATTGTCCATATCACTTTCAGCATTTTGGTCAAAGCCATTCAAAAAGTATCTAGGAAGTTCCAAACTTTCCAACATCTTTCTTCTTCTGAGCCCTGCAAACTGTTTCAACTTCTGCCTGTTACCCAGTTCCAAAGTTGTTTCCACATTTTTGGGTATTTTTACAGTAGTACCCCACTCTACCAGTACCAATTTATTGTATTAGTCTGTTCTAATGCTGCTGATAATGACATACCTCAGACTGTGTAATTTATAAAGAAAAGAGGTTTAATTGACTCACTGTTCCACATGGCTGCAGAGGCCTTACAATCATGGTGGAAGACAAATAAGAATCAAAGTCACGTTTTGTATGGCGAAAAAAAAAAAAAAAACCTTGTGTAGGAAACCTCCCTTCATAAAATTAACAGATTTCATGAGACTTATTCACTATCATGAGAACAGCACAAGAAAGACCCACCCTCATGATTCAATTATCTTCCACTGGGTCCCTCCCATGACACATGGGTATTATGGGAGCTACAATTCAAGATGAGATTTGGGTGGGGACACAACAAAACCACATCACTTGAAAACACACAGCCTTTCAAGATTGAACCAGAACAAAATTGAAACCCTGAATAGACCAATATTGAGTCACAACATTGGGTCAGTAATTTAAAAAAATCTACCAATCCTAAAAAAAACCCAAGAACCAGATAAACTTACAGCTAAATTCAACAAGATGTACAAAGAGCTGTTACTACTCCTTAAGAAAGTATTTCAACAAATCAAGGAGGAGAGAGTCCTTCCTAACTCACTCTATTAAACCAGTATTATTCTGATATTAAAGTCTGTCAAAGATATAACACAGAAAAAAAAACTCCAGGCCAATATCCTGGATGCATAAACATGCAAAAATCCTCAAAAAATACTACCAAAAGAAGTTCAGCAGAACATCAAGAAGGTAATTTACTATGATCAAGTGGGATTTATGCCTTGGATGCAAGGAAGTTTCACCATACACAAGGGTCACCACATAAACAGAATAAAAAGCAAAAACCATATGATCACCTCAGTAGAAGCAAAGAAAGAATTCAGTAAAATTCAAAATCCCTTCATGATAAAAACCCTCAACAAACTTGGCATTGAAGCAACATACCTCAAAATAATAAGACCTATCTATGACAAACCCACAGCCAACATCATGCTGAATGGGCAAAATTTGCAAGCATTCTGCCTTAGAATTGGAACAATCAAAGATGTCCACTCACATCACTCTTAGTCAACATAGTACTGGAAGTCCTAGCCAGATCAATCAGGCAAGAGAAAGAAGGAAAATGCATCCAAATAAGAAACAATAAGCCAAATTAGTTCTTTTCACTGACAATATGATCCTATACCTAGAAAACCAAAAAGATCATGTCAAAAGAGCCTTAGGCCTAATAAACAACTTCAGTAAAGTTTCAGAATACAAAAGTAATAGACAGAAATGAGTAGCATTTCTTTATACACGAATAAAATTCAAGCTGAGAAACAAATGGAGAATGCCCTGCCATTTAAAATAGCAAAAAAAAAAATTCTAGGAATACATTTAAACAGAGAGGTAAAAGATCTCTACAAGGAGAACTACAAAATACTGTTGAAAGAAATTGGAAATGACACAAACAAATAGAAAAACTTTCCATCCTCATGGATTGGAAGAATCAAAATCATCAAAATGTCAATACTGCCCAAAGCAATCCACAGATTAAATACTATCTTAATCAAATTACCAAGGTTGTTTTTTACAGAATTAGAAAAAACTTCTCTAAAATTAATATGGAACAAGAAAAAAAAAATAGGCAAAGCAAGCCTAAGCAAACAAACAAAGCTGAATACATTGCAATACCTAACATAAAACTATACCATGTGGCCACAGCATGATAATAGTACAAAAATGGAACACAAACCAATGGAACATAATAGAGAGCCCAGGAATAAATCTCCACACCTACAACCAACTGATATTCAACAAGGCAACAAAAATAATGAGGGAATGACTCCCTATTCAGTTAATTGTTTTGTGAAAACAGGCTTCCTATATGTAGAAGAATGAAACTGGACACTTCTCACCACATACAAAAATTAACTAAAAATGGATTAAAGACTTAAATGGAAGACAGGCATGGTAGCTCATGCCTGTAATCCCAGCACTTTGGGAGGCCAAGGTGGGCAGATCACCTGAGGTCAGGAGTTCGAGACCAGCCTGGCCAACACAGCAAAACCCGGTCTCTATTAAAAACACAAAAATTAGCCAGCCGTGATGGCATGTGCCTGTAATCTCAGCTAGTAGGGAGGCTGAGGCAGGAGAATCACTTGAACCTGGGAGGTGGAGTTGGTAGTGAGCCAAGATAGCAGCCACTGTACTCCAGCCTGGGTGATGGAGTAAGACTGCATCTCAAAAAAAATAAATAAATAATAACAAAATAACAACAACAAACACTTAAATGGAAAACCTCAAACTATAAAAATCCTAGAAGAAAACCAAATAAATACTCTTCTGAATATTGGACTACACAAAAAATCAATGACTAAGTCTTCAAAAGCAATTACAACAAAAAACAAAAATTGACAATTGGTACTTAATTGAACTAAAGAGTTTCTGCACTGCAAAAGAAACTATCAACAGCTTAAACAGACAATCTATAAAATGGAAAAATATATTTGCATACTATGCATTTGATAAAGGACTAATATCCAGATACTGAAACAAATCAACAAGAAAAACCAAATAACCATACTAAAAAGTGGACAAATGTATGAACAGACACTTCTCAAAAGAAGACATTCAAGCAGTGAACAAACATGAAAAAATTCTTCAACATTACTAATCATCAGAGAAACACCAATTAAAACCTCAGTGAGATACCATCTTACACCAGTTAGAATGGCTATTATTAAAAAGTAAAACTACAACAACAACAACAAAAAACCAGAGGTTGGTGAGGCTGTGGAGAAAAGGGAACACTTAGACACTTTTGCTGGGAGTGCAAATTAGTTCAGTCACTGTGTAAAGCATATTGGATATTTCTTAAAGAACAAAATATGAAATAACCAATTGACCTAGCAAGTCTATTACTTGTATATACCCAGAGTAAAATAAATTATTCTACCAAAAAGACATCTGCAGTTTTAGATTTATCACAGCACTATTTATAAAAGAAAAATTAAACTTTTTCTTTTTTTATTCTCAAATTCATATGGAACCAGAAAAAGCACCTGAATAGCCAAACCAATCCTAAAAGAAAACAACAAAGCTGGAGGCATCACATTACCCAATGTCCCCTCATATGCCCCCCAACATTGGATTGGATAAAGAAAATATGATACATATACACCATGGAATACTACAAAACCATAAAAAGAATGACATGTTATTTGAAGCAATATAGATGCAGCTGGAGGCCATTATTCTAAGTGAATTTATGCAGAAGCGGAAAACCAAATACCCCACATTCTCACTTACACATTGGAGCTAAACTTTGGGTACTTGTGGACATAAAGATGGCAACGATAGACACTGGGGACCCCAAATCAGAAGTAAGGGAGTAGAGAAAGAGTGGAAAAATTACTAATTGGGTACTATGGTGGGAAAATCCTGGGGCCCCAAAATTACTAAGCTAGAAAGAAAAGTCAAGCTGGGAACTGCTCAGGGCAAAATCTGCCTCCCATTTTATTCAGTCATCCCTCTGCTCACTGAGATAGATGTATATTCTGAATGCCTCCTTTGGAAAGGATTATCAGAAACTCAAAATCATACAATCATTTTTCTATTACCTACCAGTGACCTGAAAGCCCCCTCCCTGCTTTGAGTTGTCCCTGCCTTTCTTGATGGAACCAATGTACTTCTTACATATATTCATTGATGTCTCATGTCTCTCTGAAATGTATAAAACTAAGCTGTGCCTTTACCAGCTTGGACACATGTCATCAGGACTTTCTGGCTGTGTCACAAGCATGTGTCCTAAACTTTGGCAAAATAAACTTTCTAAATTAACTGAGACCTGTCTCAATTTTGGAGGGGGTTCACATGTGATAACCACTGAGGGATTCTGAATGGATATACTCCTGACCTTTGACAAATCCTATCAGTGCTTAGTACCAGCATGGGCTAGCTTTAAGGTTCAAACCAACAGGACAATTTGCTGACATCTGAGAGCACCCTCTCCAGAGAATCCCTGATCTCCCAAAATTTGGTTGAGATCAAAAGTTTATTTTGCTGTCCAACTTCTCTCTTTTTGGAGTTTTACTTGCTTCAAGTAGGCAATCAATTTGAGAAATATTTAGAAGGTAGATTTAATAGGGTTTTATGACCCCCTGGATATGACAATAAGGGAGAGCAAGGATTTGAGGTTGTCCCTCTCATTTATGAGTGGATGATTACTTGTAATACTTTAATAGTGTTGTATTTATTTGATTTGCTTTATCTGATATGACCCAGGTTTTTTTGACTTTTAATGATTTTACTGTATAATGATACACATGCAAATCATTTAAAACCTAAATATGTAGGCAGTAATTTCTTCCTATATAATGAATGAATAGAAGATAATATGACCCAGCAGTTAGAGAAAATAAATAGGCTACAACAATATTGTACGGGATTACATTCCACATGCACACTGTTTGAAATTATAAAATTAGAAGGGATCTCTTTTAACAATTCTTCTGATAAGAAGTCTCTCAAACTCTTTATAGATAAATATAATTTCTTTTTAAAGAGAGCAAAAAAGGAGTCAGTAAACAACATATGAAAAATCAATTAATCAATAAACTCACAGTAAATAGCCTTAAACTGCTGATCTCTGACATGTACTTCTGTAGCTTAAGAAAATAATAATATTAAAAAGTTACTTGTCAGTAAAATTTCCAATTAGTGTGATAGTAATTTTTCAATCTGAAATTCTTAAGACACTAGATTTTGAATATTTTATTTTTTTCTGTTATTTAGAAAAGTTCTTAGTTATATAAATTCACAACTTATTGGAACATCTAAAACATACAGCCATACTAAACATTTAAGTTTAACCAACATAAAGCTTGAATATTTAAAAGAAAACAAAATAGAAAATCATTTCTGAATTTATATTTAATTCTACTATAATTTGAAGATGCTAATGAAAAATTTAAAAATTTAAAAATTACTAAATTGTGGTTTATTTTTTAATTTTGTTGAGTATAAAAAGAAAAAAAAATATGAGCTACAATCTGATAGACTCCAACTAGCAAACTTAAAAAGTTGGGATTTATCTGCATTTTACACAGGGAAAATTATGACTCAAAAAAATTAACTGTCTTACCCAAGGATAGCAATTTACAGTATAATGGAAATAGCCAAATACTGAGTTTCTTGCTCTATGTAAAGTAATTTTAAGTAATTCTATCTATAATTACTTATTTTTTAATATTCATTGGTTATTTATTTATTTATTTATTTATTTATTTTTGAGATGGAGTTTCTCTCCTGTTGCCCAGGCTGGAACGCAATGGCGCGATCTTGGCTCATCACAATCTCTGCCTGGCAGCTTCAAGGGATACTCCTGCCTCAGCCTCCCGAGTAGCTGGGATTACAAGCATGTGCCACCACATCCCGCTAATTTTTTTGTATTTTTAGTAGAGACAGGGTTTCTCCATGTTGGTCAGGCTGGTCTCGAGCTCTCGACCTCAGGTGATCCGCCTGCTTTGGCCTCTCAAAATGCTGGGAATACAGGCGTGAGCCACCGCGCCCGGCCATTTCCAACTTTTATTTTAAGTTCACAGGTAAATGTGCAGTATGTGCAGGTTTGTTACATAGGTAAACGTGTGCCATCGTGTTACCCTCACAGATTATCCCATCACCTAGGTATTAGGCTTAGCATCCACTAGCTATTATTCCCAGTCCTCTCTCTCCTCCCACTCCCCGACCCTCTGATAAGCCCCAATGTGTTTTATTCTCCCGGATGTGTCCATTTTTTCCTCATCAATTAGCTCCCACTTACAAGTGAGAACATGTGGTATTTGGTTTTCTGTTCCTGTGTTAGTTTGCTAAGAATAATGACTTCCAGCCCCATCTATGTTCCTGCAAAGGAAATGATCTCTCCTTTCTTTTTGTAGCTGCACAGTATTTCATGGGATGTACGGACCACATTTTGGTATGACTCAGTTTAATCTAATTTTATTCGGATTAATATATCTAAATTGATCTTCCCCCATGTAAATCAGTAATTAGAAAGTAGTTAGTTTGTTATTTTGTAGTTCATCTTTCAACCAGAAGAGATTTTTCTATATTTGTTGCTTTCCTGAGGAATGCTAATATTTATGGGCAGTGCAGAAGAACCCAAAATGGAGGATTCAGAGAGGTAGAAGGAGAACCAGGAAAGAGCAAAGTTGTGAAAATTAACTGATGAAGAGAAAGTTTCAAGGAGCTGTGAGTAGTTATGCAGGCAAAATGCTGTATTGATTCAAGTAAATCAAAGAGTAAAAAGCTCTTGGTTTTGATTCAGAATCCAGGAATCATAGGTAACTCAAGAAAGAACAGTTTTTGTTGAGTGAGAAAGGCAGAAGCCACACTGTGCTAACTTTTGGAGAGAATAGATAAAGAAGTGGAGACAGATGAGTCTTTTATTTTCAAATCATTTCAACTTTCATTTTAGATTCAAGAGGTACACATCCATGTTTGTTACCTGAGTGCATGATGTTGAGGTTTGAGGTATAATTGACCCCATCATGCAGGTACTGAGCATAGTACCCAACAGTTTTTCTGCCCTCACTCCCCACCCCATCTAGTCGTCCCCAGTGTCTTTTTTGTCATCTTTTATGTCCATTAGTACTCATTGTTTAGTTCATAAATATAAGTGAGAACATGAAGTATTTGTTGTTTTGTTTCTGTGTTAATTCACTTAGGAAAATGGCCTCCAGCTTTTTTATGATGCCCCCAAAATACACGATTCAGTGCTTTTATGGCTGCATAGTATTCCATGTTGTATGTGTAACACATTTTCTTTATTCAATCCACCGTTGATGGGCATCTTTGGTTGATTTCATGTCTTTGCTATTGTGAATAGTGCTGTGATGAACATATGAGTACATATCTGCTTTTAACAGAACAATTTTTCTTGGATAGTTGCCCAGTTATGGGATTGCTGAGTCAAATGGTAGCTTTGTTTTAAGTTATTTGCGACATCTCTAAATTGCTTTCCATAGTTGCTAAACTAATTTACATTTCCACCAACAGTGTATAAGCATCCCCTTTTCTCCACAGCTTCACAAGCATCTGTCATTTTTTGATTTTTTTAAAAAATAGCCATTCTGACTGGAGTTGAGATGGTATCTTATTGTGGGATTTTTTTTTTTTTTTTTTTTGAGACGAGTTTCGCTCTTTTTGCCCAGGCTGGAATGCAATGGTGCGATCTCGGCTCACTGCAACCTCCACCTCCCGGGTTCAAGCGATTCTTCTGCCTCAGCCTCCCATGTAACTGGGATTACAGGTGCTTGCCACCACGCCCGGCTAGTTTTTTGTATTTTTAGTAGAGACTGGGTTTAACTAAGTTGGCCAGGATGGTCTCGATTTCTTGACCTCGTGATCCACCCGCCTCAACCTCCCAAAGTGCTGGGATTACAGGCGTGAGCCACCGCGCCCGGCCTTATTGTGGGATTTTTTTTTATCATTATTATACTTTAAATTTTAGGGTACATGTGCACAATGTGCAGGTTAGTTACATATGTATACATGTGCCATGCTGGTGTGCTGCACCCACTAACTCGTCATTTATTGTGGGATTTTTTAAGCTTTAATTTTAGGTTCAGGTGTACATTTACAGGTTTGTTATATAGATAAATTTGTGTCAAAGTGGTTTGTTGTACAGATAATTTTATCACCCTGGTTTTTAACTTCATACCCAATATTTTTGTGTGTGTGTGTGTGTGTGCTCCTCTCCCTCCTCCAACCCTCTACCTTCTTGGAGGCCCCAGTGTCCATTGTTCCCCCCTATGTATCCATGTATTCCCCTTATTTTGCTCCCACTAATAAGTGAAAATATTCAGTGTTTGATTTTCTGTTCCTGCATTGGTTTGCTTAGGATGATGAACTCCAGCTCATGTTGCCACAAACGACATGGTTTCATTTTTTCATGGCTGCACAGTATTCCTCAGTATATATGGACTACATTTTCTTTTTTTTTTTTTTTTTTAGAATGGTTAAAACAACTTTTTTTTTTATTATACTTTAAGTTTTAGGGTACATGTGCACATTGTGCAGGTTAGTTACATACGTATACATGTGCCATGCTGGTGCGCTGCACCCACTAACGCATCATCTAGCATTAGGTATATCTCCCAATGCTATCCCTCCCCGCTCCCCCCACCCCACAACAGTCCCCAGAGTGTGATGTTCCCCTTCCTGTGTCCATGTGATCTCATTGTTCAATTCCCACCTATGAGTGAGAATATGCGGTGTTTGGTTTTTTGTTCTTGCGATAGTTTACTGAGAATGATGATTTCCAATTTCATCCATGTCCCTACAAAGGACATGAACTCATCATTTTTTATGGCTGCATAGTATTCCATGGTGTATATGTGCCACATTTTCTTAATCCAGTCTATCATTGTTGGACATTTGGCTTGGTTCCAAGTCTTTGCTATTGTGAATAATGCCGCAATAAACATACGTGTGCATGTGTCTTTATAGCAGCATGATTTATAGTCCTTTGGGTATATACCCAGTAATGGGATGGCTGGCTCAAATGGTATTTCCAGTTCTAGATCCCTGAGGAATTGCCACACTGACTCCCACAATGGTTGAACTAGTTTACAGTCCCACCAACAGTGTAAAAGTGTTCCTATTTCTCCACATCCTCTCCAGCACCTGTTGTTTCCTGACTTTTTAATGATTGCCATTCTAACTGGTGTGAGATGGTATCTCATTGTGGTTTTGATTTGCATTTCTCTGATGGCCAGTGATGATGAGCATTTTTTCATGTGTTTTTTGGCTGCATAAATGTCTTCTTTTGAGAAGTGTCTGTTCATGTCCTTTGCCCACTTTTTGATGGGGTTGTTTGTTTTTTTCTTGTAAATTTGTTTGAGTTCATTGTAGATTCTGGATATTAGCCCTTTGTCAGATGAGTAGGTTGCGAAAATTTTCTCCCATTTCGTAGCTTGCCTGTTCACTCTGATGGTAGTGTCTTTTGCTGTGCAGAAGCTCTTTAGTTTAATTAGATCCCATTTTGTCAATTTTGGCTTTTGTTGCCATTGCTTTTGGTGTTTTAGACATGAAGTCCTTGCCCATGCCTATGTCCTCAATGGTAATGCCTAGGTTTTCTTGTAGGGTTTTTATGGTTTTAGGTCTAACATTTAAGTCTTTAATCCATCTTGAATTGAGTTTTGTATAAGGTGTAAGGAAGGGATCCAGTTTCAGCTTTCTACATATGGCTAGCCAGTTTTCCCAGCACCATTTATTAAATAGAGAATCCTTTCCCCATTGCTTGTTTTTCTCAGGTTTGTCAAAGATCAGATAGTTGTAGATATGTGGCGTTATTTCTGAGGGCTCTGTTCTGTTCCATTGATCTATATCTCTGTTTTGGTACCAGTACCATGCTGTTTTGGTTACCGTAGCCTTGTAGTATAGTTTGAAGTCAGGTAGTGTGATGCCTCCAGCTTTGTTCTTTCGGCTTAGGATTGACTTGGCGATGTGGGCTCTTTTTTGGTTCCATATGAACTTTAAAGTAGTTTTTTCCAATTCTGTGAAGAAAGGCATTGGTAGCTTGATGGGGATGGCATTGAATCTGTAAATTACCTTGGGCAGTATGGCCATTTTCACGATATTGATTCTTCCTACCCATGAGCATGGAATGTTCTTCCATTTGTTTGTATCCTCTTTTATTTTCTTGAGCAGTGGTTTGTAGTTCTCCTTGAAGAGGTCCTTCACATCCCTTGTAAGTTGGATTCCTAGGTATTTTATTCTCTTTGAAGCAACTGTGAATGGGAGTTCACTCATGATTTGGCTCTCCGTTTGTCTGTTGTTGGTGTATAAGAATGCTTGTGATTTTTGTACATTGATTTTGTATCCTGAGACGTTGCTGAAGTTGCTTATCAGCTTAAGGAGATTTTGGGCTGAGACAATGGGGTTTTCTAGATATACAATCATGTCGTCTGCAAACAGGGACAATTTGACTTCCTCTTTTCCTAATTGAATACCCTTTATTTCCTTCTCCTGCCTAATTTCCCTGGCCAGAACTTCCAACACTATGTTGAATAGGAGTGGGGAGAGAGGGCATCCCTGTCTTGTGCCAGTTTTCAAAGGGAATGCTTCCAGTTTTTGCCCATTCAGTATGATATTGGCTGTGGGTTTGTCATAGATAGCTCTTATTATTTTGAAATATGTCCCATCAATACCTAATTTATTGAGAGTTTTTAGCATGAAGGGTTGTTGAATTTTGTCAAAGGCTTTTTCTGCATCTATTGAGATAATCATGTGGTTTTTGTCTTTGGCTCTGTTTATATGCTGGATTACATTTATTGATTTGCATATATTGAACCAGCCTTGCATCCCAGGGATGAAGCCCACTTGATCATGGTGGATAAGCTTTTTGATGTGCTGCTGGATTCGTTTTGCCAGTATTTTATTGAGAATTTTTGCATCAATATTCATCAAGGATATTGGTCTAAAATTCTCTTTTTTTGTTGTGTCTCTGCCTGGCTTTGGTATCAGAATGATGCTGGCCTCATAAAATGAGTTAGGGAGGATTTCCTCTTTTTCTATTGATTGGAATAGTTTCAGAAGGAATGGTACCAGTTCCTCCTTGTACCTCTGGTAGAATTCGGCTGTGAATCCATCTGGTCCTGGACTCTTTTTTGTTGGTAAGCTATTGATTATTGCCACAATTTCAGCTCCTGTTATTGTTCTATTGAGAGATTCAACTTCTTCCTGGTTTAGTCTTGGGAGAGTGTATGGGTCGAGGAATTTATCCATTTCTTCTAGATTTTCTAGTTTATTTGCGTAGAGGTGTTTGTAGTATTCTCTGATGGTAGTTTGTATTTCTGTGGGATCGGTGGTGATATCCCCTTTATCATTTTTTATTACATCTATTTGATTCTTCTCTCTTTTTTTCTTTATCAGTCTTGCTAGCGGTCTATCAATTTTGTTGATCCTTTAAAAAAACCAGCTCCTGGATTCGTTAATTTTTTGAAGTGTTTTTTGTGTCTCTATTTCCTTCAGTTCTGCTCTGATTTTAGTTATTTCTTGCCTTCTGCTAGCTTTTGAATGTGTTTGCTCTTGCTTTTCTAGTTCTTTTAATTGTGATGTTAGGGTGTCAATTTTGGATCTTTCCTGCTTTCTCTTGTGGGCACTTAGTGCTATAAATTTCCCTCTGCACCCTGCTTTGAATGCGTCCCAAAGATTCTGGTATGTTGTGTCTTTGTTCTCGTTGGTTTCAAAGAACATCTTTATTTCTGCCTTCATTTTGTTATGTACCCAGTAGTCATTCAGGAGCAGGTTGTTCAGTTTCCATGTAGTTGAGCAGTTTTGAGTGAGATTCTTAATCCTGAGTTTTAGTTTGATTGCACCGTGGTCTGAGAGATAGTTTGTTATAATTTCTGTTCTTTTACATTTGCTGAGGAGAGCTTTACTTCCAAGTATGTGGTCAATTTTGGAATAGGTGTGGTGTGGTGCTGAAAAAAATGTATATTCTGTTGATTTGGGGTGGAGAGTTCTGTAGATGTCTATTAGGTCCGCTTGGTGCAGAGCTGAGTTCAATTCCTGGGTATCCTTGTTGACTTTCTGTCTCGTTGATCTGTCTAATGTTGACAGTGGGGTGTTAAAGTCTTGCATTATTAATGTGTGGGAGTCTAAGTCTCTTTGTAGGTCACTCAGGACTTGCTTTATGAATCTGGGTGCTCCTGTATTGGGTGCATATATATTTAGGATAGTTAGCTCTTCTTGTTGAATTGATCCCTTTACCATTATGTAATGGCCTTCTTTGTCTCTTTTGATCTTTGTTGGTTTAAAGTCTGTTTTATCAGAGACTAGGATTGCAACCCCTGCCTTTTTTTGTTTTCCATTGGCTTGGTAGATCTTCCTCCATTCTTTTATTTTCAGCCTGTGTGTGTCTCTGCATGTGAGATGGGTTTCCTGAATACAGCACACTGATGGGTCTTGACTCTTTATCCAATTTGCCAGTCTGTGTCTTTTAATTGGAGGATTTAGTCCATTTACATTTAAAGTTAATATTGTTATGTGTGAATTTGATCCTGTCATTATGATGTTAGCTGGTTATTTTGCTCGTTAGTTGATGCAGTTTCTTCCTAGTCTCGATGGTCTTTATATTTTGGCATGATTTTGCAGCGGCTGGTACCGGTTGTTCCTTTCCATGTTTAGTGCTTCCTTCAGGAGCTCTTGTAAGGCAGGCCTGGTGGTGACAAAATCTCTCAGCATTTGCTTGTCTGTAAAGTATTTTATTTCTCCTTCACTTATGAAGCTTAGTTTGGCTGGATATGAAATTCTGGGTTGAAAATTCTTTTCTTTAAGAATGTTGAATATTGGCCCCCACTCTCTTCTCGCTTGTAGGGTTTCTGCCGAGAGATCAGCTGTTATTCTGATGGGCTTCCCTTTGAGGGTAACCCGACCTTTCTCTCTGGCTGCCCTTAATATTTTTACCTTCATTTCAACTTTGGTGAATCTGACGATTATGTGTCTTGGAGTTGCTCTTCTCGAGGAGTATCTTTGTGGCGTTCTCTGTATTTCCTGAATCTGAATGTTGATCTGCCTTGCTAGATTGGGGAAGTTCTCCTGGATAATATCCTGCAGAGTGTTTTCCAACTTGGTTCCATTCTCCCCATCACTTTCAGCTACACCAATCAGACGTAGATTTGGTCTTTTCACATAGTCCCATATTTCTTGGAGGCTTTGCTCATTTCTTTTTATTCTTTTTTCTCTAAACTTCCCTTCTCACTTCATTTCATTCATTTCATCTTCCATTGCTGATACCCTTTCTTCCAGTTGATCGCATTGGCTCCTGAGGCTTCTGCACTCTTCACGTAGTTCTTGAGCCTTGGTTTTCAGCTCCATCAGCTCCTTTAAGCACTTCTCTGTATTGGTTATTCTAGTTATACATTCTTCTAAATTTTTTTCAAAGTTTTCAACTTCTTTGCCTTTGGTTTGAATGTCCTCCCGTAGCTCAGAGTAATTTGATCGTCTGAAGCCTTCTTCTCTCAGCTCGCCAAAGTCATTCTCCATCCAGCTTTGTTCCATTGCTGGTGAGGAACTGCGTTCCTTTGGAGGAGGAGAGGTGCTCTGCTTTTTAGAGTTTCCAGTTTTTCTGTTGTGTTTTTTCCCCATCTTTGTGGTTTTATCTACTTTTGGTCTTTGATGATGGTGATGTACAGATGGGTTTTTGGTGTGGATGTCCTTTCTGTTTGTTAGTTTTCCTTCTAACAGACAGGACCCTCAGCTGCAGGTCTGTTGGAGTTTGCTAGAGGTCCACTCCAGACCCTGTTTCCCTGGGTACCAGCAGCAGTGGCTGCAGAACAGAGGATTATCGTGAACTGCGAATGCTGCTGTCTGATCGTTCCTCTGGAAGTTTTGTCTCAGAGGAGTACCCGGCCGTGTGAGGTGTCAGTATGCCCCTGCTGGGGGGTGCCTCCCAGTTAGGCTGCTCGGGGGTCAGGGGTCAGGGACCCACTTGAGGAGGCAGTCTGCCCGTTCTCAGATCTCCAGCTGCCTGCTGGGAGAACCACTGCTCTTTTCAAAGCTGTCAGACAGGGACATTTAAGTCTGCAGAGGTTACTGCTGTCTTTTTGTTTGTCTGTGCCCTGCCCCCAGAGGTGGAGCCTACAGATGCAGGCAGGCCTCCTTGAGCTGTGGTGGGCTCCACCCAGTTCGAGCTTCCCGGCTGCTTTGTTTACCTAATCAAGCCTAGGCAATGGCGGGCGCCCCTCCCCCAGCCTAGCTGCCGCCTTGCAGTTTGATCTCAGACTGCTGTGCTAGCAATCAGCGAGACTCCATGGGCGTAGGACCCTCGGAGCCAGGTGCCGGATATAATCTCGTGGTGCACCGTTTTTTAAGCCCGTCGGAAAAGCGCAGTATTCGGGTGGGAGTGACCCGATTTTCCAGGTGCCGTCCGTCACCCCTTTCTTTGACTCAGAAAGGGAACTCCCTGACCCCTTGTGCTTCCCGAGTGAGGCAATGCCTCGCCCTGCTTTGGCTCACGCACGGTGCGCGCACCCACTGACCTGTGCCCACTGTCTGGCACTCCCCAGTGAGATGAACCCCGTACCTCAGATGGAAATGCAGAAATCACCCATCTTCTGCGTCGCTCACGCTGGGAGCTGTAGACCGGAGCTGTTCCTATCCGGCCATCTTGGCTCCTCTGCCGACCAGATTTTCTTTATGCAGTCTACCATGACAGGCATTTAGGTTGATTCCATGTCTTGGCTATTGTGAATAGTGCTGCAATGAACATACACCTGCATATGTCTTTATGATAGAACAATTCATATTCTGTTGGATATAGACACAGTATTGGGACTGTTGGGTCAATTGGTAGTTCTGTTTTTAGCTCTTTGAGGAATCACCACAATGCTTTCCAAAATAGTTGAACTAATTTACACTCCCACCAACAGTGTATAAGCATTCCCTTTTCTCCACAACCTTGCTAGCATCTGTTATATATTTTTTCACCTTGTATAATAATCATTCTGGCTGGTATGAAATAGTGTCTTATTGTCGCTCTGATTTGCTTTCCTCTAATAATCAGTGATAATCGAGGTTTTTTTTTTTTTTTATGTGCTTATTGGCCGCATGTATGTCTTCTTTCGAAAAGTGTCTTTTCATTTCCTTTGGCCACTTTTTTTTTTTTTTTTTTTTGAGATGGAGTTTCACTCTTGTTGCCCAGGCTGGAGTGCAATGGTGTGATCTTGGCTCACCACAACCTCCACCTCCTGGGTTCAAGTGATTCTCCTGCCTCAGCCTCCCAAGTAGCTGGGATTACAGGCATTCACTACCATGCCTGGCTAATTTTGTATTTTTAGTAGAGACAGGGTTTCTCCATGTTGGTCAGGCTGATCTCGAACTCCTGACCTCAGGTGATCCGCCCACCTCAGCCTCCCAAAGTGCTAGGATTACAGGTGTGAGCCACCATGCCCAACCTACTTTTTAATGTAATTGTTTGTTTCTGTCTTGTAAATTTGTTTAAGCTCCTTATAGATGATGGATGTTAGACTTTAGTCAGATGTATATTTTGCAGCTATTTTCTCCCATTCTGTAGGTTGGCTGTTTACTCCCTATGTTTATTCAGCTATGAATCTGAGTGGTCTGGAACTTATTTTGGTTTGTAGGCTATTTATTATTTATCCAATTTTGGAGCTCGTTTTGATCTGTTCAGTGATTAAATTTCTTCCTGGTTTAATCTTGGGAGGGTGTACCTGTCCAGGATTTTATGCATTTGATTTGCATTTGTCTGATGATGAATGATGTTGAGCATTTTTTATATGCTTGCTGGACACTTTTATGTCTTCTTTTGAGAAGTGTCTGTTCTAATATTAATAATTCTATAGTGGCCTGATAGTAAATTTAAGGGGGTCTTGGAACTTTGGTAAACTCACCCTCAGTATTTCAATTGTGTGATAGTTTCATAATTCCTTCATGGCTTTCTTTTGTTCCTATCAATTGATGTAAAATGTCTACAGTAGGCATTGGAAAAAATATTTGCTTAGAGTACGTTATAACACCTTCCACCCAACCAATACAACACACACATACACAAACACACACACACACAGGGATAGACAGAGAGAGAGAGAGAGAGGACATCATTGGGGAAAGTGAATAATAAGAATTTTTGCTTATATGATACATATAAGTTGTTGTTGTTTGCTTTGGCCTCAAGCACTAAGGAGTTTGGTTATAGTCAACTTGCATTAGGGAAGAATGAGACAAGACAAAGATAAAATCAGAGACTCCTAGGGACTAAAGGCAGACGTTGTTTGTTACAAGGATCTAAATTTTCCATCTAAAATGTTTCATCCTCTGCTCCTATCTTCTCACGGCTGGTCTAAGAGGTCGTATTGAAAGTGTGAGATATGGAAAGAAAATTATAAGAATTTATTGCAGCATGTATAACCTATAAGAATGCTTCTCTCTGAGTCAGATCTGCCTTAGTACATTATGTAACTCCCATGGCATAGGTCTATGCTGTATGTCAAATAAGACAGAAAATTCTACCTGCCAAACAATCACTGTTTTATTATGCATTGCTTGAGGCCCCTAGGAGCCATGTGAAGAAGAGAGAATGGATCCTGGCAGTGGTCAACATCTAGTGGAGGTCAGTGGGCAGATAGTAATGCACCAGTATTACAGAATGGGCTGAGAAGCTGTGCTTTATAAATCTGTGGTGTCAGTGAGTGGCCTTAATGTGTCTTGAACACCCATAGATAGTACCTGCAGAATGCTTCCCTTTGCTCTGGTCTGTTTTGGAATTTCCCCATTGAAGAGTAATTTTAATTGCTGCAGAAAGGGTTCTGTCAGGTTTCCCAGGATGGATAGGGAGAATCTGAAGGATTTTGACTCTAAATTCCAAATGCTCACAACCAAAAAGGTGTTGATGAGTCAGACCAGCCTTGAAGCGTCTGTTCATGTGTGTGCCTGTGCTTGTGTAGGTGTGTTTTTGTTGGGGAAATGTTGTGTTCATTTTTTGCATGTAAGAATAAGCAAAAATTCTTATTCTTCACTTGCCCCAATTATGGTGAATTGTCTTTTAAGATCAGTGTGGAGAGGAGTCCCATTCCAAACAAAACAAGTGGACCGGAATAGGTTATGAAACAATTACACCAACTGTATTATCACTTGTAATAAGTTAATAGGGCAATCTTTTACCTTGGGGAATAAAAGAAAACAGACTCTGTGTACAAGTGCATTAATTAAAGGGACAGAGCTTTGGGGGGTTCTGGGAACCTCAGTTTGGCTGAAAGACTGGCAAGCTGATTGACACAGGGGTGGAGATACACCAAAGTGAGTATTGTTTTTGGATCTGGATTTTGAAGAACTGCTGGGATCACTAAAGTGTAGAAACAATGCCCTGGGCCTGGGCCTTGTGAATCTGGCTGGTCCCAGGCTTTAGACTGAGTCGATAAATATATGTCAAACTTGTTTTCTTTATGAATTGTAGAGGAACCTTGAAAAATCTTCCCAGGAGGCGGGAGAGGGAGAGATAGTATAAACTTCCATTTGTATTTGGCTAAAAGGTAAAGATATATTCTATCTTTGGGCATTTAAAAGGGTTTATTTGCAGAATTAATCCCTCCCTTATACAAATATCTTTAAATTGGACAAAGCTGTTCTAATTTGTAAACCTCCAGAAACACATATGTTTATTTCAAAGGTGAAATTAATTCTAAAATTTTCTTTAATCAATACCCATCTTCTTAATATTTTAAGATTATGATGTGTGCGTTTTGAATATTGTGGAGTATGTCTCTATCAGGCTGAAAGGCTATTACTACTTTTTTTTTATGTTGTACATATGAATGTGAAAAAGACATAGGCTTGAATGGGAAATATTCAGTCCCATGTAGATTTGCCTTAAATCATTTCTAAAGAAACATTGTTACTTTTAAAGTTTATTTTGTGTTTAAATGGGCTATTTTTCTTTCACTCAAAAGCAAAAAAATGTCTTCCCTCTCACCAGTTCTCAGAGAGAGGGTCACACCCACTAACTTTTTACTAACTGATGAAAGGGATGTTGAATTGAAACTGCTGCCAGGGAATCTGCAGAAGGGCTAAATGGCTTTTAAGCTCAGAAAGGCTAAATGGCCTTTAAGTGCCTGCTGATCTGTACTTTCTAGAGAATAATTGCTTCAAAATCTATTTCATGAGACTGTCTACCCTTCAACAAGGGTGAGAACAATGTGATACCTGTGTCGGAAAATCTCTTTAAAAGATTTAGTTGTACTTTGAGGAATTCTTCTTGAAAATTATTTTTTCTCCAAATGTGTTTGTATGCATCAAAAATGTAATTAGATGCATGATTGAGGCAAACTACAGAAATAGATGTCAATAGTCTAACGGGGACTGTGAAGCAAGAGAGAGCCCACACCTAAAGTATGAATTTTCTTGTGTGTCTCTGCCCAATTTTTGAACTGTGGCTACTAATTCACTTGTCAAAGAAAGAACTTAAAGGCCAAACAAAATGTATTTTCTGGCCATATTTACTAATCTAGCTGCCAGCTTGTAGCCTAATGTTTAAGGTTATGAAGAAGCTACTAAAAGCCGCCTAAAGACTAAGATGAGAAAAGCAATATTTAGTTTTTAAATAATAAATAATAGTTATACATATTTATGGGCTTGATATGATGTGTTGATACATGCATGCAATGTGTAACCATGAAGTCAGGGTGTTTGGGATACCCATCACCTAAAAATTTTATCATTTGTATTAAGAACAATCTGAAGTTTCTTTTCCAGGTATTTTGAAATATACGATAAATTATTGCTAGCTATATTTCCCCTACTGTGGTCAAAACTTAGAACTTATTCCTTCTATTTAACTGTATCTTTGCACCCATTAACCATCTCTTTTTATCCCGCCCTCCCTACTGCAATTTCCAGCCTCTGGTGACCACAATTTTACTCTCTACCTCCATGAGATTATTTTTTAGCTCTCACATATGAATGAGAATATGTGATATTTGTCATTCTTTCCCTGGATTATTTCACTTCAATTCCATTCTTCAATTTCATCCATGTTGCTGCAAATAACAGGATTTTATTTTTTATGGCTAAATAATATTCCCTTGTGTACCTGTACCACATTTTCCATTCATCTGTTGATGACATAAAACCAGACACATAGACTAATGGAACAGAATAGAGAATACAGAAATAAATCCACACATTTACAGTCAACTCATTTTTGACAAAGGTGCCAACAATGTACATTGAGGAAAGGACAGCTTCCTCAATAAATGGTGCTGGGAAAACTGGTTATCCATATGCAGAAGAAAAAAATTAGACCCCTATCTCTCACCATATACAAACATCAACTGAAAATGGGATTAAAGACTTAAATGTAGCAATGAAAACTGTAAAACTAGAAGAAAATATTGGAGAAATCCTTCAGGACATTGGTCTCAGCAAAGTTTTATGGTCATGACCTTAAAAGCACAGGCAACAAAAGCAAAAATAGACAAGATTACATTGAGCTAAAAGGCTTCCACACAAACAAAGGAAACAATAAACAGAGTGAAAAGACAACCTGCAGAATATCAGAAAATATTTGCAAACTATCCATCTGACAAGGGATTAATAGTCAGAATGTGTAAGGAACTCAAACAACTCAATAGTAATAAAAGGCAATTAATTTGATTTAAATATGGACAAAAAATCTAAACAGGCATTTTTCAAAAGGAGACATGCAAATGACCAACGGGTATATGAAACAATGCTTAACATCACTAATCATCAGAGAAATGCAAATCAAAATCACAAGAAGATAACACCTTACTTCAGTTAAAATGGCTATGATCAAAAAGGCAGAAAATAATAGATGCTGGCAAGAATGTGGAAAAAATGGAATTTTTAAAAACTGTTTATTCAAATGTAAACTATTACCACCACTATAGGAAATGCTATGGGGGTTCCCCTAAAAACTAAAAATAGACCTACCATAACATCCAGCAATCTTACTGCTGGGTGTTTATTCAAAGGAAAGAAAATCAGTATGTCAAAGAGATATCCTCTCCCATGTTTATTGCAGCACGATTCACAATTGTAATGTTTAGATTTTTAAGTCTAAATTAAAGCACCAATATTTGGCTGACACTTTGGAGACTGTGAGTTAAATTTTTCATTTGTGAACAAATGCAAAAGGTAGTGAAGATGAATATGTTGTATAATACTAAATTTAATATTTTTCAGTAGTGGGAGCTTTTTTAAACTTTGCAATCTTAATTAGAATGGGGAGAAACTTTTATTGGGTTATTTGAATTATTGGTATTTTAATTTGGCAAGCTTAAAATCTTTAAAGGTAGCTGGATGTCAATCTCTGATATATTCTTTAATTCATACAAAATTTAGATATTTGCATTGAGTCAGAAATGCCTAAAATTTTCTGAATTTCCAGTGTTATTTTTATTTGAAAAAACTGAGGTTGAACCAAAATGATTGGAAATAAATTACAAAGATATGGAGATAAGGATGACTATGGATTTAAACTTTGATTCCTTGTAATTAACAAGACACAGCACAAGAACTGATTTGAAATGAGCAGAGATTCAAAACCTAAAATATGTAAAAGAAGGAAATAAGTTCTAAGATTAGGGTTCAGATACAGGAGCTTAGGTCCAGAATCTAGTTAAGAGGAAAGAGTCCTGGAATTTTATACAAAACTTCAAGAACCAAATGGAGTCAAAGTTTATGAGGGGCTCAAATTATGTGGGCTTAAACTATTTTTTAATGACTTTGAACTTCTGATATTGCCCTACAGCAATGTTGGTTTTTTGTTTCTTTCAGATATTCAGTACTGTGCTGAGATGATGCACATGATGCAACTAGACCCAATTCCAGAAAATCTTGACCAACAGTCAAGAAAAAATAGTGTGAAGTTACCACACTGTCTGAGTTCTGCCTTACCTATGAACTACTCTTGATTATAAAGCACGCTAATACATTAGTCTTCACGGAAGCATGGAGTAGGATAGGGGGAACAACTAACACAGGAAAATACTTGGATTTCAGTGAGGCTGTCTGTTAATAAAGATGAGGGAAAGGGATTATCTACTATGAGAAACATAAGCAATATAAGATAATAAGGGGTTGGAGTAAAAATATTACCAGTACTTAGAGTATTAAATGTTTGTTGACATTTATGATAGAAGGACTCTTAAATAGACAGACATCTGTATAATGGATGTCCTTCATTTCTTTTATTTCAGTAAGCAAAGTTACCTCTTGTGAAATTCTTAATAAAAAAGAAACATTATATTAAAACTTCCAGTTATATGCCCCAATGCAATACACACACACACACACACACACACAGAGAGTATATAAATACAGAAAATCTGGGATTTGGCTCAAGGCGCCAAGGAGTCTTATAATAAACAATTTGAAGAATCCGAGAATGAGGCAAGACTGAGAAGATATGCGCTGTGGAATCTCCCAGGACAGAAGGCATAGGTTGCAGCAACAAACTCATTTGTTATATTTTGTCTATTCTATATTTTCCTCTATTGCTTCCTCTGCAAGTGGTTAAGCTATATTACTGTGAGTGGGAGGAACTGGGATAAAATTAAACAAGGTATGTATATTTAGAGCTTTCTATAATGTTTGTCAACGTGCCTCTCTCTGCAGCTGTCATGAAACAGAGCATTGCTGGATTCCCATGACTTATGGTTTGCCTAGTGCAAATAAAATTTCCTCATGTTCTTTCAGGCAAACTGTGTTTATCTTAAATTACCCTGGTACACATTGAAACGGGGAAGAACTGGATGACTCAAAAGACTGAGGCAATGTAGTATAGAGATAAAATAATGACTACAGTAATACTACCTATGTTGTGTTTAGAAGAATCCCTGCACTTAATAAGCACTATGTATGTGTGTGATAAATTTAAAATATACTTAATGGATATCTTAAGTACAGATTATTACTTCTGGAAATTTAGCTAGGGGGAAAAGAAGAGAGTTAGTGTTTGCATGGGTAGGGGAAAGGGGGAACACAGGAATTACTTATTTATATATTATTTGATTTTATTTCAAGATAGGAGACATAAACATGTTTATAAACCGAGGTGAATAATTCATTGGAAGGAGTGCAGATTCTGAGGTCCCACTCACAGATACTGAATTTGAAATTCTGAACATGGGTAAAATTCATCTATCTATCTATATCTATCTACATATTTGTATTACATATTACGTACGCATATATACATATACATATATTTATATATACATTTCTACAAGATTCTGATGACTTAATAAGGCCTACCTTGACTATATTGCTCATCCACCACAGTCCCAACTCCTCTTGTCCTCTTATTTTATTTTTTCCATAGTATTTATCATGTTCTAACATCCTACGTAGTTTATCCATTTATTGTTTTTAGTCTATTGTCTTTCTTTTCCCACTAGTACTTAAGTACTAAGAAGGCACTTTTTTCACTGCTATATTCTCCACACCTAGAATAGTTCCTAGCTATAGTAGATTCTCAATAAATATTTGTTAAATACATAAATCAGGAAAGTGTAGGAACCACTTTCCCAGTGGAGGTAGAAATATAGGAGCCTAAACTGTGGCTAGGAAGGAGGAAATGGTGAGCAGGACCCTGACCATCTCATAAATGGTCCCTGTGCCTCAGGGAAGTGGTTTTCTAGTTTTCTGGCCAGTGGAACAACCCTGGATTTCTAATCTAGGCTGACAATGACAGACAAAGCCTTTTCTTGTCTTCTTTCTACCTTAATGGGTCATAGTGTTTCCAAAAGGGGAAAGGCTTTTTTTTTTCCGGTTCAATCCCATTTGCCGTGTATCCACCATAATTTTTCCTCATCATTATTTCATTCAGTGCTTTGATCTCTGAATCTCATGTTTTGGTTTCAGAGTCTCTTCCTCAATATTTTATTGGAGAGTAGGACGGGGGCATACAGACACTGATATTATGCTATAATGTTAAACCAGAAGTACAGGAGACTAATTAAAAGAAAACCATATTTTATAAGTACAATTATTGGCAAGCCCATTTTGGATTCTTAAAGATATTGTCATTACTTTAAGTAGTTTAATATACTTCAGATATTACCTTTTTTCTAAATTGCATCTAATTCAAATGTGTATGATTTCAGAAAATGGTAAAGAACTGTAAACTGGTAAAAAAAAATTATCTAGGTCAAACCAGAAAGAGCAAATGGAAGGGCAATAATCAAATCTCAATGGTGTAATCTGGGCAAAACAAGCAATATTATGAAGAATATCCACTTACTATTCTGTTTTAAATAAGAAGAAAACCAGCTTGTAGCTTTTTCTATACTGCTGAAAATTTAGCCATAACACCTCAATAAGGTATTTTACTGAATGCAAAGAGACAGTGAAATTAGAAACATGAGTAAATTAGAACATGTACTTAGAGAACACATCTGTGAAGAGTGTAACTGATGTTTTGCAATAAACCTATTTTGAAATAGAGCTTTTACTAAATTATCCACATTATCCAGGCATCCTAGAACATTATTGTAACAGGTAGGCATCTATGATGCTTAATTTTATGTGTCTACTTACCTAGGCTATGATGAACAGTTGTTTGGTCAAAGACTAGTTTAGTTGTTATAAAAGTATTTAGTAGATGTGATTAACATTTACAATCAGTTGACTTTAGGTAGAGCAGATTTACTCCCTATAATGTGAATGGGCCTCAGACAATCAGTTGAATGCCTTAAGAGCAACAGTTTCCTGAAAAAAGAATTCTGCCTCCAAACTGCAACATAGAAATTCTGTCTGAGTTTTGAACTGTTGAGTTTTAGACCACCACATCAACTCTTACCTGAATCTCCAGCCTTCCAGTTGTCCTATGAATCTAAAACTTGCCTGCTCTCACAATCGTGTGGACCACCCTTAAAATCTCTCTCTTAATAGATGATAGATAGATAGATAGATAGATAGATAGATAGATAGATAGATGATAGATAGATAGATAGATAGATATATAGATAGATAGGCAGGGAGTAGATAGACTGGTGAAGATGAATCCATGTTTATCTGTCTATCTATCTATCTATCTATCTACATATAAAGGGAGGGAAAGAGAGACAGACAATAAACTCTAACTAATACATAGTCAGCATCTTAATTTCATTCAAAAAACTTGACCGAATATGACTATGTACCAGATACTGTGCTATATTCCTGGAATATAGCGACAAATAAAAATATGACTTTCACAAAGGCAGGACTATTGGTTTGTTTTGTCCCCAATACCTATAATGGTACTTGGAACAGAGTAGGCATTTAATAGCAATTTTGCTGAAAATATAAATAAGCATAGTTCTTTCCTTCAGAAGCCAGGGCATAAATTAAAAAACAAAGAAGTAAACCAAAAATCATACTGCATGTTATGTGCAACATATAGTCACAGTATAATTCTGCTTCTCTTTTAAAAATAATCACAAAAATATTTACAGATCTCTGGATGCAACCATGACTCCATCTGCTCTCCTAAGGGGAGGACCTAAATGACTGGACATTAGCGATGAGAGGGAAATATTTCAGTTAAAAATCTTTTGTCTCCTTTGACCACAAGTAAGTATTTGTTGTGGGAAGTCAGGGACCCCGAACGGAGGGACCAGCTGGAGCCGTGGCAGAGGAAACATAAATTGTGAAGATTTCATGGGCATTCATCACTTCCCTAATAATACTCTTATAATTTCTTATGTCTGTCTTTAATCTCTTAATCCTGTTATCTTCATAAGCTGAGAATGTACGTCACCTCAGGACCACTATTGTGTTAAACTGTACAAATTGATTGTAAAACGTGTGTTTGAAGAATATGAAATCAGAACATCTTGAAAAAGAACAGAATAACAGCGATTTTCAGGGAACAAGGGAAGACAACCATAAGGTCTGACTGCCTGTGGGGTCAGGCAGAATAGAGCCATATTTTTCTTCTTGCAGAGAGCCTATAAATGGACATGCAAGTAGGGAAGATATCACTGAATTATTTTCCTAGCAAGAAATATTAATAATTAAGTCCCTGGGAAAGGAATGCATTCCTGCAGGGAGCTCTATAAACGTCTGCTCTGGGAGTGTCTGTCTTATGTGGTTGAGATAAGGGCTGAAATACGCCCTGGTCTCCTGCAGTACCCTCAGGCTTATTAGGGTGGGGAAGAAACCCCACCCTGGTAGATTTGAGGCCAGACTGGTTCTCTGCTCTCGAACCCTGCTTTCTGTTGTTTAAGATGTTTATCAAGACAATACGTGCACAGCTGAACATAGACCCTTATCAGGAGTTTTTGAATTTGCCCTTTGCCTTGTAATCTTTGCTTTGCCCTTTGCCTTGTGATGTTTATTGGCCTCAGAAGCATGTGATCTTTGTTCTCCTTTTTGCCCTTTGAAGCATGTGATCTTGTGACCTACTCCTTGTTCTTGCACCCCCCTCCCTTTTTGAAATCCTCAACAAAAACCTGCTGGTTTTGTGGCTCAGGTGGGCATCATGGTCCTACCGATATGTGATGTCACCCCTGGAGGCCCAGCTGTAAAATTCCTCTCTGTACTCTTTCTCTTTATTTCTCAGCCAGCCGACTATTACGGAAAATAGAAAGAACCTATGTTGAAATATTGGGGGCGGGTTCCCCCAATAAGTATTACCTTTTCCAAAAATATTTTATTAAATTATACAAGCAATTGTTCAAGATTAAAGATTTCTATAGCAATATATTACAAAGAAAAAACATAAATAACAATATATAACTAAAGTAACTCACAATAGCTGAAAGTAAAGGGGATTTATTAATGTATTTCTTAAAATAAAAATCATTTAGGTAGATGCCACACAATTTCAGAGGCCATGTATATGAACATTTTCTTCCTAATAATTGTTATTCATGTTGAATGGGAAAATTGAAAGACACTAACAGATGTACTGATTTATGCTTACTTGTTTCTCAGCACTTACAACATAAAAATTGAATTCCCAGATTCATCATTGTATAGTGACCTTGAAAAACTAAACCGAAGTATACTATATTTATGAATGGAAATAAATTGAGAATATCAATGTTACTTCAATTTTGCCACATTCTAAAACCATCCCACTGAATACCATATTATTTTCTCCCACTCAAGCAATCACTTTTTTTACTAAATATTATGCAAATGTTCAGTAGAACCTATCACATTAAATAAGTATAGTTTTCTACTCCATATTAACATTTAACTTTTTCAATGTCATTAAGAATAAGCTGGGTACAAATTGTCAGTGATAACTGGCTCTCACTAATTATTCTTCACCAATGGTTAGGATTAGAATTGTTTTCACCTATTGGCTAACTCTAGCTTTTTATGATAACTCATGAAAAAAGATTAATGATTTGGGGAATTTAAAATAGAATCAAGCACATCAGAAGAAAGCACATGGAAGAAAATGTACCATCAATATTAGATCATTAATACTGATATCTAATTGGCTTCTTTGGGCTCCCAAAAAATTTAGAATTCCAAACCATTATCTATGAAGTATTGGTTGTCCAGTATCGGCTCACACTAGTTTTGTATGATGTCAAAGGATAAAAAGTAAATGAGCCCTCAAAGTGATGGGGACAGTAGATAATGCAGTACTTGGGATTCTGTTGTGCGATTACTTTTTGCCAATTGTACAAGCATTCTAATTTCCTACATGAAGAGTCATGGATATAATTTATAAAATGTCCATTTTTTAGTGAATGGACAAAAAAATCTATTCCGTTTGGGTATGAGATTTAAAAAGACCCAGGATTTAACAGTTTTTTTTTTTTTCATTGTTTCTCTGCTACCTTAGAAAAGAGACCTAAATAGTAGGTGGATGACTGCCTGGTTTTACTGGTTTCCAACTGCAGTGTCCCTAAAGTAGTTGGAGGAGATGAAGAAAGCCAAAGCTTGACCCATCAATGATCTACTTCCAGGAAAGCTATGTTTCTCTGGCTCAAAAATAATTTAAAGACATGAAAAATGAAAAAAAAAAAAGCCTAACTTTACTACACCTGTCAAATTCCTATACTTTCTAAAGAAAAACTGCCTAATGGTGAGATGTGAGAAGGCCGTAACTCTAATTTACTGCTGGCAAATTGGAAAATTGGATAATCTTCCTGGAATGTAATTTGTCAAAATATGTTGTCTTAATAATATTCATATTATTTGACTCAATTTCTGGAAAATGTAAAGATGTAATCAAGGGTTATCTAAAACATCTAGGATAAAATATGTTCATAATTATATCAGTAATAGGAAATAAAAAAGTTTTCTTTCTTTTTGTTTCAAAGTTTGCTGTCTTTTCCAAATATGATATGATGAGTAGATATTACAATGAGATTTTGCACAAGTACACACGTGAGCTAAAAAAGTCTTTCAGGTTCATTATGTTGTAAGTTCTCTCTGAAAAAAATATTTTTACTGCTGTTAATCAGTAGAGAGTGATATGATAGTACTACACAACTGAAGTAAAGAAAGTACCAAAATATCCTCATTGTACTCATCAACAAAGTTTCAGCCCTCTACAGCACATTCTCAATGAAAGGATATATTAGACTGAAACAAAGCATACTTCCCAAAGGAACCTCCTTTTCTCACACTCAATTATTTTAAAGTGTAGGTATTACACTGAATACGTAAGAAACTCATTCTATTTTGCAAAAAGTATGATGTTTACTCTTCTGCACACACTAACACAGCTACCCACAAGTCACTTCTGTCAGATCTAATCCTTTCCCATATTACTAAATGATTGTTTACCAACCACTGCCTATTAAAGTTACTCAGAAGTCCTGCAGTTAAAAAAGAAACAAAAGCTTGCTTGATGCTAGTACTCAGTTCCGTAAACTTTTAACAGTGTACCATGCCCCTGAAAAACATCAGTAGTCCTACAAATTCATTTTATATGAAATGTATTTTGAGAAACATGGCATTTGGCTAATGATTCAAGCTCCTATCTACAGTACATGTACCTTGACTGCATCTCTATAATGCATATTTTCAAACAATCTCTTCATTTAAAATAAATAATGGCTTAAAAAAAAAAACTTGTTAAACGAGGAAAGTGAACTTCCTTCTACTAGTGGCATTTCCCTAAAGCATTTTGATGATTCACAGAGAATTAAGAACAATAATCCAAACATGAAGCAATAGATAATATGTTTATTTTGAGAAGATGAGCATAACCTCTTTGGAACATTAAATCTCCATTTAGATCATATCTTGGAAGATGAAAAAAAGATATAACCACGGTGCAGTTTCAAAAAATAAATGGCAAAGTCTGTATTTATTTCATGATGTTTTAAAAGCCCATTTTGGCTTCAAATATTTGGAGACCTTTTGATGATATAGTAAATGGATGATTCACAGAGCTCTTCAGGAACACATATAAACATGAAATTCAAACAAAAACAACAAAAAAATAAATTGTACAGTTTATTCTGGAGCTATTCTCAATCTCATTAGGCCTGATCTAATTTCTTTTTTGGTCTGGGCTCCTGGGCCTGTGATTGTTTCTCTGTCTTACATGGTAGCTTCTCTTATTTAGACTATTGGGAGCCATTAATAAATGCTGTTAAGTGTATTCTAAGAATAAGTATGTACAAGAATTTGTATTCTTGCCAGAGAATCCATGTGTGGGTGCTCTGGTCAACAGTCCTAGATTCCAGCCACCCTCACCAAACACCAGACATGTGAGTGAAGCCATCTCAAACCCTCCATTTCAGTTCATCTACCTGCTGAATGGCACTAAGTGATTCCCATTAACACCATGTGCAATAAAAGAATCACCCAGCCGAGCCCTGTCCAAATTCCTGACCCACAAAACTGTGAGGTTTTAATAAAATGGTTAATTCAAAAAATGAATTATTATAAGAAGAACTTGCTGTACACATTCTAAAACCAAAGTAGAAAATAATCTGCTAAATTAGTAGATAGTACAACTCCTTCTTTCACTGGTAGATAATACAACTCCTTTTTTCACTCTCTCTTTTCCTCCATCCTTCCTTCCTTTCTTCTGTGAGAGAGTACTAGCAATTTCTTAGATGATATTTTGTTGTTCTTTTTATTTTTAAATACAATTTTAAAAATTCAAACTATAGCATTAAATTTAGACACAATTAATACATATGATTGCTTTTTTTATTTTCAGATAATTTTAGCACGTGTACTAAAATTTCTCAAAATGTATTCGGTGACATATTAGTTCTGTGAGATGCTCCTGAGCAATGCTACCCTACCCTTTTTGGAGATTCACAATGCACATGAGCACTTGAAAAGCTCTAGAATGCCCTACAGTTAAAAAAAGAAAAAATCAAAAAAACTATCTAACCCAGCTTCTCTCAAATAAATTTGGTCACGGACCTTTAACCCCCTTTCTTTTTCTAAATCTAACTAAACGTATCTCACCTACTAACTAACCTGGAAAGAAACGACTGTTCCACAAACTATACTTTGAGAAACATTAATATGCATTGCTTTCTCTGGAAATCTTGAAAATAACATATCTGCTTTCCAGTGAATCATCACTAGAAAATAATTCACTGTATAATCTTAGGATATCTTTTTTTTTTTTTTTTTTTTTTTTTTTGAGACGTAGTCCCACTCTGTCGCCCAAGCTGGAGTGCAGTGGCACGATCTCAGCTCACTGCAAGCTCCGCCTCCCGGGTTCACGCCATTCTCCAGCCTCAGCCTCCAGAGTAGCTGGGACTACAGGTGCCCACCACCATGCCCGGCTAATTTTTTTTTATGTGTATTTTTAGTAGAGACGGGGTTTCACTGTGTTAGACAGGATGGTCTCGATCTCCTGACCTCGTGATCCGCCCGCCTCGGCCTCCCAAAGTGCTGGGATTACAGGCGTGAGCCACCACGTCCAGTCCAAGATATCATTTATAAATATTTAAAATAACTATCATTTCAGATACAGTCATGTGATGCATAAAGACATTTTGGTCAAGGAAAGACTGCATATAAATTATTGTCCCATGAGATTATAATGGAAATGAAACTCTGAATCACCTAGTGACATCATAGTTGTCCTAACTTCATAGTACAACACATTACTCACATGTTGGTGGTGATGTTGGTGTAAACAAAACTTCTGTGCTGCCAGTCATACACAAGTATAGGACATATGATTATGTACAGTACATAATACTTGATAATAAGTAACAATGTTCCTGGTTTATGTATTTACTATACTATATTTTCATCATTATTTTAGAGTATCCTCCTTCTACTCACAGAAAGTTAACTGTAAAACAGCCTTTGCCTGTCCTTCAGGAGACATTTCCTAAGAAGGAATTGTTATTATAGGAGATGACAGCTCCATGAATGTTACTGCCCCTAGAGACCTTCCAATGGGACAAGATGTGGAGGTGGGTGACAGTGATACTGATGATCCAGACGCTGGGTAGGCTTAGGCTAATGTTTGTGTTTGTGACTTAGTTTTTAAGAAAAAAGTTTTTAAAGTAAGTAAAACAATTTTTTTAAACTGAAAAAATATTAAATAAGGACATAAAGAAAATATTTTTGTTCAGTTGTACAATGTGTTTGTGTTTTAAGCTGAGTGTTATTACAAAACTGTCAAAAGGTTTCTTAAAATTAAAAACTTTATAAAGTATAAAACTTACACTAATCAAAGGTGAATTTATTATTGAAGCAAGATTTTTAAAATAAATTCACAGCAGCCTATGTGTACAATGTTTAAGCCCACAGTAGTTTAGAATAATGTCCTCGGTTTTCACATTCACTCACCCACTCACTTATTCACCCAGAGTGACTTCCTGTCCTGAAAAATCCATTCATACCTTATACAGACGTACCATATTTTTACCTCTTATACCATACTTTTGCTGCACCCTCTCTAGGTTTAGATATATTTAGATACACAGATACGTTGTGTTACAATTGCCTATAGTATTCAGTACGGTCACATGCTTTACAGGCTTATAGGGTAGGAATAAAGGTTATACCATATAGCCTAGGTGTGCAGTAGGCTATAGCTTTTAGGTTTATGTAAGAATTTAGGTTAGTGCAATAACGGCAAAAACCTTGATGACTTTTGTACCAACCTAATACACTCTATGATGGTTGCACAATATCAAAATCGCCTAACAATGCGTTTCTCAGAATGTATCCCTGTTGTGAAGTGACATATGACTGTATATCCATGTCTACTAAATTTCTGCAATTTAAAATAGAAATTCTGAGATTTGAAATTTACATGGTTATATCCAATTATCAAATCCTTACTCAGCCAATCTGATTACTTAATTAGTGCCTCCAGAACAAACTCATCTGTTAAAATACCCAAAAAACTGATTCCAAAGAAAAGTATTACAATATCTTTAGGAGAAGAAATTGTTACATAAGTTTGGCACATGCACATGATCACATAATAAATAGAGCTATGAGTAAAGCTGCTGTGAACTATGAAAGTTCAAAGATATTTGACCTTGTCAAATTGCATGCCTCTGATGATCCTCAGTCACCAAAATTGTTCATATTTCATTTGGACATTTGAAATGATCTCACTTTCCAACTAGATGTATTTGTAGGACACTTTTAATTGCCTTGAAAATAAATAATGAATAAATTGGGCATTACTATCATCAAGATCATACAAGTAGCTGAGATTATTTTAGGTGCCACAGTTTTTTTTAATTATTGGAAAATTAACAGAAAATTTGTTGAAATTGATGAACAGATTTTAATGAAAATGGCTGTAAATTATGAAAGCCTGCTTACAGTTTCTGGTAATGTATGTACAATAAAAATAAAACATTCTGATACTTAAGTTTTTGCTCAAATTTCAACTTATAAAAATATAAAAATTTGCAATCTTTGGACATCTTTGGCAAATAATTAAATAATTCCCAGTTTAGATATTCCCATGCATACTGAATTTTCTAGACTCTTGTGCACTAAGATAGCATTCATCACTCATCCTTGTAAAGAACAAAGACAAATATTCCTGGCAGTGCTGTACAATAAAAATGTTTGCATTGATTGATATTGTATATGTGCTGTTTAAGTAATCAACAGATACATGTGTTTATTGAGCATTTGAAATGTAGATAATGTTATTAAGAAAAAAATATTTAAATTTTATTTAATTTTTTTTCTTATTATTATTTTGAGACAGGGTCTCTCTGCTGTCCAGGCTGGAGTACTGTGGGATGATCTCAGCTCATTGCGATCTCCGCCTCTCAGGCTCAAGCGAACTTCCCATCTTAGCCTCCCAAGTAGCTGGGACCATAGGGGCACTCCAAGATTCCTGGCTAACTTTTTTTTTTTTTTTCAGAGACAGGTTTTTGCCATGTTGCCCAGGTTGTTCTCAAACTCCTAGGTTCAAGCAATCCACCTGCCTTAGCCTCCCAAAGTTCTGGGATTACAGGCATGATCCACTGTGTCCAGCTAAATTTTAATTAATTTAAATTTAAATATTCACCTGTGACTACTGGCAAACTTATTAGACAGTCTATCTTCAGAACCAAACAACTTAATTTTGTACTGTTACAAACTAGTCATATAATTTAGAAGCCAATTGAGGCAAAAACTAAGAGATTAGATATCCTTTAGGAAATTAATTCAATGTTTGCTTTTTAAATACTCCACAGAAGCAACATGTTGATGCTAAATGCAAAGTGATTAGTCCCCAGTTTGGGCTGTTGTAACTTGTGGACCAGTGATGTCTTTTATAAGGAAGAGATAATCTATGTATTCATTTTTCATCCTACAATAGAGAAGAATAAGGAGTAAGATTTTTATTCCTATAGTTGAGAAAAAAAGACATAAGATGGTCACTCTTAATACTCTCAGGAACCAGAACACAGGCCACATTTTTATAGTGACATAGAGAAGCAGTGTGAAGAAGGAAAACCTCCTTTATATATATATAATGCAATGTATATCTCTCATAGGATTACACAACACAGTAGATACTTTGGAAATGGTATTTTTTGAGTTCAAGTGATCTTTATTATTTTTGTACTTCTACAGTTTTGCACTGGGTCTGTCTCAGATTTTATTCTCTTTGACTTAATTACAGTATTTGACAGTGTTTAACAACCTCTTCCTCCTTAAAGTCATTCACTTGACCTCTATGGCACTGGGCTTTTCTCATTTTTATTTTTTTAATTATATTTTATTTATTTATTTATTTATTTATTTATTTATTTATTTATTTTTGAGATGGAGTTTCACTTTTGTTGCCCAGGCTGGAGTGCAATGGCACGATCCCAGTTCACTACAACCTCCACCTTCCGGGTTCAAGCAATTCTCCTGTCTCAGCCTCCTGAGTAGCTGGGACTACAGGCACACGCCACCACACCTGGCTAATTTTGTATTTTTAGTAGAGACGGTTTCACAGTGTTGGCCAGGCTAGTCTCAAACTCCTGACCTCAGGTGATCCACCTGCCTCGGTGTCCCAAAGTGCTGGGATTACAGGTGTGAGCCCCCATACCTGGCCAAAATATTTTATTTTTTAAAGCAGTTTTAGTTTCACAGAAAAATTGAGAGGAAGGTACATAGACATCCCATATACCACATGCCCCCATGCATCAATAAGCGCCCCAATTATCAAATCCCCCACCAAAGTGATACATTTGTTACAGTTAATGAACCTACATTGACAAACAATTATCACTCAAAGTTCATAGTTTACATTTGGGTTCAGTCTTGGCGTTGAACATTTGTCTTAGGAATAACGGAGAAACCATAGGTAATTGCTGCCTAGGCCTGGACCAGGATGACCAAGAGCGATAAGAAATCCCTCTGCAGAGCCCTCTTTTAACTCCAGCTTTGTGCCAAACTGTTCAACTGCCCTTTCCACCAGTAAAATGTCACCCTGTGAAATAAGTACACCTCACCACAGATGACCCGTAAATAAGAGAAACTCCATCCTACATCTGTGAGGTTGCTTTGGCTACACAAGACCTGAAATGGAGAGCTACTGTTTGTCCCTATCTGGTCGTCCTGCTGGGCTGAGTTTGATGATTGGTAAGTAATTAAAACAAAGAAACCCACTCAAACTTTCACGTTATGGGTATGTAATTGAAGCTGCATCTGGAATTCAACCCCTGATGGTGAGGCCACCCCAAAGGGACCCTTGCTGGTGGATCCCTTACCGTTCTCTTCTGTGTGAACCTCTGATGGCTACTAGGAACAGTACCTACAAGCTAAGTTAATAGAAAAAAACTTGAAGAGCTTCATTCAAAACGGTATTCTATGGGTTTGGACAAATAATGACATGCATCCACCATTATAGTATCATAGAGAGTATTTTCACCGCCTTAAAAATCCCCTGTTCTGTGTCTTTATCTCTTCCATTCCTCAACCCTTGGCAGCCAATAATCTTCTTATTATCTCCATAGTTTTGCTTTTTCCAGTATGTCGTATAGTTGGAATCACACAGTATGTAGCCTTTCTCTAACTGGCTTCTTTTATTTAACAATATGCATTTAAATTTCCTATTATGTCTTTTCATGACTTATTAACTAACTTCCTTTTAGCACTGAATAATATTCCATTATTCATTCACATATTTAGTATCCTACTTATCATAGGCCATATTTTCCCAAGGTCTATTCGTTGTGAATAAAGCTTCTATAAACATTCATGTGCAGGAGTTTTTATTTTTATATTTACACAAAATATTTTGCATATTTATGAAGTGCATGTGAGCTTTTGTTACATGCATGGAATGTGTAATAATAAAGTTAGGGTGTTGGGGTACCCATCAACTTGAGATTTGATAATTTCTATGTGTAACATTTCATGCCCTCTCTTCTAGCTACATTGAAACGTACAACATTTCATCTTTTTTTGGGTAAATACCAAGGACCATAATTGCTAGGTCATATGTTAAGAGTATGTTTAGCTTTGTGAGAAACTGTCATACTGTCTTACGAAGTGGCTATACCATTTTGCATTCTCTCCAGCAAAAAATGAGAGTTTCTGTTACTCCACATCCTCACCAGCTTTGGATGTTGTCAGTGTTCTGGTTTTTGGCCATTCTAATAGGTGTGTAGCGGTATCTCATTGCTGTTTTAATTTGCATTTCCCTAATGACATATGATGTAAAACATCTATTTGTATGCTTATTTGTCATCTTCTTGGTGAAGTGTCTGTTAATAATTTGGCACATTTTTAAATCAGTTTGTTTGGTTTTTTTATTGTTGAGATTTTTAAGAGATCTTCTTATACTTTGGATAACAATCCTTTATTCAGTTATATCTTTTGCAAATGCTTTCTCCCATTCTTTGACTTGCCTTTTTAAACTGTTGACAGTGTCTTCACAAAACTGGATGTTTAATTTTAATAAAGTCTAGTTGATGATTTTTTTTCTTTCATGGGTTCTGTCTTTGGTGATATATCTAAAGTCATTGCCATATCCAAGGTCAGGTAGATATTTCTCATATGTTATCTTCTAGGATTTTTGTAGTTTTCTGTTTTACGTTAGGTCTGTGATCCATTTTGAGTCAATTTTGTAAAGGATGTTAGGACTATGTTTATTTATTTATTTATTTATTTATTTATTTATTTTTTGAGACGGAGTCTCTCTCTGTCACCCAGGCTGGAGTGCAATGGCGTGATCTTGGCTCACTGCAAGCTCCACCTCCTGGGTTCACGCCATTCTCCTGCCTCAGCCTCTCTGAGTAGCTGGGACTACAGGCACCCGCCACCATGCCCGGCTAATTTTTTGTATTTTTAGTAGAGATGAGGTTTCACCGTGGTCTCGATCTCCTGACCTCGTGATCTGCCCGCCTCAGCCTCCCAAAGTGCTGGGATTACAGGTGTGAGCCACTGCGCCTAGCCTAGGACTATGTTTAGATCCACTATTTTACATGTAAATTTCCAGTTGTTCCAGCATGATTTTTTGGAAAGACTATATTTTCTCCATTGTATTGCGTTTCTTCCTTTGTCAAAGAGGTCAGTTTCTGGGCTCTCTATTCTGGTCCATTGATCTAAGTCTGTTCTTTTACTAATACTACACTGTTTTAATTACTATAGCTTTACAGTATGTCTTGACGTCAGATAATGTCAGTCCACCAACTTTGTTGTGCTGTCCTTCAATATTGTGTTGGCTATTATGGGTCTTCTGCCTCTCCATTTAAACTTCAGAATTTCCTGGGATTTTGATTGAGATTGCTAAACATTGAGCACACATTGTCATAAACATGGAAACAATAGACACTAGTTTAGTAGAATGGGGAGGGAAGGAGGGAGACAAAGATTTAAAAACTACCTATCAGGTACTATGCTCCCTACCTGTGTGATGGGATCCATACCCCAATCCTCAATATCACACAATATTCCAATGTAACAAACAGGCACGTGTACTCTCATATCTAAAATAAAAATTGAAAGTAAAAGAAGAGTTGCTAAACTTCAGAGGTAATCAAAGAAATGCAACCTAAAACAATGAGACATCACTCTCTAACCATCATATAAAAAATAAAAATTCGGGTAGTATTTAGTGTTGGTGAATATGTGAGTGGTGGGAATCTTTTACCAACTCATGGTGGAAGTATATATTGATAAAGCCATTCTTGGGAGCAATTTGTAAGCATTTAGAAAAACTAAGCATGAACATATCATTTTTGCATATATAGCCAAGAAAAACTCTTACATGTAGAGAGAGGCAACAATGAGAATGTTTATCATAGCTATACTTACAATAACAAAGAGTTTGAAACAACTGAATTGCTTATCAACTGACAATAAAATGTGGAACACGTTTGATACAATTTCTCCTGATTTATGGCCTTCAGTTATATTTTCCTTTTTCTTTTACTGCTCATTTCTCACAATCAATTCTAAATAATATCCTTTTGGCTCTCTGGGCCCTCTTTTTTCTGTACACTATTTTCATGAGCAGTCTCCTTTATTTGTCCATGTCTTGGACAAAAATACACAATGGAATCAGGCAGCTTGAGGCACAGCCCCAGTATTTTCTGCAATATCTATACACTTCAAAACTAAAAAATGTACTCAGACATAGGCATAAAATTATGCCTATGCAGTGTTCAAAGAGTGCTTTACAACAGCATAACTCTATACTAATACACAATTACCACTCTTACTAAATCAACAGAAATGGCAGGTACTCTTGCTAAAAAGTAAGAACTTTGTTTTTTGCTTGTTTCTCTCTCTCTCTCTCTCTCTTTCGTGTGTGTGTGTGTGTGTGTGTGTGTATTTTTGTTGTTGTTTTTGACAGATTGCTAAACTCAGATTATCACTGGAAAGAGACAAAATCATCTGCACAGGCTGGCTATTTACCACAATAAAGTTGCTTTAAAAACCATCTCCAAACTCAGTATTTTAGAAAAAAATATTATTTCTATGGTTCTGCAAGTCATCATAGGTGGCTTTGCTTCAGGCTGCAATGACTGAGACAGTTCTGCTGATCTCAGATAGACTTACACGTGGCTGGGGTTCAGCTGGGAGTTACTAGGCTTGGATTGGCTGTTGAAGCTATGTGGCTGTTCTTCAAGCTGCAGTTTACCAAGTCCCTTGGGAAACTCTAATCCAAGTGTCCCTCATCTTCCTTGGATAAATAGATTAAGTGAGGAATGTTCTCTTCATGGTGTTAACAGATATAAGAATGTATGCTGAATCATGCAAGCAATTCCAAGCCCTTGTTTTGCATTGTGCCTTATAGCACCCTATTGGTCAAAGCAAGTTACAAAGCCAAGCTCCAATCCGGGGTTGGGGAAATACAATAAAATGATAGCCAAGTTGAAGATGCAGAAGCACGTGAAGACTTGGACCAAATATTTCTTTTTTATTTGTATTCCTTTTTTTAAAATTTTCAACTATTATTTTAGATCTAGGGGGTACATGTGCACATTATTTGCATGGTTATATTGCACCTAGATAGTGAGCAAGAGTACCCAATAGGAGTTTGTCAACCTGCACACCCATCCCTCCCTCCCCCAGGAGTCTGCAGTGTATATTGTTCCTATGTTTATGTTCATATGTGTTCAATGTTTAGCTCTTACTTATAAGTGAGAACATGTGGTTCTTGGTTTTCAGTTCCTGTGTAAATTCTCTTAGGATAATGGCCTCCATCTGCATCCATGTTGCTAGAAAGGACATTATTTTATTCTTTTTTATGGCTACATAGTGTTCCATTATGTGTATGTACCACATTTGCTGTATCCAATCCACAATAGATTGATACCTAAGTTGATTCCGTGTCTTTGTTATTATAAACAACATAGAAATGAGCATATAAGTGAATGTGTCTTTTCAGTAGAATAACCTCTTTTCTTTGAGGTATATATCAAGTAATGGGATTGCTGCGTTGAATGGTAGCCCTCTATGAAGATCTTTGAGATTAGGGGCTGAACTAATTTACATTCCCATCAACAGTGTATAAACTTTCCCTTTTCTCCACAGCCTTGCCAGCATCTGTTTTTTTTTTTTTAATTTAACAATAATATCAATTCTTTCTAAGTCCATTCTTTCTAAGTGTTGTGAGATAGTATCACTTTGTGGTTTTGATTTGCATTTCTCTGATGATTAGTGATGCTGCGAACTGTTTCATATGTTTGTTGGCGGCTTGTATGTCTTCTTTTGAAAAATGTCTGTTCATGTCCTTTGCTCATTTTTTAATTGGGTTATTTGTTTTTCTCTTGTTGATTTCTTTCAGTTTCTTACAGAATCTTCATATTAGACCTTTGTTAGATGCATAGGTTGCAAATATTTTCTCCCATTCTGTAGGCTGTCTGTTTACTCTGTGGACTTTTTTTTTTTTCTGTGCAGAACCTTTTTATTTAGGTCTCACTTGTTAAACTGTGTTTTTGCTGCAATTGCTTTTGGGGACTTAGGCAAAAATTCTTTGTCAAAGCTGATGTTGAGAAGATTATTTCTTATGTTTCCTTCTAAGGTTTTTATAGTTTGATGTTTTACATTTAAATCTATATTTCATCTTGAGTTACTTTTTGTATATGGTAAAGGGTCCAGTTTCATTCTTCTGCCTATGACTAGCCAGTTAGCTCAGCACCATTTATTGAATACAAAGTTCTTCCTTGTTGCTTCTTTTTGTCAGCCTTGTTGAAGATCAGATGATTGTTAAGTGTGTGGCTTTATTTCTGAGTTTTCTATTATGTTCTATTGGTCTACATGTCTGGTTTTGTACCAGTATCATGCTGTTTTGGTTATTATAGCCTTAGTATAGTCTGAAGTCAGGAAGTGTGATGCCTCCACTTTTGCTCTTTTTGCTTGGGATTGCTTTGGCTATTTGAGGTTTTTTGTTGGATTCATGTGAATTTTACAATAGCTTTTTTTTTCTAATTCTGTGAAGAATGGCATTGATAGTTTGATAGATATAGGGTTGAGTCTATAAATTTCTTTGAGCAGTAAGGCAATTTTAATGATATTGATTATTCCAATCCACGAACAGGGAATATTTTTCCATTTATTTGTGTTGTCTCTGATGTCTTTCAGCAGTGTTTTGTAGTTCTCCTTGGAGAGGTCTTTCACCTCCTTGGTTTTCTGTATTCCTAGGTAATTCATTTTCTTTGTGGCTATTGTAAATGGATTTGTGTTCTTGATTTGACTCTCAGCCTGGAAGTTATTGGTGTATAGGAATCTACTGATATTTGTACATTGCTTTTTTATCCTAAAACTTTCCTAAAATTGTTTATCAGTTCCAGTAGTTGTTTGGCTGAGGTTTTAAGATTTTGTAGGTATAGAATATTATCATCAGCAAAGAGAAGTAGTGGGACTTCTTGTTTTATTTGGATGCCTTTTATTTATTTCTCTTTCCTGATTGCTCTGGCTAAGACTTCCTGGACCCAATATTTCAATTCAACTGCAGCATCTCATATCTGACAAGCCAAAAAATGATTTAGAAACAAATAATAATACATAATAGCTACCAGTTCTGGGGTAACTATTAATTTTTAACACTTTACACTAATACTAAATGTTCAGCTCCTTTCACAAGAACATGCAGGATAGATATTATTATATCTATTTTATATTGGGAGTTGAATCCAGGTCTGTCTGGCGCCAAAACCCACACAAGTTCTTCTCTACCACGCTGCTTTTGTAATACCCAACACAGTAATAGTACTAAACACGTGAATTCAATTGCTTGGAAGTGTTATTAGGTGCATGGACACTTGTATTGAAGGGTATTTATTAGATGTGTTTTTCTAGGCTGAATAAATAGAATAGACAATTGGTTCCCAAACTTTGCTATACATGAAAATCACCTGAAGTGGATTTTTATTTGTCTCTTTCTCTCTCTCTTTTTACTTGTCCAGGCTGTACTCAAACTCCTGAGCTCAAGCAATCCTTCTATCTTAGCCTCCCAAGTAGCTGGGACTACGGGCGCACACCATTACACTAAGTACATTTCTCTTTCTTTTAAAACAATGTTCCCTGATTCAACTATAGATCCACCAAATTAAAATATGTGAGTGTGGAGCCCATGAATGTACTTATAAGTTTTAGTTGATCTTGATGCAGCCCTCTCTGCACCTCCATTTGAGAAGAGTTGCAACAGGTCATTTCAAAATGCTAACTACTTAGGAAGGGTTTATATCTGCATCCATACTGCTTTCACTCCAGCCCAAGAAGTCTTCCAAGATGGAAAGCTAAGAATAAGAGATACCTAAACAGTTTATTTCTCAAAAGTTTCCAGAGAAGTGGAAGGGAAAGACAGGTTGAGGATTTAGGATTTGATTCTCAGATGAGAAGAGGGCCAGGGCCTAAGTGGTGATGAAAAGGGAAACATCAATTACATAGAGACAGACTGGAGTGTGGGACAGAATGATGTTGTGAGTAAAGAAGGAAAACGTGGAAAATTATAGGATAATAATCAAGTTCTTCAAAAATAACAGTAGCTACAATGTCTTGAGTGCCTACTACAAGTGCACATGTTATCTCATTTTATTCCTTATGACAATCCTATGTGGTGACTAATAGTATCCTTAATTTACAAGTGGAGAAACAGAGGCTCACAAAGGTTCTCTAACTTGCCCAAGATCACAACACCAGAAAAAACTGGAATTTGAAATCAGGCCTTTCTGGCTAAAAACTTTGTGCACTTAATCAGTGGTCAAGTTCACTTAAATGAAGAAAACAATAATAATATATTCAGAAGATGTAATGAGAGAATGAAACAGCACTGCTTCAAGTAGCTGTTTGACTCAAATATGATTAATTTTTTCTACTATTCATTTGACTCGTACAACCATTTACTTTGTACTGGTGTACTTTATACTCATATTGGAATAAAAATATTGCTTTTGCCTCACTTCAATACTATCTCATATGCTTAAATTGTTTTCCCAAGAATCATTTCTGAAAATAGCATTTAAGTTTCTCTTATGACCTTACCTGCAGTGATTTATTCATGCATGCATTCACTTTAGAATGCATTCCTTTATGCATTCCAAAATATCTGTATCACTTACTATGAGCCAGAAACTGCAATGCCAATCTTTTTCTAACAGAATATGACATCATAAAATCAAAGATAATATTGGTACTTTTTCAAATCTAACAGGGCACACATTACTGAAGAAAACAGAGTCTGAAATGTGCTTCCTCAAAATATTGACCATAAAAAGCAAGAATAAAAGCTTTCGTAATACCGTAAAAACTGTAAAGTGATATCCAGCACTGCAACTATATTACAAAATATGGAAATGTACAGAATAAGATCATTAAAGTTAGGAAAGAAAAGCTTAAAAAGAAAAATAATTTAACTTACTAAGTTCTTTTAAATGCATTCCATTTCCTGAAATGTATATTTATTTATATATACTTTGACAAATTTTGCCACATTTGCTAACTTTCTTATGTTTTTGTCTTCTTATTTTAAAGTAATCTAAACTATTTTAATGGTTTTACAGTTTTAGATTTAAGAACCACAATGAAAAATATGTCCTGAACTATCTTTTCAATGCAATATTTTTCAGAAACTATGTAGGATATTTCTACAATTTCCTCCGTAAATTGAGCCCTATGACTCAAACCTTATATAAATTTAAGCCACTTGTGTTTGTGTGTGTGTTCTTGATATTTAATGTTAATAAAAGTAATATGACTTTCTCTGGCCAATCTGAAATATATAAACTGATCTTAGTTTAGCTCAATAAAATCTGATGTAAAGAGTCAAAAAAAAGCAACTTTGAGAAATAGCATTAAATATGTGTTTTAAAATATGTCGTTTTTTTATCCTCTTCTGGAGATGCTTATGCTTTCAGAGCCTTCCTCTGTGTCCATGCAGACAAGTTCCATTTGTATCATCTGGGGTAGTTCTGTGCTCCTTTAGAGGGCACAGAGAAAAAGAGGATCCATCAAGGACAGTTTCATATAGCGCTGTTCTTGAGAAACTGTTCTTTTATTGTTTGGATTTGTTTTTCCTGAATACAAACATAATAGGCTACCACAGAAAAGAGATGCTTTTGCTTTGGAAGATAATCAATGTGTTGTACTTTATAAGTCCATTTTTTATGAATGGTAGAATGGCTATGGTGATAAACACATATTCTCAACTCAGCTTTATTCTATGAAGAATAAAGGGCATAAAATAGCAGCTTTCCAAATGTCAGTGGTTATGATTTTTGTCACTCAAAACCTTTTAAATATGTTTTTTCAGATACATTATTCCAAAGCCACACAAATGTACCTAGTTCTTAAATACTATGCTGTGATCAAAATCATTTGTTATAGTTTTTTTTTTTTTGTGGTGCCACCCTTGAGTCCTTTGTTAGTCTTTCAAAATATAGTACTTCATGATTCAATTTCAGTGACTTGCAACAGTAAAAACATCATAACCATCTGATAACATGACCTTTACTCCAAGCATTTCCAATTGACATTTTTTTTCAACCTTTATTTTAAGTTCCTGGGTACATGTGCAGGATGGTGCAGGTTTGTTACAAAAGGTAAATGTGTGCCATGGTGGTTCATTGAACAGATCAACTGATCATCTAGGTATTAAACCCGAAATCTATTAGGTATTCTTTCTGATGTTCTTCCTCCCCCACCTTGAGAGGCTCCAGTGTGTGTTGTTCCCCTAGATGTGTCCATTTGACATTATTAATAAAGATATCTCACGTGTGAAAACTTTTAAATAGTTAAGGCTATATCAAACTACAGGGGGAAAAATAGGAGTCTTTAGTATAGCACTTGACTTATGACTCATAAAATGGTTGTTCTATGTTGATGTTTGTTCTTAAAGATGGTGATATTCAAGAATGTTTTCTTAAGCAACTGATGCCGATTTTTCATTTGTTAGAGTATATAAAGGGTATAGACATAAAGAGAATGAGGTAAAAGACTAAAATTCAAAACCTAATTAAGTCATTAGGGAAATTCATATGAAAACCACAATGAACTTATATGTAAAAGCTATACTTTTAAAAAAATTTAATAATAAGAAAACAACCCCAATAAGAAATGTTTAAAAGATCTGGACACTTTACTAAAGATATACGGATAACAAATAAGAACATATAAAAGTGATCAAAATCATGTGTTATTAGGGAATTAAACATTAAAACAACAACTTGATACAACTAAAGACTGATCAGAATGGCTAAAATACAAATCACTGGCAACACCAAATATTGTTTAAGATGTGGGACAACGGAAATGTGCATTCATTGTTGGTGGGAATACAGAACAGTACAGCCACTTTGGAAGACAGTTCGGATTTAGCAATCACACTCCTTGGTATTTTCCCAAATGAGTTGCAATGAATGTTATGTCCGCACACACAAGAAAAAAATACACACACAAATGTTTACAGCAGCTTTATTTATAATTGGCAGAACTTGGAAGCAACCAAGATGTCCTTCCATAGATCACACCTTGTTGATAAACAAGGTATGGCATATCCATACAGTGGCCTATTATTTAGTGATAAAATATGCACTAGTAAGACAAGAAAACACTTAGAATAACCTTAAAAGCATATAGCCAAGTGAAAAAAAGTCAATCCGAAAAAGCTATATACTATATGATTCCAACCGCATAATATTCATATAATAGTCTCAAAAAGGTAAAACCATGGAGATCAGTGGTTGGCAGGGATATGTGGGGAGAAAGGGAGGAATAAATAGATGGAACATAGAAGAGTTTTAGGGCAGTGGTACTATTCTGTATGTCACAGTAATGGTGGACACATATTTATTTGTCAATACACACAGGATATACAAAACAAAGAGTGAGCTCTGATGTAGATTATGGACTTTAATAATAATGAATAAATATTGATTCATATATTGTAACAATTATTCCACACTAATGAAAATGTAAATAATGCCAATCTTTTTCTAACAGTGTATCACAGGGAAAACCACAGGAAAAACGGAGTAAGTGGCAACTCTCTGTAATTTTTTTTTTTTTTTTTGAGGTGGAGTCTCGCTCTGTCACCCAGGCTGGAGTGCAGTGGCGTGATCTCCGGTCACTGCAAGCTCTGCCTCCCGGGTTCACGCCATTCTCCTGCCTCAGCCTCCTGAGTAGGTGGGACTACAGGTGCCCGCCACCAGGCCTGGCTAATTTTTTGTATTTTTTTTTTTTTTTTTTTTTTAGTAGAGATGGGGTTTCACCGTGTTAGCCAGAATGGTCTCGATCTCCTGACCTCATGATCCGCCTGCCTCGGCCTCCCAAAATGCTGGGATTACAGGCGTGAGCCACCATGTCCAGCCAACTCTCTGTAGTTTTAAATTAATTTTTATGTAAACACAAAACATTTTAAAAAGTAGCCAATCAGTATTTATAAAGGGTAGAGTAGAGCAAAATGGATATAAAAATTAAAATCTAGAGATTCTGTTCAAATCATAATAACAAGCTATATGATGTTAAGAAAGTACTGATCTCCATGAGCTTGGGTTTCCTCATCTCCAAAATAAGAGACTTTTCTACCAAGCAGATTTAACCCAAATAAGACTACCTCAAGATATATAATAATCAAACTACCAAAGGTCAAAGATTTAAAATGGATCCTTAAAGAAGCAAGAGAAAAGAAACAAATAACATACAAAGGAGCTTCAATATATCTGGCAGCAGACTTCTCAGTGAAAACCTTACAAGCCAAGAGAAAGTGGCATGACATATTTAAAGTACTGAAGAAAAATCTTTTATCCCAGAATAGTATATTCAGTGAATATATCCTTCAAATATTAAGGAGAGAAAAAGAATTTTCCAGACAAATAAAAGCCAAAGGATTTCACCAACACCAAAATTATACTACAAGAAATGCTAAAGAGAGTTCTTCACCATAAAAGAAAAGGATATTAATGAGCAATAAGAAATTGTCTAAAGGTAAAAAAATTCACTGGTAATGGTAAGTATAGAACATTATGACACTGTAATTGAGGTGTGTAAACTACTTGTGTCTTGAGTAGGAAGAAAAAAGATGAGCCTATCAAAAATAACTACAACAACTTTTCAAGACATAGACAGTATAACAAGACATAAATAAAAACAACAAAAAGTTAAAAAGCAGAGAGGATGAAGTTAAAGTGTATAGTTTTTATTAGTTTTCTCTATGCTTCCTGGGTAGTTATTATAGTTTTTTCATTTTTGCAATCAGTATTAAATTGTGATCAGTTTAAAATAATGAGTCATAAGATGTTATTTGCAAGCCTCATGGTAACTTCATATCAAAAAAAAACATTCAATGGATGCAGAAAAAATAAAAAGCAAGAAATTAAAACATACTACCATAAAGAATATCACCTTCATTAAAAAGAAGACAGGAAGGAAGGAAAGAAGGAAGAGAATACTACAAAACAACCAGAAGGCAAATAAAATAATGGCAGGAACAAGTCCTTATTTATCAATAATAGCATTGAATGTAAATGGACTAAACTCTGCAATGAAATGGCATAGAATGGCTGAATGGATTAAAAAAAAAAAGCAAGACTCATTGATCTGTTGCCTACAAGAAATACACGTTACCTGTAAAGACACACACAGGCTGAAAATTAAGGGATGGAAAAGACATCCCATGCTAATGGAAACCAAAAAAAAGCAGGATTAGCTATACTTATGTCAGACAAAATAAATTTCAAGACAAAAGCTATAAAAAGAGACAAAGAATGTCTGTATATAATGATAAAGCAGTCAATTCAGCACAAGAATATAACAAATGTAAATATGTACACACTCAATAAGAAAGCATCCTGATATATAAAGCACTTACTAGAGCTAAAGAGAGAGATAGACCTCAACACAATAATAGCTAGAGACATCCCACTTTCAGCATTACACAGAACATCCGGACAGGAAATCAATAAAGAAACATGGGATTTAATCTGCACTATAGACCAAATGGACCTAATAGATATTTACAGAACATTTTATCCATTAGCTGCAAAATACACATTATTTTCCACAGCACATGAATCATTCTCAAAAAGAGACCACATGTTAGGTCACAAAACAAGTCTTAAAACGTTCAAAAAATTGAAATAATATCAAGCATCTTCTCTGACCACAATGAAATAAAACTGGAAATCAATAATAACAGAAACTTTGCAAAGTATACAAACACAAGGAAGTTGAACAATATGTTCTTGAATGATCAGTGGGCCAAGGGAGAAAAGAGAATAATTTCTTGAAACAAATAAAAGTTAGAACAAAACATACTAAAGCGAAAGGGATACAGTAAAAGCAGTACTAAGATAAAAGTTTATAGCAATAAGTGACTACATTTAAAAAGTAGAAATACTTCAAATAAACAACCTACTGATTCATCTTAAAGAACTAGAAAAGAACGAGCAAGCCAAATCAATATAAGTAGAAGAAAACAACTAATAACTATCATATAAAAAATTATTGATATTAAAACAAAACAATAGTACAAAAAATTATTGAGACAAAAAGTTCACTTTTTGAAAAGATAACCAAAATGACAAACCTTTATCTAGACTAAGAAAAAAAATAGAAAACTCAAAGTCAGAGATTAAAAGGATACATTACAACTAATACTCCACAAATTCAAAAGATTATTTGAGACTAATATAAACAATTATATGCCAATAAATTAGAAAACCTAGAAGAAATAAATTCCTGGGAACATACAACCTATCAAGATTGAACCATGAAGAAATTCAAAACCTGAAGAGACTAATAACAAGCAATGAGAGAAAAACCAGAATAAAAAGTATCCCAGTAAAGAAAAGCTGAAGACTCTATGGCTTCACTGCTGCATTTTACCAAACTTTTAAAGAAGAACCAATACAAATCTTACTCAAACTATTCTAAAAAATAGGTGGAGAGGGAATACTTCAAAACTCATTCTGAGACCAGTATTACCCTGATACCAAAATCAGAAAAAGACAAATCAAAAAAGGAAACTACAGGCCAATATCCCTAATGAACATTGATGCAAAAATCCTCACCAAAATGCTAGTAATGTGAATTCAACAACATATTAAAAAGATTATTCATCTTGACCAAGTTGGATTTATCCCAGGGATAAAAGTATGGTTCAGTCAATGTGATACATTATGTAAACAGAAAGAAGGACAAAACTATATGATCATTTCAACTGATGTTTAAAAAAAAAAAAGCATTTGATATAATTCAACATCCATTCACGGACAAACTATTCAAAAAATTGGGTATAGAATGAACATACCTCAACACAATAAAAGCCATAAATGACAGACTGGCAGCTACTTTCATACTAAGTATGGAAAAACTTAAAGACTTTAAGATCTGGAACAAGACAAGGATGCCCACTTTTACTACTGCTATTCAACATAGTACTGGAGTCCAAGCTAGAGCAATCAGACAAGAGAAAGAAATAAATGGCATCAAAATTGGAAAGAAAAAATAAAATAATTTTAATCCCCCTTGAAAGCACCACCTCCTGGCTGGAAGCCAACCCATTCAAGTGATTACAGCAATACATAATAGAACGACCTGCTCCAAAGAAAAAAAACAACAACAACTAATTCCGCCTCCTGCAACAGAGGTCCTGAGTCTGTCCACAGGACAACTTCACTGCTAGTATAACCAGTATTCAAGAAAACCAGCACACTGAACAAAACTATAACCAAGGAGTCCCACAGAGTCCACTTCACTCCCCTGCCACCTCCACCAGATCAGGTGCTGGTATCCACAGCTGGGAGATGTGAAGATGGATTACATCAAAGGACTCTTTGAAGACATTCTTTGGTACCTGCCCAGAGCCTTGTAGCCTCGCTGGGTGGCTGGACCCAGAAGGGCACTAAAAATCACTGGCATTCTGGCTGTCAAGAAGCCCCATCCCTAGGGTGAGTTGGGTAGCACCAAATCAAGGGACAAAATTCTGAACAGCAGCTCTTGAGTTTCAGATCTTTCCACTGAAATAGTCTACCTAAATTAGAACTAAAGTAATTCTGGTAATATGACAAGACAAGTTTTTATAGCACCCCCAAAATATTACACTAGCTCTTCAGTGATGGATCCAAACCAAAAATATTTCTGAATTGCCAGATAAAAAATTATCAGAATGTTGATTATTAAGCTACTGAAGGAGGTTCCTGAAAAAGGTGAAAACCAAATGAAATAATTTCTTTTAATTATAGGATATGGATAAAAAGTATCCAGAGAAGTATATATCATCAAGAAAAGACCATCACAACTTCTGGAAACAAAAGACACACTTAGAAAAATGCAAAATACACTGAAGAGTTTTAGCAATAGAATCTAACCAGTAGAAGATAAAACTTCAGAGCTTAAAGACAAGGCTTCCAAATCAATCCAATCAACAAAGACATAGAAAAAATAATTTAAAAATTAACAAAGCCTCCAAGAAGTTTGGGATTATATGACCAAACCTAAGAATAACTGGTGTTCCTGAAAAAGAAGAGAAATCTAAAAGTTTGAAAAACTTATTTTAGGGAAAAATCAAGGAAAGCTACCCTGGCATTGCTGGGGATCTAGACATCCAAATACAAGAAGCTCAAATAATACCCGGGAAATTCATCATAAAAAGATCATCACCTAGGCATGTACTCATCAGGTTATCTAAAGTCAAGATGAAAAAAAGAATTTTAAGAGCTGTGGGGCAAAAGCATCAGGTAAGCTATAAAGGAAAACCTATCAGATTAACAGCAGATGTTTCAGCAGAAAACTTACAAGCCAGAAGGAATTAGGGTCCCATCTTTAGTCTCCTTAAACAAAATAATTATTAGCCAAGAATTTTGTATCCATTGGAACTAAGCTTCGTAAATAAAGAAGAGATTAAGTCTTTTTCAGACAAATAAATGTTGAGACAACTTACCACTACCAAGCCAGCACTGCAAGAAATGCTGAAACGAGTTTTAAATCTTGAAACAAAACCTCAGAATAGAACCTCCTTAAAGCATGAATAGCACAAGACCTAAAAACACAACAACAACAACAAAAAGAATTCAGGTAGAAACTAGCATGGTGAATAGATCAGTACCTCACATCTCAATACTAACTTTGAATGTAAATGGCCTAAATCTCCATTTATAAAACACAGAATAGCAGAATGGATAAAAACCCACAAACCAAGTATCTTCTGTCTTCAAGAGACTCAACTAATATATCAGAACTCACATAAACAAGGTTAAGGGGTAGAAAGAGATAATCCATGCAAATATAAAACAAAACCTGGTAGGAGTAGCTATTCTTGTATCAGAAAAAACAGACTTTAAAGCAACAACACTTAACAAAGGAGTAACATTATATAATGATAAAAGGATTAGTTCAATAGGAAAATGTCACAATGCTAAATATATATGCACTTAACACTGTAGCTCACAAATTTATAAAGCAATTACTACTAGACCTAAGGAATCAGATAGACAATGACACAATAATAGTGAGGAACTTCAGTACTCCACTGACAATACTAGATAGATCATTAAGACCAAAAATCAATAAAGAAACAATAGACTTAAACTATACCCTAGAACAAATAGACTTGACATACATTTGCAGAACATTCTACCCAACAACTGCAGAATATACATTATCTTCATCTGTACATGGAACATTCTCCAAGATAGACCATATAATAGGCCACAAAACAAGTCTCAATAAATGTAAGAAAATATAAATTATATCAAGTACTCTCTCAGACCATGTTGGAATAAAACTGGAAATTAACTCAAAAAGGAACCCTCAAAACTATGCAAATACATGGAAATTAAATAACCTGCTCCAGAATGATCTTTGAGTCAACAATAAAATCAAGATGGGCATTAAAAAATTCTTTGAATTGAATGATAATAGTGACACAACCTATCAAAACTTCTGAGATACAGCAAAAGTGGTGCTAAAAGGAGAGTTCATAGCATTAAATGTTTACATCAAAAAGTCTGAGAGAGCACAAATAGACAATCTAAGCTCACACATCAATGAACTAGAGAAAGAAGAACAAACCAAACCCAAACACTGCAGAAAAAAATGGGAAATAACAAAGATCAGAGCAGAACTAAATAAAATTAAAACAAAAATACACAAAATAAATAAAACAAAATATTGGTTCTTTGAAAGAATAAACAAAATCAATAGACCATTAGCAAGATAAACCATGAAGAGAAGAGAGAAGATCCAAATAAGCTCAATTAGAAATAAAAAGGGTGATATTACAGCCAATACCACAGAAATACAATAGATTATTCAAGACTACTATGAAGACATTTATGTGCACAAACTAGAAAACCTAAAAGAGATTAATAAATTCCTGGAAATGTACAACCTTCCTAAATTAAACCAGGAAGAAATAGAAACTCTGAACAGACAAATAACAAGCTGTAATACTGAAACAGTAATAAAAAAGAACTTGCCAACAAAAAAAAAGTCCAGGACTAGATGGACTCACAGCTGAATTATATCAGACATTTAAATAATTGGTACTAAGTAGCAGTTCTACTGAAATTATTGCAAAAGACAGGGAAATACAGAATTATCCCTAAATTATTCTGTGAAGCCAGGATCACCCTAATACTGAAACCAGGAAAAAACATAACAAAAACAACAAAAAAATACAAACCAATATTCCTAATGAACACAGATGCAAAAATTCTCAACAAAATACAACCTAACCAAGTCCAACAGCATATCAAAAGGATAATCGACCATGATCAAGTGGGTTTTATACCAGGGATGCAGGATTGATTTAACATACATGAGTCAATTGTTGTGATACATCACATAAACAAAATTAAAAACAAATATCATGTGATCATCTCAATAGATGCAGAAAAAGCATTTGACAAAATCCACCATCCCTTTATTATTAAAGCCCTCAGCAAATCAGCATAGACGTGACATACCTTAAGGTATGTCATCTTTGATGAATCCAAAGTCAACATTATATTGAACAGGGAAAAGTTGAAAGCATTCCTCCTGAAAACTACAACAAGACAAGAGGCCCATTCTCACCACTTCTATTCAAAATAGTACTGGAAGCTCTAGTTACAGCAATCAGACAAAAGAAATAAATAAAGGACATCCAAATAGTTAAAAAGGCAGTCAAACTGTTGCTGTTTGCCAAAGATATGATTGTACACCTAGAAAACCCTAAAGACATGTTCAAAAAGCTCCTAGATCTGAAAAATAAATTTAGTAATGTCTCAGGTTACAAAATCAATGTACACAAATCAGTAGCACTTCTATACATCAGCAGTGACCAAGCTGAGAATCAAATCAATAACTCAATTTCTTTTACAAAGGCTGCAAAAAAATACTTAAGAATATACCTAACTAAGGAGGTAAAAGATCCCTACAGGAAAAACTGCAAAACACTGCTGAAAGAAATAATAGATGACATAAACAAATAGAAACACATCCTACACTCACTGATGGGTAGATTCAATAGTGTGAAAATGACCATACTGCCAAAAGCAGTCTATAAATTCTATGCAATTTCCATCAAAATACTATCATTATTCCTCACAGAGCTAGAAAAGAAATTCTAAAATTTATATAGAAACAAAAAAGAGCCTACATAGCCAAAGCAAGACTAAGCAAAAAGAACAAACCTGAAAGCATCACATTACCCAACTTAAAACTATACTACAAGGCTATAGTTACCAAAACAGCATGGTGCTGGTATAAAAATAGGCATGTAGTCCAACGGAATAGAATAGATATTCCAAAAATAAAGCCAAATACTTACAGCCAGCTGATCTTTGACAAAGGAAACAAAAACAGATAGTGGAGTGTATTAGTATGTTTCACACTGCTATAAAGTACTACCCAATACTGGATAATTTACAAAGAAAAGAGGTTTAATTAACTCATAGTTCCATATGGCTTGGGAGGCCTCTGGAAACTTACAATCATGGCAGAAGGCAAAGAAGAAACAAGGCATGTTTTTACTTGGTGGCAGAAGAGAGAAAGAGTGAAGGGGGAAGTGCCACTTTTAAACAATCAGATATTGTGAGAAATCCCTCACTATCATAAGCATAGCATGGGGGAAACAGCCCCCAAGATGCAATCACCTCCCACCAGTTCCCTCCCTTGACGCATGGGGATTACAACTTGAGATGAGATTTGTGTGGGAACACGGAATCTAACCATATCATTCCACCCTTGGCCCGTCCCAAATCTCATGTCCTTCTGACATTTCAAAAACAATCATGCCTTCCCAAAAGTCCTCCAAAGTCTTAACTCATTCCAGCACTAACTCAGAAGTTTAAGCCTGAAGTCTCATTTGATACAAGGTCAAAACCCTTCCACCTACGAGTCTGTTTAAAAAAAAAAAAAAAAGTTAGTTACTTTCAAGATACAAAGGGGGTACAGGCATTGGGTAAATGTTCCCATTCCAACCTGGAGAAATTGGACAAAACGAAGGGGCCACAGGCCCCATGCAAGTCTGAAACTTGACAGGGCACTCATTAAATCATAAATCTCCAAAAGAATCATTTTTGACTCCATGTCTCATATCCAGGGCATGGTGATGAAAAGGGTGGGCTCCCAAGGTCTTGGGCAGCTCCACTTCTGTGATTCTGCAGGGTACAGACCCTGTGGCTGCTTTCACCAGCTGGCATTGAGTGCCAGCAACTCTCTAGCATATTACCAGTTTCCTTTCTTTTTAGTCCTTATGTCAAGCTTAATTTATCTTACACATTTGCTTATATTATCTTCCCTACACTAGAATATAAGTTCCTTAAAGAAACAAAAAGGTCAATTCTACTTGATTGTATCCACTGTACCCGGAGCAATGTATGCTGCAGAGTAAGCCCTCAATAAATACTTGTTAAATTTATTAATAGATTAATAATCTATCTAACAAATTTTGAAGGAGGGCACCATTAAATTCCAATTTTACAGTTGCAGAAACTAAGGTTCAGGCAGGTCAAGTAACTTGCCTAAGTTTATCAAACTTTTAAGTGGTAGAGCCAAGATATTAATGCAGATTTATCTTGATATTAATGTCAAAACGGTTGGAGAAACAGAAGCCTTCAAGAAAAATGGATAATAACCAGCACAACAGAAAATGTGTCAGAAAAGAGTAGTTTAACATAAACCAAGAAAAGAGAACTAGAGGAGTTTCAAAAAGAAAAGGGATTAATAGTTTGGAGCATCAGAGCAATGTCAAGAAAGGGGAGGAACAATAATAGCTAACATAAATTATGCCAGAAACTGTGTGAAGTCCTAGACATACATTATCATATTTAATCTTACATTAAGACTGTGATCACACTTGTACTTTGGGAGACTGAGACAGGTGGTTCGCTTGAGCCCAGGAGTTTGAGACCAGCCTGGGCAAGATGGCAATGAGACCCTACCTCTACAAAAAATTTAAAAGTTAGCTGGGCAAGGTGGCATGTGCCTGTAGTCTTCGCTGCTTGGGAAGCTGATGTGGATGCATCTCTTGAGCCCAGGAATTTGAGGCAGCAGTGAGCTATGATTACACCACTAACAGTGCCTTGAATAATTGCACCACTATTATTGCACATGCCAGCCTGGGCAACAAAGTGAGACCCTGTATCTAAAAACAAACAAACAACAACAACAACAAAAACAACTATGAGTACGTACCATTATTATTCCCATTTTACAGAAAATAAAACTAAGGCACAAAAAGCTAAATTGCCAAAGATCATAAACCTAATGCATGATGGAGCAGCGCTTAAAACCAGATGTCATTTCAGCTATCAATTAAGTGGTCACTGGTGACCTTTATAGCTTTATAGTGAGAGCAGTTTCACAGGAGCAAGAGCTAGACTGCATTGGGTTAAATAATGGCTGGTAAAAAAAAAAAGTATAGACAGCAGGTTGTATAGTATTCTTTCTAGCTTACTGGCTTTCAGGGGAAGGCAGGATAACAGACACAAGGTAAAGGGTAATGGATGCAAGGTAAAAACTGGTTCTGTCTGTTCACAATATTGAAGAAACTAGAGCACATCATAGCTAAGTCATATGTGGGCTTAAATTTCCTAACACCATGCTTTTAATTATTGCTTCTATAGTTTATACATTTTGATTTTCATCTTCATAAGTTGTAAAGAGAATACTTAGTATATCATTTTAATCATTACAAAACCAATCTTAAAGAAACCCAAGCCATCAAAGATTCCCCACACTAAACATTCATATACTTTCATACTATGAACAGCAGGGACTCTCCAAGCAATGAAGGTGATCACTCCATCTTCCTTGACTGAGGATCATTATGAGCTGGTATTACAAAAGGACATTGTAGTCTTTTCTTTCTTAGAGATACCAGGTCTTTTTATTTGTTTTACTTGCAGGCACTGTAACATATGAAAATGAAGTCAAAATAAAGCAAATAAAACACTAAAATTAAGAAAATAATTGTCTTAAATATACCACCAAATATTACCAAAAATGCTCAACAAAATGCTACCTATTTTGGCTACCCCTGGTTTGTAAGGAAAAAAATCAACATGATTTTCTCAGTGTGAAAAAGATCTGAGGCTCACCTTATTCTTCACTGCCAGGTTCCATCAACTTTAACCTTGTCCCAAGTTCCCATATCACAAGTTGGGAGGGTGGTAAAGTGGGGCTGAAACTTTTGACAGAAAAAAGAAAGGATAATGAAAGTAGTGTCATAAAAAAACAAGAGCGGCTTGGTAGATTGCTGTGGGGAAATAAGAGATTAAAGACCTTTAACTCAAATAACCTAGATGCTAGGTCCTAGAGGAGATCGGTTGGGGTATAAAGAGAAAACAGGAAGTTGCTTAGTTACCACTTTTTTTAGGCTGTCAGCATAGTGCAGAGAAATAAGTTGTGACATTTAGGTTTTCCTCTAGGTACTTTCAACCAGATCACCAGGCAAATACAGTAGGAAAGATTTTTATTCATGAATAGTAAGGAAAGAACAATGGATGCTTTGCTGCTGACTTTTTTCTGAAGAGATCATACATTTTAGGAGTTCAGTAATCAAGTAGACAGAATTACACACATAGGTAATCTATATAATCTTCCGGTTAAACAAACTCAATTTGAATATTGAAATGATAAAATTTATAATGACGGGCTAATATTTATTTTAAATATTTCATAGATAATGTCTTCACTTTATATTTAAAAAGCAAAAAGTCACATCACTATTTCTAGTAAGATTATAAACAGATATAGGGAGTCTGTGGTACACTAATTTTGGCTTTTAAAAATGAGTTAATATTATTTGAAACAAAAATACATGGAGAATTTTGAAAAAATAGTTCCTCAAAAAAAGCTTAAATTCTCAATTCTTTAAAACTGTTATTTTGAAAAATCAAAATCTGTAACTATTTGCATGATTCTGGAAACTAGATTACCACATTATTACAAGAAGAGTATATAATAAATAAAACACTATAAAATTCCAAGTATAATTTGAGCAAGTTTGAAGCAATAGCTGAACACATGACTCAAAAATGTCAATAATCTAGTTATTACTATCTGCTTCAATTATTAAAACTGATATAGGATCTGTCACACGTTACATGCTCATTTAGGATTAAAGTGCTATCTTCACAAGAGTAAAACAAGTATTGAGAAAAAATTGACAAGTATATGCAGTTACATGCATCCATGTTTTAACATGGAGTTTTCTTTAGTTAAACAGAATATGTCATCAAAAATTTACATTTTCCATATTGATACAGTGCGTGTGTTCTTGATTCTAGTTGGCAGACACGGTCTCACCCAGTTCAGATTGATCTTTGGTCTTCACCACTTCATGGCTCAAGTGTATATATGCTATATAATGAAAGAAACAGCTTAATACCAAATATTTAGGAGCTCTGTCAATGACCAGGCTCTGGGGCTCAGTCTGCAACAAAGTTTATGACACCGTTTGCCTCTAGGGTCTGGAAACTCAGGCTTCTGCTAGGAGTACAACGAAGCTAACTAGCCCTCCCGGGGAATGAATCCTCCACTTGTATTTCATTGAAACAAAACTCAAACCAAGTGAACTAAGCCCTACAAAACGTTCAGTCTCAATGAACAAATTCATTTTAAATTCAGAAAATGCCAGCAGTCTACATATGAAATCCGCAGATGAGCTTAAATCAAAGCTGTTCTGAATCAGCCAAAAGAGAATCTCAAAGGAGTTTAAGAGGTTAGAAATCTGGTCAGAAAATGACTAAACTACATCCTGAACCAAGGGCAGTTAACTGCATATATCCACAGCCAAATGCTCCCAAACAGAGGCAATTGAGAAATGGAAGGCTTTGGGGAAAAAGCAAAATCCAGGGAGACAAAGAGTAAGAAATTTTAAGCTAATATCGTATGGTATGTATGAACTTAGAGCATGCTCTATCATTTGGGGATGAGTGTAGAAGGATAGTACATTGGTCTGAGGCATCGCAGGATTTGAGTAAAAGCAAAGTTCATGTTAAAAAGGAATAAGGTAAATAATATTGCATTGTCAAAGAGGCACTAAGCAAACTATCCACCCAAATTATTATTGTTATAAAAGGCACAATAATGAGGACTTGCTGTGTGCCAGGCACTTCAATAAAGCTTTGCCTGAATCAGTCCTTGAAACAATCCTGTGAGGTAGGTACTCAAAGGATTGAGTAATCCCATTTTACTGATAAAATGTAAGCACACAGAGATAAAACAGAGAAAATGGAAATGATTATTTGTTTTTAGTATAAAAAGAAATTTACCCTTAGTGAAGCATTTATTTAAATTAAGTAAATTGATTAACTCACCATAAGAAGTATCTTTCTTAAATGTTTGTGTGCTGCAAGGGCACTGAGGATATCTGTGAATCCAGACTTCTCTTTCTACTGCTCAATAATTGTTTTGAAAGCATCAAAGCCTCTAAAACAACTGAAAATGTCAAAGTGATCCTAAAAGCAGAGAGGAAGATAAATCAAATACAGGCTCAGAAGACAGATTAGGTTGGCTTCACTTATGGGCGTGAAATTTCCCTCATCTACAGTGAATACTTGAAACTTTTAAAAGTTTCCTCAAAGCACGTCTACTCCTGATCACCCCCACCACACTGGACCTCTCATTATACCTCTGAAGGTGCCTATTCTCCCATTTGTAAAATGTGCTTTCAGAAGTATTCAGCAAACAATAAAGAAAATTATGCTCTCAAATTTTTCCATTCCAGCTTCTAGCTTGTAACTTTTTTGATATTCATAAAAAAATCTACTATCGGCTTATTTCTCATGCTGTTGAATATGTAACATGTTGATATGGAAAATAACATATGACTTCTAAAGAATACTAATAAAATATCCTATTTTATTTAGCTGTAAATATAGCTGCAATTTTTTTATTACAGGAATGTAATTACCAAGGATGATGCTTTTTCATTGAGGAATATTCAACAATGACAATACACACTTTTGTACTTATTTTCATAATTTTATTTGAATGCCATTGATTTAGTATCCAGTGTTTGACAAAATAAAGACAAAAGATGTACTCATAAAAGAATTAGTTATTTATGTCACTACCTAAGGTCAAGCATCCCACTTAATTAGGCCTTACCAAAACTGCAATGCTTTGAAATGTATTTTACACTATATAGAGTCAATTAAATAATCTATGGAGAAATCATCAAATTTCAGAATATATCCCTATTGAAAAGAATGTTCACATATAAAAAACAGAGGTAGTTTGCTTTATCAATTAACAAGAATGACATAAAGGCCAATTATAAAAGAAATATTAAAAATAAAATGCAAAGTACGTAATGAAGAAACTTTAATTCAGAGGTATGCGGCTCCAATTCACTTGAATGGATTACACATGAATATATAACAAAGAATACGTCTTTTCAATGTAGTCACATTTCCACAAGAAATAAGTCAAATATGCAGTGCTCATCTAGAGGAACACAAACAGCCTCACCAGGATCTAATTTACAATTTTACTTCTTGGTATTTCATTATTTTTAAACTGGTAATAATAATAGGGCCTACCTAACAGAAATTTGGTAAGAATAAGTAAAATAATCCATGTAAAGTTCTCAATCCACTTCTTGGCACACACTAATTGCTCAATAAATGTTACCTATTATTGTTGTTATTCTATGTAGTGAAGTAATACAAACACATTACAAGGTAAAATGTGATAAGTGCTGTTAAAAATATACAAAGGTCTAGGAGATTTGAGGAAAAATAGTTGTGCCCATTTGTAAGATTTGAGAAAAAATATTTTTTATATTTCTTATATAAAATGTATAGTTCAATTTTGTATAAGAATTTAGGGATGTAGAGAAGTCTGAGAGGTGGCAATGAAAAGGTTTATGGCCATTTCCAGGTAGGAAGAACAAGAGTGATGAGAGTTTCAGAAGTGAAAATGTACGCAGTATAAGTGAGTAGTAATATATATTCTATTTTGGCTGGATTGTTAGCAAGTTATGAGGGTAGAAAAAGGCAAGGTAGAGGAATTAGAATGGACCAATATCATGCAAAGATGTGAATTTGAGTGACCGGTATCTACACTTAATTTAGGATGCAATGGGAGATCTACAGAAGAATGTTGAACAAGAGAGTCCCATAATCAATACAGAAATAGGTAAGACAAATAAATAAAAACTAGAAAGCCAATAAGAAAACTATTGCAATGGTCTGTTAAAAAAATAAAGGTTACAGATTGGGAGGCAGAGCAAGATGGTAAGAATGAAGAATAGAAAACCCCATCAATCATCCTTTATACAAGGACACCAAGTTAACAACTGTCTACACAGAAAAAAAAAAAATCATTAGAACCCAAAATCAGGTGAGCCAGGTGGGCACTCACAGTATTTGGTTTTAACTTCATATCTTTGAAAGAGGCACTGAAGAGATAGCAAAAAACAGTCCTGGATCACTAACACCATCTCCTTCATCCCCCTGCAGCAGTGGTGTGTTGCAGAAAGCATTTCTGGGCGCTGGGGGAGAAAAAAACACAATTGTGAGGCTCTGAGCTCTGTGCTGTTCTGTTAGAGCAGAAAGAAAAACAAGATGAAACTCAGCTGATGCCTGCCCACAGGGGAAACATTTAAACCAGCCCTAGCCAGAGGAAAATCATTAATCTCAGTGGTCCAAAACTGACTGTGTGCAAAACTTGCCACTGAGGGGCAAAGTGCTCTCAGTCTCTAGGTAAACTTGAGAGTCAGACTAGGCCATAAGGACCGCAACTCTTAGGCTAGTCCTAGGGCTGAACAATACTTAGAGACAGTGGACTGGGGGGTGGGGGGAATGAGATACACTGAGACATCAAATGGGGAAGCCAAGGGGGTGCTGGTATTGCCCATCTTTTAACCCCAGGCTTCAGAGCTTGCAGCTCCAAAAGAGACCCCTTCATTCCGCATGAGGAGAGGAGGGAGAAGAGTTGGGAGAACTTTGTCTTGCATCTTGGATAACAGCTCAGCCACAGTAAGATAGGGCACTAGTCAGAGTCACGATGCACCCATTGCAGGCCTTAGCTCCCAGCTGACACTTCTAGACATACCCTGGGCCAGAAGTAAACTGGCTGCCTTTAAGGGAAGGACACAGTCCTGCCAGCTTTTATCACCTGCTAACTCAAGAGCCCTTGGGTCCTGAAAAGCCAGCAGCCATACCCAGGTACTACGTGGAGGGCTTTGGTGAGCCTCTGAGACTTGTTGGTTTCAGATGAGACTCAGCACACTACCAGCTATGGTGGCTATGGAGCAAAACTCTTTCTGCTTGAGAAAAGCAGAGGAAAAAGTAAAGGGGACTTTGCCTTTTACCTCAGGTACAAACATCACTATATGGGGGTACAGCATCAAGTGGGCTCCTGAGGTCCCTGACTCTTAAAACTTGACTCTTGAACAGCATTTCTGCAGCTGCCCAAGACCAGAGGGGAGCCCACTGTCTGGAAGGATGAATCCCAGGCCAAAAAGCATTCACCACAAGCTGACTTAAGAGATCTTGACCCTTAAGGTAACGTTTGTAATAGTCTGGCAGTACTCCTTATGGCCTTGGTTAGCAGTGGCTACAGGGTGAGGCTCCTCTGAGTTGGGAAAGCCTGTGTCTTGTGGTTTGAGTGCCAGCTCAGCCACAATACAATAGAATACTAGATAGACTTCTAAGGTTTTTGCCTCTAGTCCTTGACTCCCTGGCAGCACCTCTGGACCAACGTGTGGCCTGGGGGAACTCACAGTCCTAAAGTGAAGGACACAGGCCTGGCTGGCTTTGCCACCTGCTTATTGTAGAGCCACAGGGCCTTGAGTAAACAAAGGCAGTGATGAGGGAGTGATTAGAGCAGGCCTTGGGTGAGACTCAGTGCTGTGCTGGCTTCAAGTCTGACCCAGTGCAGTCAGAGTGGTAGTAGCCATAGGGTTCTTGTATAGATCCATCCCCAACTTTAGGTGTCTCTGAACAGAGAGAGGGACACGATTTGTTTTGGAGAAAATAAGGAAAGAGAACAAGTGTGTCTACTTGGCATCCAGAAAATTCTCCCACATCTTGCCCAAGACCATCAAGATGGTACATCTATGAGTCTGCAAGAACCACAGCATTACTGAGCTTGGGTATCCCCTAAAGAAAAAGCAGCTTAGAAAACAATACCCAAGTCCTTTCAAATATCTGGAAAGCCTTCCAATGAAGGACAGCTGCAAATAAGCCCAGATAGTGAAGACTACAGTAAATAGCTAACTCTTCAATGCCCATACACCGAAGAACATCTACTAGCATTAACATTTTCCAGGAAAACATGACCTCACCAAAAGAAATAAATAAGGCACCAGAGGTCAATACTGGAGAAACAAAGATATGTGGCCTTTCACACAGATAATTCAAAATAGCTATGCTGAGGAAACTCAAAGAAATTCAAGATAGCACAGAGAAGGAATTCAGAATCCTATCAGATAAATCTAACAAAAAGATTAAAATAATGAAAAAGAATGAATCAGAAACTCAAAAGATGAAAGATGCATCAAGAATAATAATTAGCGAAATTGAAGAAAGGCTATTTGAAAATACACAGTCAGAGAAGACAAAAGACAAAAGAATAAAAAACAGTGAAGGACAACTACAGGATTTAGAAAATAACCTCAAAAGGGAAAATCGGCCTTAAAAAGGGGTTAGAGAAAGGGATAGAGGCAGAAACTTTATTCAAAGGGATAATAACAGATAACTTCATAAATCTAGAGAGAGATATGAATACCCAAGTATAATAATGTTATAGAATACCAAGCAGTTTTAACCCAAAGAAGACTACATCAAGGCATTTAATAATCAAATTCCCAAAAGTCAAAGATACAGAAAGGATCCTAAAAGCAGCAAGAGAAAAGAAAGGAATAACATACAGTGGAGCTTGAATATATCCAGCATCAAAGTTTTCACTAGAAACCTTACAGGCCAGAAGGGAGTAGCATGACATATTTAAATTGATGAAGGAAAAATACCTTTTACCATATAATAGTGTATCTGGCAAAAACATCCTCTGAACATGAAGGAGAAAAATGGACTATTCCAGACAAACAGAAACAGGGATTTCATCAATACCAAACCTGTCCTAAAAGAAATGTTAAAACAAGTACTTCAATCAGAAGGAAAAAGGCATTTATAAACAATAAATATTTGCTTAAAGGTAAAAAAACTTACTGGTAATCATAAGTACACAGAAAGACATAGTGTATTATATCACTGCAACTATGGTGTGTAAACTACTCTTATCCAAAATAGAAACACTAAACAAGGAACCAATCAAAAATAACAACTACAATAACTTCTCTAGACGTAGTCAGTAATAGATATAAATAGAAATGGAAACAACAAGAAGTTAAAAGACAGAGGTATGAAGTTAAGGTGTAGAGTTTTTATTTTCCTTTTGCTTGTTTTTTATGTAAATAGGTTTAAGTTTGTTATCAGGTTAAAATAATGGTTTATAAGATAGTATTTGCAAGCCTCATGGTAACTGAAACCCAAAAATCATACAATGAATACACAAAAAATAAAAAGCAAGAAACTAAATCATATCACCAGAGAAAATCATCTTCACCAGAGGAAGATAAGAATAAAAAAAAGGTAAGAGAAGACCACAAAACAACCAGAGAACAAAATAACAAAATGGCATGGGTAGGCCCTTACTTATTGATGATAATAATGAATGTAAATGAACTAAACTTATCAATTAAAAGTCATAGCCTAGCTGAAAGGATGAAGAAAACCAGACCCATTGATCTGTTGTCTACAAAGAACACATTTTACCTATAAAGACACACATCAACTGAAAATAAAAGGATAAAAAAGTAATCCATGCTAAAGGAAACCAATGAAGAGCAGGAGTCACCATATTTATATCAGACAAAATAGATTTCAAGACAAAACCTATAAGAAGAGACAAAAAAGTCACTATATAATGATAAAGGGGTCAATTTTCCAAGAGAACATAACAATGTGAATACATACGTACCCAACAGTGGATCACTCTGATATATAAAGGAAATATAATTAAAGATAAAGAGAGAAATAGACCACAATATAGTAATAGCTGGAGACTTCAACACCCCACTTTCAGCATTGGATAGATCTTCCAGACAGAAAATCAACAAAGAATCATCAGACTTAATATGATCCAAATATCTAATTAGATATTTGATATGGATCTAATAGATATTTACAGAACCTTTCAGGCAATGGCTTCAGAATACACATCTTTTTCTCAGCACGTGGATTATTCTTAATGCTAGACCATCTGTTTTGTCACATTAAAAAACTGAAATTACATCAAGCATCTTTTCTGACCACAAAGGAATAAAACTATAAATTAATAACAAGAGGAATTTTGGAAACTATACAAATACATGGTAATTAAACAATACGCTATTTAATTACCAGTGAGTCAATGAAGAAATTAAAAAGGAAATTGAATAGTTTCTAGTAACAAATGCTAATGGAAACATAGCATACCAAATCCTAAAGGATACAGCAAAAAGCAGTACTAAGAGGAAATTTTATGGCCATAAGTGCCTACATCAAAAAAGGAACAACTTTAAATAATCTGATAATGCATCTTAAAGAATTAGAAAAAACAATATCAAACCAAATCCAAAATTAGTAGAAGAAAGTAAATAATAAAGATCAGAACGTAAATAAATGACATTGAAATAAAAAATACAAATGATCAATGAAACAAAAAGTTAGTTTTTTGAAAATTTAAACAAAGTAGGCAAACATTTAGCCAGACTAAGGAAAAAAGAGAGACTATCCAATTATATGAAATCAGAAATGAAAAAGGAGACATTACAACTGATACTGCAGAAACTCAAAGGATCATTAGTGGCTACTATAAGTAACTTCGTGTCAATAAATTGGAAAATCTAGAAGAAATTAACAAATTCCTAAATACATACAACCCACCAAGATTTAACCAGGAAGAAATACAAAACCTGAACAGACAAATAACAAGTAATGAGATTAAAGAGATGTCTGCGTTCCAATGTTTGTTGCAGCGCTGTTTACAATAGCTACGATTTGGAAGCTACCTAAGTGTTCATCAACAGATGAATGATTTTTTAAAATGTGGTAGATATATACAATGAAGTATTATTTAGCCATAAAAAAGAATGATATTTGGTCATTTGCAACAACAGGGATGGACCTGGAGATTATTATGCTAAGCGAACTAAGCCAGGCACAGAAAGACAATCATTGTATGTTTTCATTTATTTGTGTGATTTGAAAACAAAAACAATTGAACTCATAGATATTGAGAGTAGAAACATGATTACCAGAGGCTGGGAAGAGTAGTAGTGAGCTGGAGAGGCAGTGGCGATGGTCAATGGGTACAGAAAAATAGAAAGAATAAGACCTATTATTTGATAGCACAGCAGGGTGACAGTAGTCAGTAATAACTGTACATTTTAAAATAACTTAAATAGTATACTTGGATTGTTTGAAACTCAATGGATGAATTATTGGGAGGACAGATACCCCATTCTTCAATAATTGTGCTTATTTCACATTGCATGCCTGTGTCAAAACATCTCATGTACTCCATAAATATATACACCTACTATGTACCCATGAAAAATTAAAATTTAAAATAAAGGTTATGGGAGTCTGACCACAAAGTTGGCAGTGGGAATGAAAAGTACAAAAAGTTAAGACAAGCTTTTTAAATGAAAATTCCATAAAAATGGATAACTTATAAATTTGACATGAAGCAAAATGTTAAGAGGGAGAAATTTAAACATTTCTCCATATGGGGCCCGTGGTTATGCTCAAGGTTGTTGTAAGTACCAAGAAGACTACTTGGGAAGAGTCTTAGTCAAGTTCTTCAGAGCATGACATGAAAATAGAAACCTAGCACAAAGATAAAAACTGCAGCCTATTAGGTAGAAGCAAGTTTGTCTTAATGACCAAGAGCAGGCAAACAAACAAAACTATAAGAAATCAGCTTGAAAATTAACACAGTACCTGTATTGCCACAGCTAACATGCAAAGATGCTTTTTACTCTTCAGGAAACTATATTTTCCTTATCTATATTTTTTGTTAAACCATCATTTTCATTAAGTTAATTAGTAGTCTTCTTTCACTTCTTTGTATAACTTTTTCTTGACTCATTAGAGACACTTTGGCAATACATAAATAATAAATAATAAGTTCAAATGGCATCAGACTCTAGAATTACTGGACCAAAGTTTGACATGTCACAAGAATCAGCATTCACATCCTGTTGACTTTAGCCACAAAAATATTTTGCTTTCTCTGTAACACCATGGGAAAAAAAAATGAATTGAAAAGAAAAAGAAAAATTATTTCTGTTACTTCTATATAAATTATTAACCACAAGCTAAAAAAAACAAAGTAATTTTTATGAGAGGGCAATATCATTTGGAAGGCATTATCAGTGAAAAAAATATAATCTTAAACATATACCTGTAACCTCTTCAATTCCTTAGGCAAATGGCACATGTACAACAAAAGCCCACAAGTGTGTGACCATAGTTACCTGTGAACCTTAGCTTTCTTTTCAAATAAATAGTTCCTTAGCAGATTCCAATGAATGTTGTGAGCACTTCAACTTTAACAGAGAAGTGACTGAGGGCCATTTCAAAATTAAATTACAAATAATTATTCAATATATCACATTTCATTTATTTTTTTTGTTAGATGGTTATATGGTTTCACTGTGTTCCCACCCAATCTCATCTTGAATTGCAACTCTCACAATTTCCATGTGTTGTGGGAGGAACCTGGTAGGGAGGTGATGAATTATGAGAGGAGGTCTTTCCTGCACTGTTCTCATGATAGTGAATGAGTCTCATGAGATCTGATGGTGTTAAAAAACAGAAGTTTCCCTGCACAAGCTCTCTCTTTGCCTGCTGCCATCCATGTATGACGTGACTTGCTCCTCCTTGCTTTCAGCCATGATTGAGAGGCCTCCCCAGCCATTTGGAACTGTAAGTCTATTAAACCTCTTTTCTTCCCAGTCTCAGGTATGTTTTTATCAGCAGCATGAAAATGGACTAATACAGATAGCTACCCTTTTCAATAACTAGACCTTAAGTTATTAAAGGAGAATGACAGAATAAAAATTAGGTACCTTTATCAAATTGATGATTATAACAATCATTCAAATTAAAATAACAAAGTGTTAATAAGATCAAATGGAACTTCAGTATAATTACATACATATTATCTGGAGAGTCAGGCAACATGTATTGAAAATGTGTGGTGCATTAATGTTTAAGAGTTCAAAGGCATTTTGCTACCATATGGAGATAATATATTATTCACAGCTTACACTTTTAAACTAGAGTAGGTTCACATGATAACTTTGTATTTTTAAAGGAAATAACACAACAGTTTTTTTATGGCTAATAGAAAAGCAAAGCATAAAGAGGTATGAATTTAAAGTTAGCCAGTACATTCAAACCCTAGGGATAAGATCACTAATTAAGTAGTGATTAAAATTAAAGACCAGCATTTGTGTGGCTCTACATTTGATCCACCAATTTATTTTCTTCTCCCTGGAGTATCTTTTTAGGTTTCTATAATTTCCAATGTTTGATTTATTACCAAGAAGAATAGACAATCTTAACTTTTGTCTGTCAAAACTGTTCATTTATTCTTTTCTTCTTCTTACTTTAAGTATTCTATCTTTCCATACTGTACCAGAGTCTTCTGTTTCATTTCTTTTTCCACAATTCATAAAACAGATGTGCACGTTTGATGATGTTATGACATTTTTCATACAGGCTGTCTACTAAACAATAAGGTGCAGTAGATAACTGAGTTAGCTATCTGAGTACCATTCTAACATTATCTGGATAACTACTTCACTTTCCTCCCAAACTTCCAAGTTCTATTTCAAGTTCTTTTGCCTGGTTCTTCAGCTAGGCATAAGCTAGTTTGATTTCTATCATTTATTTACTCTATTTTATATATTATCAAAATGACACATTCCACCTGGCCATAATTCCATGTTTTCACCAAGATAGCTCCAATGATAATCATGTGGCTCTGACCAAATAATTCTTTTAGAAAAGTTTATTCAGTGGAATACTGGTCATTTTAAATATAGGTGCCATTTGTACCTTTTGAAATTTTCCTGTGGCTATATGGGTAAAATACATAATACATTTTATGTTTCATATTTTTATTGAGTCATTGAAACCTAATTTGGCATTGCTATTAGCTCATTATAATAGAAAAACTCTGCAGATGTGTATTTTCAGAATCAGTGGCACATTGGTTTACACCTGATAATATTAAATCCATTTACTTATATGTGGACTAAAGATATGTAAGGAGGAGATGAATATCATGTAAAGCCAAATAAAAAAAAATAGGATGATGTAGCTCTCCAAATGTCAAAATAAGTTCACAAGTATACATTAAAACTGATGACTGTTACACTTGAAAGCTCTATGTAAATGGGCTAAATGCTCCAATTAAAAGACACAGACTGGCAAATTGGATAAAGAGTCAAGACCCATCAGTGTGCTGTATTCAGGAAACCCATCTCACGTGCAGAGACACACATAGGCTCAAAATAAAGGGATGGAGAAAGACCCACCAAGCAAATGGAAAACAAAAAAAGGCAGGGGTTGCAATCCTAGCCTCTGATAAAACAAACTTTAAACCAACAAAGATCAAAAGAGACAAAGAAGGCCATTGCATAATGGTAAAGGGATCAATTCAATAAGAAGAGCTAACTATCCTAAATATATATGCACCCAATACAGGAGCACCAAGATTCATAAAGAAAGTCCTTAGAGACCTACAAAGAGACTTAGACTCCCACACAATAATAATGGGAGACTTTAACACCCTAGTGTCAACATTAGACAGATCAACGAGACAGAAAGTTAACAAGGATATCCAGGAATTGAACTCAGCTCTGCACCAAGCGGACCTAATAGACATCTGCAGAACTCTCCACCCCAAATCAACAGAATATACATTCTTTTCAGCACCACACCACACCTATTCCAAAATTGACCACATACTTGGAAGTAAAGCACTCCTCAGCAAATGTAAAAGAACAGAAATTATAACAAACTGTCTCTCAGACCACAGTGCAATCAAACTAGAACTCAGGATTAAGAAACTCACTCAAAACCACTCAATTACATGGAAACTGAACAACCTGCTCCTGAATGACTACTGAGTACATAATGAAATGAAGGCAGAAATAAAGATGTTCTTTGAAACCAGTGAGAACAAAGACACAACATACCAGAATCTCTGGGACACATTCAAAGCAGTGTGTACAGGGAAATTTATAGCACTAAATGCCCACAAGAGAAAGCAGGAAAGATCTAAAATTGACATGCTAATATCACAATTAAAAGAACTAGAGAAGCAAGAGCAAACACATTCAAAAGCTAGCAGAAGGCAAGAAATAATTAAGATCAGAGCAGAACTGAAGGAAATAGAGACACAAAAAACCCTTTAAAAACTCAATGAATCTAGGAGCTGGTTTTTTGAAAAGATCAACAAAATTGATAGACCGCTAGCAAGACTAACAAAGAAGAAAAGAGAGAAGAATCAAATAAATGCAATAAAAAATGATAAAGGGGATATCACCACCGATCCCACAGAAATACAAACTACCATAAGAGAATACTATAATCACCTCTACACAAATAAACTAGAAAATCTGGAAGAAATGGATAAATTCCTCGACCCATACACTTTCCCAAGACTAAATCAGGAAGAAGTTGAATCTCTGAATAGACCAATAACAGGCTCTGAAATTGAGGCAATAATTAATAGCTTACCAACCAAAAAAGTCCAGGACCAGATGGATTCACAGCTGAATTCCACCAGAGGTACAAGGAGGAGCTGGTACCATTCCTTCTGAAACTATTCCAATCAATAGGAAAAGAGGGAATCCTCCCTAATTCATTTTATGAGGCCAGCATCATCCTGATACCAAAGCCTGGCAGAGACACAACAAAAAAAGAGAATTTTAGACCAATATCCCTGATGCACATCGATGCAAAAATCCTCAATAAAATACTGGCAAACTGAATCCAGCAGCACATCAAAAAGCTTATCCACCATGATCAAGTGGGCTTCATCCCTGGGATGCAAGGCTGGTGCAACGTATGCAAATCAATAAATGTAATCCAGCATATAAACAGAACCAAAGACAAAAACCACATGATTATCTCAATAGATGCAGAAAAGGCCTTTGACAAAATTCAACAGCCCTTCATGCTAAAAACTCTCAGTAAATTAGGTATTGATGGGACGTATCTCAAAATAATAAGAGCTATTTATGACAAACCCACAGCCAATATCATACTGAATGGGCAAAAAGTGGAAGCATTCCCTTTGAAAACTGGCACAAGACAGGGATGCCCTCTCTCACCACTCCTATTCAACATACTGTTGGAAGTTCTGGCCAGGGCAATCAGGCAGGAGAAAGAAATAAACGGTATTCAATTAAGAAAAGAGGAAGTCAAATTGTCCCTGTTTACAGATGACATGATTGTATATCTAGAAAACCCCATCATCTCAGCTCAAAATCTCCTCAAGCTGATAAGCAACTTCTCAGGATACAAAATCAACATGCAAAAATCACAAGCATTCTTATACACCAATAACAGACAAACAGAGAGTCAAATCATGAGCAACTTACAAGGGATGTGAAGGACCTCTTCAAGGAGAACTACAGACCACTGCTCAATGAAATAAAAGAGGATACAAACAAATAGAAGAACATTCCATGCTCACAGGTAGGAAGAATCAATATCATCAAAATGGCCATACTGCCCAAGGTAATTTATAGATTCAATGCCATCCCCATCAAGCTACCAATGACTTTCTTCACAGAATTGGAAAAAACTACTTTAAAGTTCATACAGAACCAAAAAAGAGCCCGCATCACCAAGTCAATCCTAAGCCAAAAGAACAAAGCTGGAGGCATCATGCTACCTGACTTCAAACTATACTACAAGGCTACAGTAACCAAAACAGCATCGTACTGGTACCAAAACAGAGACATAGATCAACGGAACAGAACAGAGCCCTCAGAAATAATGCCACATATCTACAACTATCTGATCTTTGACAAACCTGACAAAAACAAGCAATGGGGAAAGGATTCTCTATTTAATAAATGGTGTTGTGATAGTGAATAAATGATGGAATGAATGAAAACTGGCTAGCCATATGTAGAAAGCTGAAACTGGATCCCTTCCTTACACCTTATACAACAATTAATTCAAGATGGATTAAAGACTTAAATGTTAGACCTAAAACCATAAAAACCCTAGAAGAAAACCTAGGCAATACCATTCAGGCATAGGCATGGGCAAGGACTTCATGTCTAAAACACCAAAAGCAATGGCAACAAAAGCCAAAATTGTCAAATGGGATCTAATTAAACTAAAGAGCTTCTGCACAGCAAAAGAAACTACCATCAGAGTGAACAGGCAACCTACAGAATGGGAGAAAATTTTTGCAACCTACTCATCTGACAAAGGGCTAATATCCAGAATCTACAATGAACTCAAACAAATTTACAAGAAAAAAACAAACAACCCCATCAACAAGTGGGCAAAGGATATGAACAGACACTTCTCAAAAGAAGACATTTATGCAGCCAACAGACACACGAAAAACTGCTCATCATCACTGGCCATCAGAGAAATGCAAATCAAAACCACAATGAGATACCATCTCATACCAGTTAGAATGGCAATCATTAAAAAGTCAGGAAACAACAGGTGCTGGAGAGGATGTGGAGAAATAGGAACACTTTTACACTGTTGGTGGGACTGTAAACTAGTTCAATCATTGTGGAAGTCAGTGTGGGGATTCCTCAGGGATCTAGAACTAGAAATACCATTTGACCCAGCCATCCCATTACTGGGTATATACCCAAAGGATTATAAATCATGCTGCTATAAAGACACATGCACACGTATATTTATTGTGGCACTATTCACAATAGCAAAGACTTGGAACCAAGCCAAATGTCCAACAATGATAGACTGGATTAAGAAAATGTGGCACACATACACCATGGAATACTATGCAGCTATAAAAAATGATGAGTTCATGTCCTTTGTAGGGACATGGATGAAGCTGGAAACCATCCTTCTCAGCAAACTATCGCAAGGACAAAAAACCAAACACCACATGTTTTCACTCATAGGTGGGAATTGAACAATGAGAACACATGATCACAGGAAGGGGAACATCACACACTGGGGCCTGTTGTGAGGTGGGGGGAGAGGGGATGGATAGCATTAGGAGATATACCTAATGTTAAATGACGAGTTAATGGGTGCAGCCCACCAAGATGGCACATGTATACATATGTAACAGACCTGCACATTGTGCACATGTACCCTAAAACTTAATGTATAATAATAATAAAAAAGTTCTGTATTTTTGCTGTGATGTTTAAGTAACAGATGTAATATAAAACTTTTATTAAAATAAATCTGACAATATTTTATTAATATATTTTGTTATAATAATAATGCTCATGACAGAAAATGGAAGCAATACACAGAGTATAAAATAAAATGTAAAAGTTCTATTCAGCTCCCTGTCACACTCCTTAGAGAAACATAGTGCAAACAATGTATGTGTTGTGCTAGATAATATATGCATATTAAAAACATAAATATTATATATACACACATATGCACAAGGACATATACAAGGTAGATGATAGATATACAGACAGACAGACTTGGTGTGTATACATAGATAAAATATGTTCATATAGAAATATGTAATATAAATGTAATTGTCCCATCCAGATTATTATATAAATTGATTTTTTTCACATAATGTATTGTGAAAATATTTCTGCACCAGTATATATAGATGGTTCTGATTTCTTTCAAAGTCTGTTAGAATTTGATTTTATGAGTATACTATAATTTATGTAATCAATCACCCATTTTCAGAAAAGTTATTTACAGCTTTTACCATTACAAATAATAGAACAACCCTTGCACATATATACTAATGTACTCTTGTGACTATACCTATAGACCTACTTTACAGCAGTGGAAATGGAAGGAAAAATGTTCATTTATGTTGTAATATGTGGACAGATTACCATCCAGGAAGGTTGAATCAATATATAATTAAATAAATAGTATGAATGCTCATTTACATATATCCTCACCAAAAAAAAATATTAAACTTTATTTAGAGTGATTAAATGGTAGCTTATAATTAGTTTTGATTTTATTTTATTTATTAATAATTGATGACAAGTACATTTTAAAATATTTATTTTCTGTTGGTATTTTTGCAATTGCCTGAGCACCCCCTTACCTCATTGTTTCTCTGTTGGATTATTCAAATTGTGATTTTTGATTTACAAGAGCTCTTTAAGGAAAATTTATTCTAACCAACAAATATTTTTCAGTGTGTCATTTGACACTCAAATGGTATTTTCCAGTTAAATAAGTTTTTAGTTTGTATTTATTAATTTTATAGTATTTTATTTTATGGCATCTAAACCTTACAGCATCTTTCCTTAAACCAAGTGGAAAAAAAAAAAAAGGAATGCCTCTTTCTAGTACTTTTTGTTTACTTGTTTTGTTGTAATAGGTTTATTGAGGCATAAATTACCTACAATAAACTGCACACTTTTATTTTTATTTTTCACGCTCCCTGCCAGGAGACAAAACTGCATGCTTTTAAATGTACAATTTCGATAAGTTTTGAAATATGTATACACCTGTGGAATACTCTCCACAATCAAAATAGTGAACATAATCAACACTCACAAAATTTTCCAGGTGCCTCATTGTATTCTCCCTTCCTGCCCCTCTATTTTCTATTCTCAAGCAACTACTGACCTTTCTGTCACTAAAGATCAGTTTGAATTTTCTTTTTTTTGTAAATATAAATATGTAATATATAAGTAATATGTAATATGTAATTTTTATGTAATAATATGTAAATATTTTTATGTAAATAGTATTTTTGCCTGAATACTTTAACTAAGCACAATTATTTTGAGATTCATTTATGTTGTGAGTATCAATCATTTATTTATTTGTATTGCTGACTTGTATTTCATTGTATGGATATAAAACATTTATTCAATCACATGTTGATACACATTTGGGTTGTTTCCAGTTTTTGGTTATAGATATATGCTGTCATTTCTTTTGGGTAAATATCTAAAAGTGGAATGTCAGAATAATAATGCAGATGTATGCTTAATATGTAAGAAACTACCAAAATCTTTCCAAAGTGTTTGTATCATTTTATAGCCAAACTAGCAGTATGTGAGAGTTCCAGTTCCTCCATAATCTAGTGTGGTCAGTCTTTTTAATTGTAGCCTGATGTGTAATATCACGTTGTGGATTTAATTTGCACTTTCCTAAAAAATAATATTGAGCTGCTTTTCATGTGCATATTACCATCTGTATTTTTTTAATAAAATGTGTTCAAACTTTTTGCCCATTTTAAAAAACTTGGTAGTTTTCTCAAGTTTTGAGAGTCCTTTTTATCTTCTAGATACAAATCTTTTATCTCTCAGACTACAATATTTCTTTTCATTTTCTTAATGAATAAAAAGCAGTTTTCTAAACTTCTAAAAGCAGGAGTTTTTAATTTTGATGAAGACCAATATATCATTATTTTCTATTATGGGTTGTGTATTTGGTGTTATATTTAAAAATTCTTGCCTAACCCAATGTTGCAAGAATTTTCTCCAACGTTTTCATCTAGAGGTTTTGTAGTTATAGAATTTTGATTTCAGCCTATAATCCATAATCCATTTTGAGTTAATTTTGTTTATAGTAGGAGGTATGAATTGGAGGTTTGATTTGTTTGTTTTACATTTTCTAAATGGATCTCAATGTGTTACAGTACCATGTCTTAAAAAAGTTGTCCTTTTCCTACTTAAATTCACTTTGTAAGTGGTTTAAATCTACCTTCTTGCTATTAATTTTCCATTTGTTCTAGCTTTTCTTTTGCTCCTTGTATCTTATTTTTCTGCCTCCTTTTAGATTAACTGAGTAATTTTTAAGATTCCACTTTATATCCCTTGTTAGCTTATTAATATAACTCTTTGCTTTGTTAGTTTAAGGGTTGCTGTAGGTTTTATGGTATATTATTTTCACTTGTCACATTTAAGAGATATTATACCACTTCATGTTTACTCAAGGTATCTTACAACAATAAATTTCCATCTCTTTCCTCTTAAGCTCCTTGCAATTGGCATACACTTTAAGTATAACCCCACAGTATATTGTTGTTATTTTTGCATTAACAATCAATTACCTTTTATAAAAAAAACAAATAATTCGACAAATATTGTCTTGTTTTTTACCCATAGAGTTACCATTTCTGCTGCCCTTTATTCCTTTGTGTAGATCCAGATGTATGTCTGGTATCATTATCCTTTGGCCTGAAGAACTTCATTTAACACATCTTGAAGTGCATGTGTGGTGGGATTAGTTATTTCAGCTGTCGTATATCTGAAAAACTGTTATTTCACCTTTGCTTTTGAAAGAAATTTCATTTGGCTCAGAAGCATAGATTGAAAATTTTATTTCAGTACTTTAAAGATGTTCCTCCACTCTCTGCTTGCTTATACTGTTTCTGATGGAAATTGGAATCTCTTACCCCAGGCAGCTCTTAAGATTTTCTCACCACTGCTTTTAAGCAATTTGATTTTGGTGTATCTCAGTGTAGTATTTTTCATGTTTCTTGTGTTTCTTTTTTTCTTCAACTTTTATTTTAGGTTCTGGGGTACATGCGCAGGACGACCAGGTTTGTTACATAGGTAAACCTGTGCCATGGTGGTTTGCTGCACCTAACAACCCATCACCTAAGTATTAAGCTCGGTATCCATTAGCTATTCTTACTGACACTCTCCCTCGTCCAGCAGCACCCAACAGGCTGCAGTGTGTGTTGCTCCCCGCCATGTGTCCATGTCTTCCTATCATTCAACTCACATGCATAAGAGAGAATATGCAATGTTTGGTTTTCTGTTTCTGCATTAGTTTGCTGAAGATAATGGCTTACAGCTCCATCCATGTCTCTGCAAAGGACGTGATCTCATTCTTTCCTTGGCTGCATAGCATTCCTTGGTGTATAAGTACCACATTTTCTTTATACAGTCTATCATTGATGGGCATTTGGGTTGATTCCATGTCTTTGCTATTGTAAAAAGTGCTGCAATGAACATATATGTGCATGTATCTTTATAATAGAATGATTTATATTTTCTTGGGTATATACCCAGTAATGGGATTGCTAGGTCAAATGGTATTTCTGCTTCTAGATCTTTGAGAAATCATCACATTGTCATCCACAATGGTTGAACTAATTTACACTACCACCAAGAGTGTAAAAATGTTCCTTTTTCTATGCAACCCCGCCAGCATCTGTTGTTTCTTGACTTTTTAATAATTGTCATTCCAACTGGCATGAGTTGGTATCTCATTGTGGTTTTGATTTGCATTTCTCTAACGATAGGTGATGTTGAGATTTTTTTCATATGTTTGTTGGCCACATAAATGGCTTCTTTTGAGAAGTGCCTGTTCATGTCCTTGCTCATTTTTTAATGGGGATGTATTTTTTTTCATGGAAATTTGTTTAAGTTACTTGTAGACTCTGAATATAAGCCCTTTGCCCAATGGAGAGACTGCAAATTTTTTCTACCGTTCTGTAGGTTGTCTGTTCATTCTGATGATAGTTTCTTTGCTGTGCAGAAGCTCTTTAGTTTAATTAGATCCAATGTGTCAATTTTTGCTTTTGTTGCAATTACTTTTGACATCTTCATCATGAAATCTTTGTTGGTGCCTATGTCCTGCATGGTATTGCCTAGAATTTCTTCTAGGAGTTTTATAGTTTTGGGTTATACATTTAAGTCTTTAATCCATCTTGAGATAATTTTTGTATAAAGTGTAAGGAAAAGGTCTAGTTTCAATTTTTGGCATATGGCTAGCCAGTTCTCTGAGCACCATTATTAGATAGGGAATCGCTTCCCCATTGCTTGTTTCTGTCAGGTTTGTCAAAGATCAGATTGTTGTAGGTGTGTGGTCTTATTTCTGAGTTCTCTATTCTGTTCCATTGGCTTATGTGTCTGTTTTTGTACTAGGACCATGCTGTTTTGGTTACTGTAGCCTGGTAGTACAGTTTAAAGTCAGGTAGCATAATGCCTCCAGCTTTGTTCTTTTTGCTTAGAATTGTTTTGGCTATTTAGGCTCTATTTTTTTTCTTTGGTTCCATATAAATTTTAAAATAGTTTTTTTCTCATTCTGTGAAGAATGTTAATGGTAGTTTAATGGGAATAAAATTGAATCTATAAATTGCTTTGTGCACTATGGCCATTTTTATGATATTGATTCTTCCTATCTATGAGCATGGTATGTTTTTCCATTTATTCATGTCCTCTCTGATTTCCTAACAATGGTTTGCAGTTCTCCTTGAAGAGGTCCTTTGCTTCCCTTGTTAGCTGTATTCCTGGGTATTTTATTCTCTTTGTAGCAATTGTGGATGAAAATTCATTCATGATTTGGCTCTCTGCTTGCCTGTTGTTGGTGTATAGAAATGCTAGCAATTTTTGCACATTGATTTTGTATCCTGAGACTTTGCTGAAGTTGATTATCAGCTTTAGAAACTTTTAGCCTGAGACAATGGAGTTTTCTAGACATAGGATTATGTCACCTGCAAACGAAGATAATTTGACTTCCTCACTTCTTATTTGAATACCCTTTGTTTTTTTTCTCTTGCCTGATTGCCTTGGCCAGAAATTCCAATAATTTGTTGGATAAAAGTAGTGAGAGAGGGCACCCTTTTCCTGTGCCTTTTTTCAAGGGGAATGCTTCCAACTTTTGCCCATTCAGTAGGATATTGGCTGTGGGTTTCTCATATATGGCTCTCATTATTTTGAGATAAGTTCCTTCAATACCTAGTTTTTGAGAGTTTTAAACATGAAGATCATTAAATTTTATCAAAGGCCTTTTCTGTGTTTATTGAGATAATCATGTGGATTTTGTCCTTAGATCTGTTTATGTGACAAATGAGATTTATTGATTTGTGTATGTAGAACCAACCTTGCATCCCGAGGATGAAGAAAATTTGATCATGGTAGATAAGCTTTTTGAAGTGCTGCTGCATTTGGTTTGAAACTATTTTATTGAGGATTTTTGCATTGATATTCATCAGGCATATTGGTCTAAAGTTTTCTTTTTTGTTTTATCTTTGTCAGGTTTTCGTATAGGATGATTCTGACCTCATAAAATGACTTAGGGAGGAGTTCCTCCTTTTCAATTGTTTGGAATACTTTCAGTAGAAATGGTACCAGCTCTTCTTTGTGCCTTTCAAAGAATTCAACTGTGAATTTGCCTGGTCCTGAGCTTTTTTTGGTTAGTAGATTGTTTATTACTGCCTCAATTTCAGAACTTGTTATTGTTATTCAGGGATTCAATTTCATCCTAGTTCTGTCTTCAGAGGGTGTATGTGTCCAGGAATGTATCCGTTTCTTCTTAGATTTTCTAGTTTCTTTGCATAGATGTGTTTATAGTATTCTCTGATGGTTGGTCGTATTCCTGTGGCCTCAGTGGTAATATCCCTCTTATCACTTCTGATTGTATCTATTTGATTCCTCTCTCTTTTCTTTATTAGTCTAGCTAGGGGTCTATCTATTTTATTAATTTTTTCTGGAAAATCAGCTCCCAGATTTGTTGATTTTTTGAAGGGTTTTTACTGTCTCCATTACCTTCAGTTATACTTTGATTTTGGTTATGTCCTTTCTTCTACTTGCATTGGCATTTGTTTACTTTTGTTTCTCTAGTTCTTTTAGTTGTGATGTTAGGTTGTCAACTTGAGATCTTTCTAGCTTTTTGATGTGGGCATTTAGTGCTATGAATTTTCCTCTTAACACTGCTTTAGCTGCATTCCAGAGATTCTGGTGCATTGTCTATTTGTTCTCATTACCTTTAAATAACGTCTTGATTTCTGCCTTAATTTCTTTATTTACCCAGTAGTCATTCAGGAGCAGGTTGTTCAATTGCCATGTAGTTGTGTGGTTTTGAGTGTGTTTCTTCATCGTGAGTTCTAATTTGATTGTGCTGTGGTCTGAGACACTGTTATGATTTCTGTTCTTTTGCCTTTGCTGAGGAGTGTTTTACTCCCAATTATATGATCAATTTTAGAGTAAGTGTCATGTGGCAATGAGAAGAATGTATATTCTGTTGGTTTTGAGTAGAGAGTTCTGTAGATACCTATCAGGTCCAGCTGATCCAGAGCTGAGCTCAGATCCTGGATATCTTTGTTAATTTTCTATCTTGCTGCTCTGTCTAATATTGTCAGTGGGGTATTAAAATCTCCCAAAGGAGATTAGATAGCTTTCTTAGGTAGATAACAAGGGAAGGGTCCTGGAGAGCCCATGGCCCATTGGTCAGTGTCTCATTCCCACATAACATAAAAAGCAGCCCGGGAAAAAAATTCAAGCTGCAAGCACAGATAAGGAAACTAGCACAGGGTATTGTGCCTGGCTGCATGCCCATGGCTGCAGATAGAAAAAACCTTTAGCCCATGTGGATAAAAACTTGTACAAACCTCCAGAGCTCACTCAGACAAGGGAACAAGGCCTGGTATGGAAATGCCTTTGTCCTTTGCATAGTCAGTGGAGTCCCAGGAAAAGTTTCTTCTCCTTTTGTGGGCATGGGCACAGTGGGCTCCAGTGGGTTCCGGTGGGCACTCTACTTTCCTTTGTTAGGACTATAAGTCTGGCTTCTATGATTCATCACTTCAGCTCCTGATTGTTCCTGGACCAAGGTCCCAGGCCAAGCTGAGTCATGTATTTGCCAAGGCAGCCCGCAGACTAAGCATATCTTTTTCTCTTCCCAATTCATAAAATCCCTTGACCCCAGCCTCATAGTGGGTACTCCCATTTGAGACCCCCTCGCTGCTGACAGAGAGCTTTTTTCTTTCACTTATTAAACTTTCACTCTAACCTCACCTTTGTGTCCACTCTCCTTAATCGTCTTGGAGGTAGGACCAAGAACTCCAGGCATTATCTCAGACAACGAAAGACTTACATCTTAGTGTATTGACTGGGAAGAAGATAATTCATTAAAAGGATGAATAAGAGTGGACCTTTAATGTTAACTCTTTACTTTCATTTCTGAGACTTCTTGTCTATTCCAATCTAGTTTCCTTCCATGGAGGGCCTAAGTCGTCACGTGGGATTGGAAGAAGGTCCTAGGGCGACTGAAGATTTCTGGCTGGGGCTACACCCCAGTATTATCTGAAGGTCTGTAGACTAACTCCAGTCCTTGACAGCCTGTCAGGGTGTCGGCACAAGGATTTCCAGTCTTTTCCTATCGAATTTTCCTTCTTTCCTCTCACGGCTATCGAGTCTCCTATCCCATCGTATACAATGTTGCAGGTGTTTTTGCAACCTAGAAATATAGTCTTGCTGGGTAGAGTCAGTTGGTTTCTTAGTAATAAGGAATGTAATTCGAAGAGTTATTGTTTTTCTGATTTCCTAGAAACAGGGGGAATTCAAGATTTTCGTTTAAGTATTTACCTAGTAAGGTCCCTTTTATCCCTCAATGATGGACATTTATAGCATCGTATGGGAGGATACTTCACCCCGAGTGACTATCCCCCGCTCCATTTGGATTGTTTCTCTCTTCGTATAAGAGTTCATCATTTTCCAATAAATTTAAACAGTTCCTTTATGAGATAAGTTAATTTTCTTATGCTGGGGGGCATGCTATAGGGACAGCCTATCAAACCCCAAAACTCTCTAATTTTTGCCTGAAAAGAATTTGAAGTGTTTACCTAACATTTCTAACCCTACAGTGCCACCTAGTGGAATGGGATTTTTTTCTCCGTAGGGAGCCGTGTCCGTTCTCTCTCCCAGACTTCCAGTCTCCCAATTCTTTTCCATTTTTGGTCTTCTATCAGTGATCAGACCCCATGTCCTCTTTGTAGACAGAAAAACTCCACTTTCAACAGTCAGGAGGAAGACATTTTGATAAGACAGATTTTAGCTTCAATACTGTCCCCATCAAAGGAGAGGCAGCCATTCAATTTTTACACTCTTTGAGGCAGCTGTTTTGCATTCAATTACATTGGAATTTAAACAGAAAATGAATTTTACATTTAGAATTTATTCAGTCCCATTCTATGGGATTTTGATTTTTTGCTGGAGCCATAGCAAGGGAAGCCAGAAATGGTGTTAGGACACTCCCTCCATTTAAAACTCTTGCCCAGGTCCAACTACTACATAATCTCTCCCAAGCCTCTGGGGTACCGTGGGAGCCTTCTGGGCTAGGTGGATCTAGGAATCCAGCAGGACAGAATGGTAAGGTTTTGAACAGGTTTTGAAATCCTACTGACTAGCTTTTCTGGGACCATGGATAAAAGGTCACACTTGTATCCATAGGGAGGCACTTATGATGGTTGCTGAGACCCAGAGGAGAGGGGGAAGGAGGAGAAGGGGGACACACTTTCTCTCTTTCTCTCCACCCTGGGTCACACAAATGGGAGGAAGAGGAATAAGGGACACCTTGTCTCCCTTTCTCCTTCTAGATGAGTAACAAACCATCTGCAGTTAGTACTCCCCTTGAGTGCATTTTGAATCACTGGAACGCCTTTGACCCTGAGACTTCTGGCTTATATTCTATTGCACAGGGGCATGGCCTTGTTCCCATCTTGGGGATGAACAAACCTGGCTTTCTGAGGGAAGTCTTGATTTCTATACTATTCAACAACTAGATATTTTCTGTAAGTGGGAGGGCAAGTGCTCCAAGGTTTCCTATGTACAGGCTTTTTTTGCTTTTTGGGAAAACTCGAATCTTTGTAAGTATTGTACAGTTGACCCTGCCCTTTTAGCAGCCATGTCAAGCAAGCCTACAAAGGATGATTACCCAAAGTCAGAGAGACAAACCATTGGGGAACCCTAAAATGCAACTTCTGGGTTCCCTACCTGACCCACTTCTTAGGGGCTCCCAATAGCCAAATCATTAGCTCCTCTGGTTGTGCCACTCAAGAAATTGCCAACTTTGCTGTTGCCCCCCCAAGAAATGCCTGATGGGCATGGTGTCACTAGGATTCAAGTTCCCTTCTCATTTCAGGACCTTAGGGGGACCTAGGCAAGTTCTCTGATGACTCTGATAAACATAAAGAGGCTTTTCAAAATTTAACGCAAGCGTTTAATCTAACATGGAGAGATGCTATGCTACTTTTAAGCCAAACCCTAACTGTTGCAGAAAAGCAGGCAGCCTTACAGGCAGCAGAAACATTAGGTGATAAACAGCATATCTCCTATAGCCAGTCTAAAAGTCTTAAAGGAAGAAGTCTAAAATAAAAGAAGGTGAAAAAGAGACAGGATCCCCATTCCCAACAGAAAGAGAAACAGTGCCCCTTGAAAACCCTAATTGGAGCCCTAGTAATCACATAGATAAGTGGAAAAGAAACACTTTCTGATCTGCATTTTAAAAGGCTCGCAAAGAACCAGAACCAAACCTCTTAATTACGCTAAACTGTTCTTGTTGAACCAGAAACCAGAAGAAGATTCCCCTGCCTTTTTGGAAAGGCAGAGAAGAGCTTCAGTGAAACACACTCCTGTCTCCCAATTCAATAAAAAAGAAAAAAAAAAAGGTTCATTACTCAGGAAGCCCCCGATATCAAAAAGAAGTTGCTGAAACAGGTTCTGTGTAAAGACATTTCAAGTTTTCTCACCCTCAAGTTGAAACTTTGCAATATCTAAATAATACTGTTCTCCGTACCCCAACTGAGGTGGTCTCAAGAAGGTACTAAGGCTCTCAATTTCTTAGCTGAAAGGGAATATAGGGTCTCAACATCTAAAGCTCAGTTTTGTCAAACTTCAGTAAAGCACCTAGGTCTAGTCTGGTCAGAAGGAATCAAAACACCAGATGAGGAAATAATTAAGTCCATTTTAACAGTTAAGGGGATTCTTGGGCATTACTGAATTTTGAAGACTGTGGGTACCTGGGTACAGTGAAATAGCTCATTCTTTACAACACCTCACAAAAGAAGCTTAAGCATCTAGAACTCATTCCCTAACTTGGGAACCTAAAACATAAAAGCCTTAAACCAGCTAAAGCAAGCCCTACTTAAAGCATCCGCCCTCAGTCTTCTCATAGGGAAGGTATTTAATCTATATGTATCAGAAAGGAAGGAAATAGTCCTGGGAGTTTTGGCTGAGGCTTGAGGTCCAGCTCAACAGCCAGTGGGTTAACCATGGGTAAGAACTTCACTGTTTGCACCCCACAGAGTATAGCAGAGCTGCTGTCCTTTAAGGGAAGTCTCTGGCTAATAAACAATTGCCTCGTCAAATATCAAGCTTTGCTGCTAGAGGGATCTGCAGTCCAGTAAAAGAAAAAACCTGCCCTTGCCTGAACCCAGCCACTTTCCCAGAGTCAACTAGAGAACCTGAACATGATTGCGAACAGATAGTGGTGTAAATCGGTAAAAGAAATGATAAGAATCAGTGTTTACCTTCTCTAGAGTTTTAATTAATGAAAAAGAATTTTTTCAAAGTGTGCTCAGCTTAATTAAGAGTGGATATCCAAGCTATGAATATATTCAAAAGTCCTGTATGTTTTTCTCTTCAAAATCTTGTTTCTCTGGAAAAGGATTTTTTCTAAGTCAACTAAATTACTTTTCTCCACTCTGTCTTGCCCCTCTCAGTGCGTGCATAAAAGGCCCCAGAATAACTTCTGGTGGCCTGGGACTCCTTGGGAAAACATAAAAGGGAGATATATAGAAGTATCCATGCCCCTAACTATGCTGGAAAGAGTCAAACTTTATCTGCACCTAGCACATAATTAAAACAACTTACCAGGTTTTACAATCAAGTGAAGAATTGCTAAGAATTACCATTATAATATGTAATTAAAACTACTGGAAGTAAATTTACCCCCAAGGTATGCAAAACAGTAAAACGTGTTCATAGTAAAAGTTTATAAAAAGGCATGGAAATATACATTTTGCCTACAGATGAAGAATTGTCCTTTTTTTTTTTTTTTTTTTTGAGCCAGAGTTTTGCTCTTGCTGCCCAGGTGGGAGTGCAATGGCACGATCTCCGCTCACTGCAACCTCCGCCTCCCAGGTTCAAGTGATTCTCCTGCCTCAGCTTCCCAAGTAGCTGGGACTACAGGCACGCACCACCACGCCCGGCTAATTTTGTATTTTTAGTAGAGACAGGGTTTCTCCATGTTGGTCAGGCGGGTCTCAAACTCCCGACCTCAGGTGATCCGCCTGCCTCGGCCTCCCAAAGTGCTGGGATTACAGGTGTGAGCCACCACACTTGGCCAAGAATTGTCTTAAGTTAGATAAAATAAAGAAGGTTTAAGCAAATTGTGAAAAAAAAATTGTAAAAATTAATCTTGCAAAACAAGTTCTGTGTGTGAATGTATTGACTAAATTCAAGAGGGTTATAAAAGGTTTGTGAAAAATCTTACCTCGTGATCAAACTGGTTAAGATTCAATAGAATTGTATATAAAGTTTCATTAAAATTGAGGTTAACATTAATAGTAAACTAATGCAAGGGTGAAATTTAGCTTTCTCTCTCTTGAGCAGGATTTTCATGTAATAATAAGGGCTAATGAAGGTTTTTGCTTTTTCAAATTCTTAAGTCATCATTTTGGCAAAAGAAGTGACTTATGGTAATCTAAAATTCTATTTAATGATATCAAGTGTTTTAAACCTCCAACATATTCTCCCAAAATCAAATTTCAGTTTCAAGTTTGTCTTACCTTATGCCTAGCTTTTGTGTGCTGCAGAGGGTCCCTGGAACATCCGGAAGAGAAGTAAACAAGATTATTTAATATGTTTAGGTGCATGGGATTGCCAAGGTTATGTCTAATATTCTTCAGGTTATATTTTGGTCACTAATATTAACCTGTGCTCCAAAACCATATGGGATGTCTAAGGCTCTAATGTCTAAATATGTGCTATCAATCACAATTAAGGTTGTTATGTTGGGTTACTGTAAACCACAAAAATAACCAAATTTCTTTGTCAATTGTGTTTCTGACTATATCCAAATTGGGCATTTTGTCATTTAGAGACAATCATTGTCTTGTTTTAATTCTCTTCAAAAGATGGTTTATAATCTAACTGTGGGATTTTAACAGGTTCTCTCAAATGCAGGTTTCTCATAACAGAAAAATGTACAGAACTCATGAAAAGCTAAAATGTTTATGAATATCAAGCAAAACAAATGTTCATGAAATGGACTAAACTAATAAAAGACAGAAGCAAGTTTTTGACTTTTGCTTGGAACACTGCTGATCCTTATTTTATTTTTCAGAGTCAAGGAGACTCTTAAAAGATTTTAACGACTAGGCAAGTTATACTCCTGTGATCAAGATTTGGAACATGTTTGTTTTCCTCTGCCTAGTTCTTCTATAATTTGGAAACCAGTTATGAGTACTCTTGAATTAAACAATATAGTTGTTTGCATCAGTGCAACAAGAATCCATTTTCTTTTGCAACAAAACACAATTGGAAAAACTGGTTGTTTTTCCAAGGCTTTGACTAGAAAGGTGTATTTCCCTTTAAGCAATTAACCTCGACTTGCAGAGCCAGTAGAACCCCCTTGAGAAAACTGGCCTCATACCTGTCTATACAGTTCTATCATAAGTTGTTTTTTTTTTTTTTTTTTTTTTTTTTTTTTTTTTTTGAGACACAGTCTCGCTGTTGCCCAGGCTAGAGTGCAGTGGCGAGATCTCGGCTCACTGCAAGCTCCGCCTCCCATGTTCACACCGTTCTCCTGCCTCAGCCTCCTGAGTAGCTGGGACTACAGGCACCTGCCACCATGCCTGGCTAATTTTTTTGTATTTTCAGTAGAGACGGGGTTTCACCATTTTAGCCAGGATGGTCTCGATCTCCTGACCTCGTGATTCACCCGCCTTGGCCTCCCAAAGTGCTAGGACTACAGGCATGAGCCACTGCGTCCGGCCAATAAGTTGTTTTTAACAAAAATGAGGACTGGAGAGAGAGAAAATTGTGTTTTAAAACTTATACATCTATCATTAACTTCCAGTGTCATCAGTTATTTTTAACTTTTTGCTTACATTTTAAAATAACCATGCTTCTTCCTGTGAGCCAACCAGCAATCTCCAGCTATGGCTCAGAGGAGACAGAAAGAGATGTGTAATGTAAAAATCTGGATCAATATTCTAGTCTAAGCAATTATCCTGCAGATCCTGCTGGGTAATAGGAATAAATCGAGTGCCCATAACCCAAAAGTCTCTTTGGAAGGATAAAATTAAGAAATCTGACCAAAGCTAAGTCCCATGCACCCAGATCTTAGCAAGCATAACTGTAGCCACTAGTTATCGAAATGTATCAGCAGCTTCAAGATTTTTAAGCTGTCCTTACCCCCCTTGTCTTATTTTAATACATGTCCTCTAATAACCCAAATTGTTTCTTTTCACATAGAGGCTATCAAGCTCCAAATGGTGATGCAAATGGAACCATGCGTGAATGCACCTTTCTTCTGAGGACCCTTAAACCAACCTCAAAAACAATCCTAGCTGCTGTTCCCTACACAACTCCCCTTTCCAGCAGGAAGTAGCCAGAAAGATCAATGCCGAATCTCCCTAATAGAAGTTAAGGTCTCCACTCCTGAGTGGGGGGGAAATGAAAGGAGTTAGGTAGCTTGCCTTAGGTGGATAACAAGGGAAGAGTCCCAAAGAGCCCCGAGCCCATGGGTCAGTGCCTCTTCCCCACATAACATAAAAAGCAGTCTGGGAAAAAAAATTCAAGCTGCAGGCACAGATAAGGGAACTAGAACAGGATGTTGTGCCTGGAGACATGCCCACAGCTGCACAGATACAAAAAACCTTGGGCCATTCTGGCCCATTTGGATAAAAACTTGCACAAACCTCCAGCTCACTCAGATAAGGGAACAAGGCCTGGCATAGAAAATGCCTTTATCCTTTGTATAGTCAGTGGCCTCCCGAAAAAAGTTTTTTCTCCTTTTGTGGGCATGGGCACGGTGGGCTCCAGTGGGTTCCGATGGGCACTTTCCTTTCCTTTCTTAGGACTATAAGTCCGGCTTCTATGAATCATCACTTCAGCGCCTGATTGGTCTTGGGCCAAACTTTCACTTCAGCTTCTAATAGGTCCTGGGCCAAGCTGAGCAGCCTCTGTGATTTATCATTTCAGCTCCTGATTGGTCCCTGATCGTGGTCCTGGACCAAGCTGAGTTACACGTTCACCAAGACAACCTGCAGACTGAGCACATTTTCCTTTTCCCAGTCCAGTCCGGACCACTTGGACTCTCCAGAGCCAGCATGATGGAAAGACTAAGTTGGCTGAACCACAGAAATGGCGGCCACCTCTCCCCTCCAGGGGCTCCATCCAGGGGAGAGATCAGAGTTCTGTTGTATAACTCTAGCTGGTGTTGCTGAAATTCCCACAGGGAGGTCTCGCCCAATGAGAAGGAATGAATCAGGGTCCCACTTAAAGAAGCAGCCTGGCCATGATCTGGTTGCATTGTGGGGAACTCCTCCCAGTCTGGACCACCTGGACTCCCCAGAGCTGGCGGACTAGAACGGCCGACTCAAACCACAGAGATGGTGGCCACCCCTCCTTCTGGGAACTTGGTCCATCTCAGGCAGTCTCCAGCTGCTGTCACTGGCTGGCTGGAATTCCAAGCCAGTGAGTCTTAACTTTGCTAGATGCTATGAGAATGGCACCCATAGAATGACACCACTAGGCTCCTGAGATTTAGCCCCCTTCCTAGGGGAATGCACAGATGGATCTGCCACCTTGACAGAATTCTTAGGGCCAAAGTATGCAAACCAATTCCCGGATCTCTGTGGGTGCCCAAGTGGCTGCTCTGCTGAGACTGCACAGCTCTGTCTTCGGATCCAAGACCCTGATGGTGTGGGCTCACGAGGGGATCTCCTTACCTGCATGTTGCAAAGATCCGTGTGCTAAGTGTGGTTTCCCAGGTGGGGTCACACAATTACTCACCACCTCCTTTCGCTGGGGATGGGAGCTCCCCTGGCTCTGTGCCACTCCCAGGTGGGCCATCGCCCCGCTCAGCTTTTCCTCATTCTCCATGGGTCAAGCTGTCCAATTAATCAGTCCCAATGCAAGAGCCTGGATACTTCAGTTGAAGGTGCAGAATTCACTTGCTGTTTTCTTTCCTCTTCGTGAGAGCCATGGACTGTAGCTGCTTCTAATCTAGCCATCTTGGCCAGAGTTGTTATTTTTGTTTAGAGTTTGTTGAGATTCTTTGATCTCTGAGAGTAGAATTTGCATAAAATTTGCAGCATTTTAACCATTAATTCACCAAGCAATTTTTCTGCCCTACTTCTTTTATGGACTCCATTTGCACATTTATTCGGCTGCTTAAAACTATGTCACAGCTCATTGATATTGTGTTAATTTTTCCATCTTTTAATCTCTTTTATTTTTAATGGTTTCTATTGCTATGTCTTCAGGTTAACTGATATTTTCTTCCAAATATTAATATACATTCAACCCCATGCAGCACATTTTAATCATTTCAGACATTGTAGTTTTTATCATTAGCAGGTCAAATAGGGCCCTTTTAAAACATGTTTCTTCTATTTCTCTACTTAACATATGCAGCCTTTCCTATAACTTCTTGAAGATACAGAATAGTCTTGTTAACTGAATATTCTTATCTGCTAGTTTTATCATCTGAGTCATTTCTGGTGTGGAATTGATTGTGTTTTATCCTAATTATGGGTTATATCTTTGTATTTCTTTTCATATCTGGTAATTTTTATTACATGTCAGACATTGTTAATATTTCTTTTTAATGATGTATATTTTTGTATTTTAAAAAATATTATTGAGCTTTGGTCTGGAATATAATTAAATGAATTAGACACATTTTGATCTTTTGGGGTCTTGTTTTTAAGCTTAATTAGGCAGAACTAGAAGTGTAATTTAGTCTGGGATTATGTTTTTTCTTTTTTTCCAAGTACTAGGTGAGTCAACTCTTAGTATTGTAATCAATGTGCCATGACTTATGTGCCTTTTTACTCTAGCTGGTAGAAATAGGCAAAATAACTGACTCTGCAAGAACTGAGTACTGTTCCCTATCATCCTTTTATCTTTCTCCTCACCAGCACTCTGCATTGCAAACTCTAGCTGTCTTGGTTTTCCTGGACTCATTCTTTGTCTCCTCAACTCAGGGTATGTATTGGATTCTGATTGTGTTCCCCTTGCCTGTACTTCCCTGTAAAGCACTAGACTGGGGCAATCACAGAGCTCACTACATTTGTAGAAACCACTGTCTTTCAGTACCTGATGATCAATGCCTTTCATTGTCTCTGTTTTACTTATTTTGTTAGTTTTTCAGTTGTTTTAGACAGAAAAATGAATCTAATCCTTTATATTACATTTTGATTGAATAAAGGTTCCTGTTTGATGTTTACATTCTTTATTTTTTTCTTTTTTGGCTTTGAATACATTTAATTCACATGACAACTTTGCGATGGAGGAACTGTTATTTGTACTCTTTTTATAGAACTAGAAACTAAGGCTCACAGGCGTTAGGTATCTTGTCCAAGATCGCACACACAAGAAGAAAGGAGCAGAGCCAGGATTTGAATCTAGCCTCCACTAGCCCCAGAACATTCCACAACTTTAGTCCATCCATGCTGTCAAAGGACAAAATTGGAAAGCATGAATTTGAGTAAAGAAGGAGTTGAAGGAACAAAGACAGGAGAATTGCCCCATGAGCTCAGTGCTCAGTGGTAAGCTCAAAGAGGAGACTAGAAGTTATATTACCACACAGCCATGTCCAACTCCCAGGACATTTAATCCAAAGGCATTCAGATTTCTGGAGAAGCTGAATCCTAGGATCTTTGTCCAACTCCCAGGATGTTTAATCCAAAGGCATTCAGATTTCTGGAGAAGCTGAATCCTAGGATCTTTGTAACCAGGGCCATGACTGAGGGTATTTCCTTCATCCTGGTGCCAAGAGATGAGAGGTCTTCATCCTCTTCCTGTTTGCCATGTGTTTGTGTTGGTGATTCTTCCCGTCTGGAAGCACATGAACAAAAGCAACAAGATGAACAAAGGCATTTATCTCTGCTATGAGAACCTCTCTGGAATCCCAGTTCCTCCTCCCAGACTTTTATAATGATGAGTCCATCAGCTGGATACCAACTCTTATCTTTGCAGGGTTGTTTTTCTTTTGTTTCCCTATCAGTCCTAAGTTAATCCCTATAGCAGATACTGTTAGTTGTTCTTCTACATCTATTTGGCCCTTCTTTCTTTAGTAATAAAACCCCTAAATCTGAGCTGAGATCAAGAGAATCCCAAATGAAGACTACATTTTCCAGTCTCCTTTGTAGCTAGGTGTGACATTGAGACTGAGAAAAAGAGATTTAAGAGGAAGCAATGTGGGCAAATTCCAGGTTGTGCCTTCCAATCCCATTCTCTATTGTCCTGCTGGCTGGAATACAGATCCAGCTCATGAGGTCTTCATCTATGAGGGTCAGGGAAATGCCTTTAGAAATGATGGAAGTAAAGACAGAAGAAACCTGCGTTCTTAGCACTGAAGCTGCCCTATCAGCTTTTGGTTGCTTTAACTCAGACTGGCACATCAGAGTTAAACTATTATCTTGCTTAAGCCACTGTAATTTTGGGGTCGCTGATATTAATGAATACAACATCTTTTCCTCTTATGACTTTGCTTTTTTAATTTTTGGTTTTCTTATTTCAATAGGCTTTTGTGGAACAGGTGGTGTTTTTTACATGTGTAAGTTCTTCAGTGGTGATTTCTGAGATTTTGGTGCATTCATCACCCGAGCAGTGTACTATGTACCCAAAGTGTAGATTTTTTATCCCTAGACCTCCATCACCCATTCCTCTGAGTCCTCAGAATCCAATGTATTATTCTTATGCCTTTGTGTCCTCATAGGTTAGCTTCCACATATGAGAGAACATACAATGTTTGGTTTCCCATTCCTGTGTTACCTCACTTAGAATAACAGTCTCCAGTTCCGTTCACATTTCTGTGAATGCCATTATTTTGTTCCTTCTTATGGCTGAGTAGTATTCCATGGTGTATATATATCACATTTTCTTTATCCACTTTATCCATTTTCTAGATCCACTTCTAGAATCTGCTTTATCCACTTGTTGATTGATGGGCATATGGGTTGGTTCCATATTTTTGCAATTGCAAATTATGCTGCTATAAAAATGCGTGTGCAACTATCTTTTTTGTATAATGACTTCTTTTCTTCTGGATAGATACCTAGTACTGGGATTGCTGGATATAATGGTAGATCCACTTTTAGTTCTGTTTTTGATAGTGGTTTTACTAATTTCCATTCCCACCAACAGTGCAAAAGTTTTCCCCTTTCACCACATCCCTGTCAATGTGTATTATTTTTTGATTTTTTGAATATGGCCATTCTTGGAGAAGTGAGGTGCTATCGCTTTGTGGTTTTGATTTGCACTTCCCTGATAATTAGTGATGCTGAGCATTTCTCCACATGTTTCTTGGCCATTTGTATATCTTCTTTTGAGAATTGGCTATTCATGTCCTTAGCCCACTTCTGATGGGATTGTTTTTGGGGGCTTTTTTGTTTGTTTTCTTGCTGATTTGTTTGAGTTCTTGTAGATTCTGAGTATTACTCGTTTGTCAGATGTATACATTGTGAAGATTTTCTCCCACCCTGTGGGTTTTCTGTTAACTCTGCTGATTATTTATTTTGCTGTGCAGAAGCTTTTAAGTTTAACTAAATTATTGATCTAACATTCATTTAGGCATTGCAAGTGAGTTAGAGATTCAACTTTCCTTTTTTTCTAAGCCCCAAGCCGGTTGTACCAACACTACATTAAGGTTTTTAACATTAAAATAAATATCATTGTTCAAAAGATAGTTATATGAATGGAGGTAAGGCAATTTAAAAAGAATGTCCATTACAATAGTAATAAAAATGATGGCCAACCATTTATCAATAATCACCAAAGACAAAGAGAAGTCACAGACCACTAACACTCAAGTCAAATCTCAAGCAGCATTCTGACTGGTGAAAGGAGAGGAATGTGAAACTGAAATGGAGAAAAGTGCAGGGAAATCTGGTAAAAATGGTTATGGTTACAATTCCCCCAAAAGAGGACGTTAACATCAGAGCTACACAAAACTCTCACTATCCAGGTGATTTTTTTGTCTTCGGCGATGTGGTCAGACACACCATCTGGGTCACAATGATAATGGTGAAACTGGACTCAAAGTCAGAAACTAGAAGTCCAGGGGGCGCTGAACTCAGCTCATATGTGTTTTGCTTGGACCAGAGAAAATTTTTTTTCTTTTTATTTCTGAATTCATCCACAATATTTTATTGATACATAATAATTATATATATTTGTGAGGTACATGTGACTATTTGATACATGTATAAAATGTGTAAAAATTAATTGAGGGTGATTTGTATATCTGTCCCTTTAAAAATGTATTTCTTTGTGTTGGGAACATTTTGAATCTTTTAGATTTTTCAAAATATACAACACATTATTAACTATAGCCACCCTAATATACTAGTAAACAATAGAGTTCATTCCTTCTATATAACTGAATTTTTGTACCCATTAACCAACCTTTCTTCATTCCCCTCCCCACACATATTTCTTAGCCTCTGGTAACCATCATTCAAACTTCTACCTCCATGAGATCAACTTATTTATCTCCCACATATAAATAACAACATGTGATATTTGTCTTTCAGTGCCTGGCATATTACACTTAATATAATGACCTCCAGTTCCATCTATGTTGGTGAAAATGACAGGATTTCATTCTTTTTATGGCTGAGTAGTATTATATTGTGTATGTATACCACATTTTCTTTAGCCATTGTTCCATTGATAGACTATTCACCATATTTCTTAATGGGATATTTTACCTTAAAAACATCTTAAAGTCTTACTACTCTTGAAAAATAAAATTTATAACAATAAATTCACTTTCCCACATAAAAAATATTTGGATAGGCTTCTTCATTTTAATTTACTCAATCCTGTTAGGTTCCTGGCCTTTATGGGCAGTTGAACTTGCACCACTGGGCTAGTGAGGGAAAGTGGGTTTGAAGTGGGTTAATCACAGAGGTAGAGCAGAATAGTTAGAGATAAGAATGGAAAGAAATGACTGACTCAAAGTAAAAATGTGCATATATGGGGTAAAGGTAGATTAGCATGTATGAGTGACTAATTGTGTAAAGTGCTATGAAATTTAGTCATTTTAACAGCATTATGATGTAGATATCATTGTCACCATCATGAAACTAAGGCACGTAGTGGTCATATAACTTACCCAAAGCCATCCAGATAGCAAGTTTCTAATGAAGAATTTAAGTACTTGTTAACAACACCAACATTTGTCACCTTCCCCTGGAGTCCCAAATCTGGTTATGGCAACAGATTAATCTGTGGCACTTTAAAAATACAGATTTATGAGTACTACCCCCACAATCTGATGCAATTAACGCAGTAGATCTATGCAAGGATTCTAGAATCTGCTTTTTACAAAGCTTCATAAATAATATTGAGGCAGCTAGTCTACAGACTAATATTTGGAAAGCATTTACTCAGTCTTTCTTTTTTTAATTTTAATTTAAGGGCTTTATATTTTAAAAAATATATCCATACTATTATTTCTATGATTTATTTTGTGTGTGTGTGTTTTTCCTTTTTTAACTTTTATTTTAGGTTCACAGGTACACGGGCAAGTTTGTTACATAGCTAAACTGTGTGTCATGAGAGTTTGGTGTTACAGATAATTTAATCACCTGGGCAATAGGTATTTTTTCTGAACTTCTTCCTCTTACCACCATACACCCTCAAGTAGGCCCCAGTGTCTGTTGTTCACCTCCTAGTAGCCATCTGTTCTCATTGTTTAGACCCCACTTATAAGTAGAATATGTGATATTTTGTTTTTTGTTCCTGTGTTGGTTTACATAGGATAATGACCTCCAGCTCCATCCATGTTGCTGCAAAGGACATAATCTTGTTCTTTTTATGGTTACATAGTATTCCATGGTGTATATTTATTACATTTACTTTATCCAGTCTACTATTGATGTACATTTAGGTTGATTCTATGTCTTCACTATTGTGAATAGTGCCACAGTGAACATACATATGCATGTGTCTTTATGGTAAAATGGTTTATATTCCTTTGGGTATATACCCAATCATGAAATTGCTAGGTCAAATCGTAATTCTGTTTTAAGTTTTGGAGTAATTGCTACACTGCTTTTCACAATGACTAAATGAATTTACACTCCCACCAGCAATGTAGAACTGTTCCTTTTTCTCCACAACCTCACCAGCATCTGTTATTTTTTGACTTTTTAATAATACCCATTGTATTATTCATGTATTCTGCTTGGTCTCCCCAGACATGCAAAACTGTGAGTCAATTAAACCTCCTTTGGGTATTATTAAATGGGTATCTCACTGTGGTTTTGATTTTCATTTTTCTAATGATAAGAGATGGCAGGTGTATTAATCTGTTTCCACAGTGCTATAAAGATACTACCTGAGACTGGGTAATTTATAAACAAAAAATGTTTAATTGACTCACAGTTCTGCCTGGCTGGGGAGGCCTCAGGGAACTTACAATCATGGCAGAAGGTGAAGGGGAAGGAAGGCACATCTTACATCGCCACAAGAAAGAGAGAGAGAGCAGGGGAAACTGCCACTTTTAAACTATAATATCTTGTAAGAACTCCCTCACTATCATAAAAACACCAAGGGGAAAACTGCCACCATGATCCAATCACCTCCCACCTGATTCCTCCCTTGACACATGGATATTACAATTCTAGAGGAGATTTGGGTGGGAACAAAGAGTCAAACCATATCTTTCTGCCCTTGGCCCCTTCCAAACCTCATATCCTTTTTACATTTCAAAGCCAATCTTGCTTTCCCAACAGTTCCCCAAAGTATTAACTCATTCCAACCTTAACCCAAAAGTCCAAGTCCAAAGTTTCATTTGAGAAAAAGTCCTTTCCATCTATGAGCCTGTAAAATCAAAAACAAGTTAAGTACTTCCAAGATGCAATGAAGGTACAGGCATTGGGTAAATATTATCATTTCAAATGGAAGAAATTAACCAAAACAAAAGGGCCACAGGCCCCATGAAAGTCTGAAACCCAGTGGGGCAGTCATTAAATATTACTTCTCTGAAATGATTTCCTTTGACTTCACATCTCACATCCAGGGCATTCTGATGCAAGGGGTGGGCTCCCACAGCTTTGCGCAGCTCTGCCCCTGTGGCACTGCAGGGTACATCCCCTGTGGCTGCTTTCATAGGCTGGCATTGAGTGCCTGTGGCTTTTCCAGGTGTGTGATGCAAGCTGTTGGTGGATTTACCATTCTAGGGTCTGGAGGATGATGACTGTTTTCTCACAGCTCCACTAGATAGTGCCCCAGAGGGGACAGAGGGGACACTGTTTGGGGACTCCAATCCCACATTTCCCCTCTGCACTGCCCTAGCAGAGGTTCTCCAGGAGGGCTTCACCCCTGCAACAAACTTCTGCCTGGACATCCAGGCCTTTCCATGCCTCCTCTGAAATCTAGGCAGAGGTTCCCAAGTATCAGTTCTTGCCTTCTATGCACCCACAGGCCCAATGTCATGTGGAAGCCACCCAGGCTTGGGGCTTGCACCCTCTGAAGCAACTGCCCAAGCTGTACCTTGGTCCCTTTTAGACACAGCTGAAGCTGGAGTAGCTGGGATGCAGAGGCTGCACAGAGCAGCAGGGCCCTAGGCCTGGCCCAGAAAACTATTTTTACCTTTCCTCCAGACCTGTGATAAGAGGGGCTGCTGTGAAGGCCTCTGACATGTACTGAAGACATCTTCCCCATTGTCTTGACTATTAACATTCAACTCCTTGTTACTTATGCAAATTTATGCAGCATGTTTGAAACCCCCCCCTAGAAAATGGGTTTTTTCTTTTATAGCACATGGTCAGGCTGTAAATTTTTCAAGCCTTTATGCTCTTCTTCCCGTTAAAACATAAGTTCCAGTTTCAAACCATCTTTTTGTGAATGCATATGACTGATAACTTTCAGAAAAAGGTCACATCTTGAACACTTTGCTGCTTAGAAATTTCTTCTGCTAGATACCCTTAATCATCTCTCTCATGTTTAAAGTTTCACAGATCTATAGGGCAGGGGCAAAATGCCACGAGTCTCTTTGCTAAAGCAGAGCAAGAGTCACTTTTGCTCCAGTTCCCTAGATATTTCTCATCTCCATCTGAGACCACCTCAGCCTGGACTTCATTGTCCATATTACTATCAGCCTTTCAGTCAAAACCATTCAACAAGTTTGTGGGAAGTTATTTTCCAGTGCTTTTATAGAACTGACCAAACAATGAGACACAAAACAATACTCAAAAAATGAAAAAAAAATTATAACAACTACACTGTTGGACCATGGCACAATAAAAATAGAAATGAGCACTAAGAAAATTACTCAAAACCATACAATTACATGGAAATTAAACAACCTTCTTCTGAATGACTTTTGGCTAAATAACAAAACTAAGGCAGAAATCAATAAATTATTTGAAACTAATGGGAACAAAGATACAACATACCAGAATCTCTGGGACACAGCTAATGCAATGTTAAGAAGTAAGCTTCTAGCACTAAACGACCACATCAAAAAGTTAGAAAGATCTCAAATTAACAACCTTATGTCACAACTAGAAGAACTAGAGAACCAAGAGCAAACCAATTCCAAAGCGAGCAGAAGACAATATATAAACAAATTCAGAGCTGATCTGAAAGAAATTGAAACACAAAGAACCATAGAAAGATCAATGAATCCATGACTTCATTCTTTGAAAAAATTAATAAAATAGATGGCTAGCTGGACTAATAAAGAAAAAAAAGATTTAAATAAACACAATTAAAAATTACAAAGGGGATGTTTCCACTGACCCCACAGAAATACAATTAACTATCAGAGACTGCTATTTTTACCTTTATGCACACAAACTAGAAAATCTAGAAAAAAATGCTATGCCTTTCATGAAGAGATCTGATTGCCACACATGATTTGAACTTAATCCTCTGAGGAACTGAAGGAGTGAGTGATGTGAAGAAATCTGTATTTCAGAACTATCCCTCTGGCAGTAGCAGAGTTGAGGATAAATTAGAAGGGAGAGACTGGAGACAAGATCAATGAGAAGATTATGGTAATAGTTAAAGCAAGAAATCATGAAGCTTGAATTAAAGCATTGGCAGTAAGCCTCATTCCAGTATTGTTTTCAGAATCCATGCCTTCAGAGGCAAGACTATGTTTGGGCAAGTTTCTTTTGATACTTCTACTAAAAAACCTGAGCTAGTGGTGCACATGAAGTACCTCATATTAGCTTGCATGAGCCCAAATGTACACATGTGTTCTCAAATTGTTTTCTGTGACAGCTTATGGTTAGTCTGAAATCAACCAAGGTAGAATGCAAATCAGAAATCAGGGTTTCATTTCTTTTTTTTTTGAAAAAGTGTTGGTTGTTAGAGATTTCTCAATTCACCACTGAATTGAAATTCCCTTGGGAAGAGGCTCAGGTAAACTTTTTATACTAAATTCTCAACTGTAATGAGTAATGTTCTAATGTGGCTCCTGTATTCTCTTCGATAACAATCTTGTTCGGGTTCAAAGCTCATCATGCACAAGAGTATTAATTATTTATATATTTAAAACTTTTTATGCATCTAAGTTTATGTATGCTCATTCATGTTTTATGTTCATTCTCACCTTCTTGTAATGTAATTTTATTTATAAATTTATAAATCATTGAAAGATTATAGTTTTTAGTATTATAGATAAACTTTTGTCCAAAGAAACTCAGAAAAAAAATTTACTTATATTTATTTTCACTCTTTTTAAAATATCTGTTCTAAAACAGCACATTTTATAGCAGGGGAAATGCTACTATTCCATAACATAATGGCAAGGCACTCCTATGTTATAGAGAGGGTAGGCTGTTAAAAAGTTAGTGGTATACAAACATTTTCAGTGGAAAGAACACTTATTGCAAATAACACCTTATGTAAATGAAATAAAAGATTAGTATAAGGTTGTCATGAAATATCCTCAAAGTTGGCAAATATTGCCACTTTGCTCTCAGAGAGTTAACAGCAAACTCATTGTAACAGCATCTGCACTTCTTTCTAAACTATAATTTGTGAGAAATGATGTTTACAACTTTTTAGTTTTAATATGTAGATATGTTGCCGTCTCAGAAGTAAATGAAGTTTAAGTTATTTTTTGTTCCTCTTGCTCAACAAAATCACTCTCAGTGGCATGAGTTAAGAAATAATACATCAAGGGATCTTGTACAGTGGACTATCCAACTTCTTTCACACCAGGCTTGTTTTATTTTCCACTTTAAACCAATGTGACTGAAAATTCTAACTATGTAAAAGGTGTTAGGTGATGGTGAAAGTTGTTGCTTTTAGTAAATTTTCTATTGGAAAGCCCTACATAACTGCTTTTTATTAGCATACCATATTCCTGGAAAAACATATATTTTTTCAACCTTTGAGATTCCTACTTTCCTACAGGAAGTAAGTGTCTCTGCTCAGTAAGTAGTAAAAAGAACTATATGTCTCTTATTTGGGCAAATTCTGTAGATGATAAATATTCATAGATAATGAATAGATCATTAATCACATTTAGAAATGAAGGGTTTTTGGAGAATCTTTGGCCTGACTCTCCTTTTCAAAAAAAATTAAAAGAGAAAATAACATTGGTGATATGACAGTAGGCTCTTGCTTCTCTCAATAAACCTATTTCCAGAGGGGACAAGATGGCTGACAAGATGCATCCAGGAAGCACCGTTCCCACTGAGAGAGACAAAATTATTGAGTAAACCACCATTATTTGGGCAAACATTCAGAAAAAAAGGCTCAGAGTGGATGAAAAAGAAATACTGAGGCCAACAGTGAAGAGAGAGGAAGCTGGGAAACCTCCATGGGGTGCCTAAATGCCAGGGTTAGTTCCCAGCCTCGAATGGCTCAAGGGTAAGGGGTGAGTGAGTGAACTGAGAAACAGTTCAATCTCACCATAGACCCATGAGATCCTAGCTACAGGAGACCCCACATCTCTCATGGATGTGTGAGCTGGCAGTGGGATCTCTTCTGGAAGCAGGTAGAGACAGGCCTTCAAATGGCATAAAGCCTGGGAGCTTTTGTGTGCTGGGAAGCTTGAGTGGAGAACAGCCACAGATGCTCATCCCCTAGGGCTCCCCATCTCCCTCTGGGAGGTGTGGGCCCCAGCTGACCTCTGAGCCAGGATAGAGTGGAGTCAGCTCCCACCAGGACTGGGGCACAACTGCTCTGCAAGCCCTCCTGCCCACCGGCCCCTCCCAGGGCCAATGCCTAGCCACCCTACAGGAACAGATGCATGGTGCAGGTGGTAGCCCAGCCTGAGTCATTGCTGCACCTAAGAACTGTCTCTGATTACCTGGGAGCACATCAGATACCTCACCACAGCTGGAACCCAAACCCCAGCCATGGGAAGCCCCAGTACTCCAGAGCTACAGTATGCAGCTCGGGAGTATAGAGCCAAGATTTGTGGCTGGCACTCCAGAGGGGGTTGAGCCCCCACAACCAGAGCACTGAGGGGGATTGGATGTGTAGGCCTCTGGGCCGGGGCCAGAGTGGGGTGTGCCTCCCTCCACAGGGCCAGTCCATAGAAAGTGTGGCATATCTCCCTACCACAGCCTCTGCCCTAGGAGGCACTGCAACCCAGAACAGCTAACAACAACAACAACAAAGCCACTGGCACTATGCCAGTAATTGGAGGGGCCCCTCCAAGGCCCAGGGGGGTACCTGGTAAGGAGGCAAACTCTGTCCTACTCAATCACAGAGCATGACTGTGAATGTAAGGAAGTACAATAGTGCCACACATTTCGTTATTAAAATAGCTACCAGTTATTACTCAAGCCCATCTACTGGATTGCAATGCAAACTATAATACCAAAAATTTATCCCACTAAAACATACACCTGTGAAAGCAAGTGCAAAAACTCGCTCACACATAAAGATTCTATTCAGGGCCCAGGCCCTCTGAAAGCATCTAGAAATGAAGCCAACTAACTAACTATACTCAATGTATACCACAGTTAAAGAATATCAACCCTCCCATATGAGAAAGAATCAGCATAAGGACTCTGACAATCCCAAAACCCAGAGTGCCTCCTTATGTCAAAACAAGTAGACTAGTTCCCCAGCAATAGTTCTTAACCAGACAGAAATTATCAAAATGACAGATAGAATTCAGAATCTGAACAGCAAGGCAACTTATTGAGATTTGGAAGAAAGTTTAAGCTCAATACATGGAATCCAATAAAATGATCCAAGAGATGAAAGAAAAAGTAGCCATTTTCAGAAAGAACAAAACTGAACTTCTAGAGCTAAAAAACTCACCACAGAAATTTTATAATACTATCACAAGTATTAATAGCTGAATAGACCAAGCTGAGGAAAGAATTTCAGAGCTTGAAGACCTATTCTCTAAATCAACTTCATCAGACAAAAATAAGGAAAAAAAATAATTAAGAAAAATGAACAAAACATTTGAATAATATGAAATTATGAAACAGACCGAATCTATGATCATTGGTATTTCTGAGAGGGAAGGAGAGAGAATAAGCAACTTGGAAAATATATTGGAAAATATATTTGAAAATATAATCTACAAAAATTTCCCTAGTCTTGCTAGAGAGGCTGACATGCAGATTTAACAAATACAGAGAACCCCAGGAAGATACTACACAAAAATGACCATCTCCAAGGCAAATAGTCATCAGATTCACCAGGTCAACATTAAATTTTAAAAAGTCTTAAAATAAACTAGAGAGAAGAGTCTAGTCACGTACAAAGGGAACCCAATCAGGCCAGCAGCAGACCACTCAGCAGAAAATTTACAAGCTGGAAGATTCAGGGCCTATTTTGAGTATCTTCAAGAAAAGAAGTTCCATCTAAGAATTTCATTCCTGCCAAACTAAGCTTCATAAGTGAACCAGAAATAAAATCCTTTTCAGATAAGCAAACACTGAAGGAATACATTTCAGCTAGACCAACATTACAAGAGGTCCTTACGAGATTGCTAAACATGGATTCAAATGAATGGCATCTGTTACGGCAAAAACACACTCAAGCGCATAGCCTCCAGGCACTATAAAGCAAGTACACAATCTAGTCTACATAACAACTAGCCAATAACATGATGACAGAATCAAAATCACACATACTACCCCTAATATTTTATGGAAATAAGTGAAACACACCACTTAAAAGACACAGAATGTCAGGCTGGATAATAACACAGCACTCAACCATCTGTTGTCTACAAGAGACCTATCTGACATGTAACGACACCCGCAGGCTCTAAGTAAAAGAACAGAGAAATACCTACCTTACAAATGGAAAACAAAAAAAGAGCAGGAATTGCTATTCTTACATTGAATAAAACAGACTTTAAACTAATAAAAATGAACAATCATGAAGAAGGGCATTATAAAATGATAAAGAGTACAGACTCTTTTATTCCAACTGGAAACCTTAACTAGACTAAATATATATGCACCCAATATTGGAGTACCCAGATTTATAAAACAAGTTCTTCTTGGCCTATGAAAAGACTTAAGACAACTACACAATAATACTGGGAGACTTCAACACCCCACTGACAGCATTAGACAGATCATCAAGGTGGAAAACTCACACAAAAAATCTGAATTTACACTTGACACTTTATCAATTGAATCTGACAGACATCTATGGAACACTACACACATCAACCACAGATTGCACCTTCTTCTCATTTGCACATGGAACATTCTAAGGTTGACCACATGCTTGGTCATAAAGTAAGTCTCAATAGATTTAAAAACCCTAAAATTGTACCAAGCACACTCTTAGACCACATTGCAATAGAAATAAAAATCACATGCCCAAAAGAATATAGATTATTCTACCAAATAGACACATGTATGTTCATCCCTGCACCATTTGGAAAGCAAAGACGTGAAATCAACCTAGATACCCATCAATGGTGGATTGGATAATGAAAATGAGGTACATGTATGCCAGGGAATATTATGCAGCCATAATAAAGAATGAGATAATGTACTTTGCAGCAACAAGAATCGAGCTGGAGGCCATCCATGATCCTAAGAAAATTAATGTAGGAACAAAATAACAAATACTTTATATTCTCACTTACAAGTGGGAACTAAACATTTAGCACACATGGTCATAAACATGGGAACAATCAACACTGGGTACTCTAGAGGAGGGACGGAAAAAGGGGAGCATCAGTTGAAAAAACCACCTACTGGGTACTATGCTCACTACCTAAGCCCAATAAGCCTATGTAACAATTCTACACATGTGCCCTTTGTGTTTAAAATAAAAGCTGGCATTAAAAAAATCTATTTCTAACCATGTCCCTTATAAAGTGCCAAGGAAAAGATGAGATTATTCAAAGAATTTTTAGAAAATTTACCATTTAAAAAAATCATATGCGTTTTAAAATGTAGAATCAAAACAATGCAATAGTGGCAGTTATACTTTAAGTAGAATATTTTCACCGAATTGTCTTTGATATCAAAAGCATGTCATCCTTATCAGCACATATATACACATTAGTCATATAAATATTTAAAATAACATAAGGCCAAATGTTAAATTTGCATTATTTATGTTACAGCATTATTTCCCAGTGTTAATAATACCTATTCATATATAAACACTACTCCCTTGAGGAAAGCCTATAGCATAAAATTATGCTAATCAGCTTAATGATATACTATAGCTTCTCAGAATAAAGTATTTTTTATATTGCCAGTAGTCAACCATTCAAAATGAAAAGAAAAAAATAATTAACTAACATGATGTATGCACAGGTCTGAATTTGAAGCCCAATTCCACTTCTATTTAGGGTTGTAATCTTGTGCTGGTCGTTTTTCCTCTTTGTATTTTCAACTGTAAAGTAAAGTTAATAATATAGTTATCTTGTAGAGCTGTCGTGTTAATTAACTGAAGTACATATGTAATGCCATCTAATAGTGCCTAGCACATGGTTAATGCTCTATAAATGGTAGATGATATTTTTACACCATTATTGTTACTATAGTAAAATATGCATGTAGGATGTCAACTTACATGCTCAGAGACTATTCTGTAAGTTAATGTCATAAATTTTTATTTCTTAGTAATACAGTTGGTAGAGAGATGGCATGGCCTAGTTGTAGAGCACATTAAGAAAATGTGCTCTAGAACTAGGCCATCTGGATTGTTATCTTGGGTGTACTATTTACTAGCTGTTTGATTCTTTTCTGTGATTTGGTTTCATTAACATAACTGTATTTATCAGAAAGAATTATTGTAAAGCTCAAATGAGTCAAGTCACTTAAAACACTTAGCAATATTCCAGGCACATAGTAAATACTCAACAGTGTCAAAATCATAAAAAAGTAACAATATATTATTTTTATTGAAAATAGCTAATGTATATTATAAAGCTGACTAACATACATTTATGCTACGGCAGTTTCTAAAGGAAATCTTGGTTTATTTAAGTAGCATTTTAGTAATTATTAATAGTGGATAACAGTGCTATTACTGTTATCTGAGTTGGCTTGGCAAAACGAAGTCTGTCTTCTTGTGTTCATAGATCATGTTTACTCTTCATCCCTGTACAGGCTACTTCTGTTCTTTGGGGACAAGATATCATACCAAAAGGGTAATCCTGTCTAAGCTTTGGGAGATATTTGTAATTCAGACAAAGGCCCATGGCCTGTGGACAGAATCTAATTTCAGGAGAGTTAGTAGAAGTTGGTAGTTTAATTGGGCCTCCTGACTGGCTGAAGAAAAAGCCCAAGGCATAAGAGGGGAGTAGAATTGTAAGTAGCTGAGTAGAATTGATTGATTGTAGTATGAAGGTATGTAGCATTATAAAGTGGGTAAAAATAAGAGTGGAATAAAAGTGCTGAAGTTTAGGAACCACACAAATAACTAAGCATAATCCTCATGGTCTCTGTATCCCAGGTACTAGGTGGCAGCTAAAACATTCAGGGGATTGGAAAGGCAGTGGAAGTTTGGAAAGCACATAGGTGTCCTAACTTCTTACTGGACCACTAGATCCTGAGCTGTATTCAGTGGTGGAGCTGAAGCTGTTTGTACACATTCTGCCTAAGTACTGGCAACCTATGGGACCAACCAAGGGATATATTTAAAGACGGAAACAAAGAAAAAGCAAATAAAGTAACAACTTAAAATACATTTCCTGGATCTTTCCGGTATGATTGCATCTGAAGAGGGGACCCAGGTGATAACAATACATGTAAAAGCCCATCTCTTAATTCCAGTAAAGATGCTATGTCATTGTTCTATCTTATTTGCCTGTTTAAAGGTAAGCTATCCCCTAAACACCAATATATTATAACATACTTTTCTAGGTGTTGAATAAAAATATTGTGCTGAATAGAATTTAAGTAGGTGGAATCACTCATTCTCATTTGTCTATGTGGCTGTCACTTGTGGATAGAAATTTAATTGCTTTGGTATGATTGGCTTTTCACAAAACTCAGTTTTTCCATAGGCCAAAGAATGGCAGGAATGAAACAGTACTAGTTCTTTTACTCAATGGGCCATCATAATCCAGTGCAGAAACAAAAATGGGTAAAGTTCCTCAGTCACATCCAATTCAGCAATAATCACATCACTACAGACATAGTGAAGATTCATAGGTAATACAATCTTTAAGAATTTAGATGGCTTTTTTCTTAGTATTGTTGATATCACAACTATACTTAAAAATTAGACTGTACTTCTTAATTAACTATCTTTAAAGGAGCTTCAATAAGTTAGAAATATGAAAAGTACTTTAAATTTGTTAAAATATTGCTGTTTCAATAGATTTCATTTTGAAAAGCATGCATATATAATGTATATAGATAATTATGTGCAAAAGAAAATATTCTTCATAATTAAAATTGATTTAAACCAAGGTAATGGTTTATTACCATTACATTACATTAGATTTAATATGCTGAAAGTGTTTTTTTGCTATTTTAAAACTTTCATAACATTTTTTCTAAACAGACCTAATTTATATTTCAATTCACTATTCTTTTCAATTTATATTTTAGGTTCAAGGAGTACACATGCAGGTTTGTTACATGGGTAAATTGCGTGTTGTGGGGTTTTGGTGTACAGATAACTTTGTCACCCAGGTAGTCAGCATAATACCTGATATGTAGTTTTTCAATCTTCTTCATCCCCCCACCCTCCACCCTCCAATAGGCCCCCAGTGTCCATTATTTTCTTCTTTGTGTCCATGTGTACTCAATGTTTAGCTCCCACTTATAAGTGAGAGCATGTTGTATTTGGTTTTTTGTCCCTACGTTAATTCTCTTAGGATAATGGCCTCCAGCTCCATCCATGTTGCTGCAAAGGACACGATCTCATTCTTTATTATAGCTTCATAGTATTCCATGGTATAAATATACTACGTTTTCTTTATCCAATCTACTATTGATGGACATCTAGGTTGATTCCATGTCTTTGCTACTGTGAATAGTGCTGTGATGAACATTCAAATGCATGTGTGTTTATGTTAGAAAGATACAAAAAGAAACTATAGTGTGAGTGGGTGTGGTGGCACTTGCCTGTAGTCTCAGCTACTTGAAAGGCAGAGACAGAAGGATTGCCTGACCCCAGGAGCTTGAGATTAGTCTGGACAACATAGCGAGATCTCATCTCAAAAAATTTAAAAATATATAAAATAAAGAAGGGGCTTCGAGATGGATGACTAGATGCATCTCATACTCACCACCTTCACTAAGAAAAAAGAAAATAGGGGGTAAATAATTACACTTCAAATACATCACCCAAGAGAGAAAACTGGTATTCAACAGAAAAGTAACAGGAAATACCTAAAGCAAGGAAGGAGAGGAAAGTGATGTAGCCTGCTTAGTCAGAATTGACTGGTATCCAGGAGAAACTCCCCAATGAATAGAAAGGGTAAAGAAGAGATTTCTCAGTGGTTCACATTTTCACCATGGGCTCCTGCCTTTTTAACTACAGGAGAGTCCCTAGAACCAGATGGGCCTTGAAACTAACATAGGGTGTTGCTGAGAAATTGCACAGTGCTACTGCTCTACCACTCCCTCCCACAAGTCCTAAGAAACTACAACATGGTGCCATTTTGAAAGCCTAGCTCACAACTGATTGCAAGGTCCTGGGGCCCAGCAGTGATAGGGCTAAGGCATGAGCAAGGTTCAGGTCACCACTGCAGGGGATGAGGCATGAGCAAGGTGCAAGCCGCTGCCACAAGGACTGAGGCAAAAGGAAAGCTTATAATCCTTACCTTCCAGCCTAGGTTGCTGCTACTGAATGTGGCCCCACCCTCCCACGTGCCAGGGCCATAATGTGACTGTTACCATATTCTGCCAGGAGTCTTGGGATTGCCCCGAACCTTGCCTACCATAGCAGGCACCTGAAAATACCACCAGTGGCCTGAAGACAGTCTGCCCAATCTAGCTTTACCCGTACCCCCAATCCCAGAGCACATAGTCCAGGGCCCTGGGAATTTCCCAGCCTAGTTCATCACCAATGGCACATGAGCACTTCTCCTAGAGGCCTGAGGTAGGGCCTACCTATCCTGTTGCTACAGCCAAAGCTGGCACCTGCCTGGATGCACCACCTGCGAGCCTGGAAACTTGCCATTCCAGCTTATTGCAGTCACTGCCAACACCAGTGTATGCTGCTTATGACCCAGAGGGTCATTCTACCATTGCCACTGCTATCAGCCCTGACATGTTGGTTACTCAGAGGCCCCAAAACCTGCCCATTCACCTAGCCTACCACTGCCACTACTGGCATCTGTGCAAGCCACTTAGAGGCCCAAGAACAATGGGATTCAAGCCTGGACCTGCTAACAACAATGCTAGGGTACCCCTCTCTATGGTCTAAAGATAGGCACATTCAGCCCACCACTGCAACCACAGGAATCCAAGACAGGCCCGCCTGGCATCTCGGTCCCCAGGAATACTTCACAAGAGCCACCACTAATAACCATGCCCTCAGCCACTAAGGAAATCACAGATAGCACTAATGCTATGTAGAGTCACAGAAATTACACAGAGACTACTCTACTGTATGCACCCAGAATCAAAGCCAAAGTGTTCTACCCAATCAATGCAATAGATATATCTTCAGGAAAAAAAATCTTCCCTTATGAATGCAAACTCAAAAAACTGGAAGAAGCAGCTGTTATGCCAGATGCACAGATAACAATGTAAGGACACAGGGAACATGAAAAAGCAAGGAAGTATGATACCTCCAAAAGAGCACAGTAATTCTCCAGCAACAGACCCCAGTAAAACACAAATTTATGAATTCCCATAAAAAGAATTTAAAATATTGTTTTTAAATAAGTTAAATGAGGTACAAAGAAGACTGGAAAACAATACGAAGAAATCAGAAAAATAATTTAGAATATGAATAAGAAATTTAACAAAGAAATAGATATCATTAAAAAAAGAACCAGAAGTAGAACCTTGGATGGGTGGTGAGGGTTGAAAAATTACCTATTGGGTGCAGTGTTCACTGTTTGGGTGATGGGAACATTAAAAGCCCAGACTTCACCACTACATAGTATATGAATGTAAAACATCTGCACTTGTACTCCCTAAATCTATATAAAAAAATAAAAGTTCTTAAAAATTAAAAAAATCTAAACAGAAATTCCAAAACTAAATAATTCATTGAATAAGATACAACATATATTTAAAAGTTTTGACAATAGACTAGATCAAGGAGAAGAAAGAATCCCAGATTTGAAGACAAATCTTTTGAAATAACCTAGTCAAACAAAAATAAAGACAAAAGAATAAAAACAAATAAGCAAATAACTAAAAATAGAAGTACTCTTTGATCCAGCAATCCTACTACTAGGTATCTATCCAAAGGTAGAGAAGTTAGTATATCAAAGGAATACTCATACTTACATGTTTATTGCAGCACTATTCAAAATAGCAAAGATATGGAATCAACCTAAGTGATGATCAACGGATGAATAAATAAAGTGTGGTATATATGCACAATAGAATACTATTCGTCCACAAGAAAGAATAAAATCATGTCATTTACAGCAACATAGATGGAACTGGAGGTCATTATGTTAAGTCAAATGAGCCAGGCACAGAAAGTGAAATACTACACGTTCTCACTCATATGTGGGACCTAAAATAGTTGATGTCATGGAGGAAAAGAAGAAAATAATAGATACCAGAGACTGAGAAAAGTGAAGGGTGTGTGAATAGGAGGGAGGCATGAAGAGAGGTTGGCTAATGGGCACACACATACAGTTATATACAAGAAATGAATTCTAATGTTTAATAGCAGAGTAGGGCAACTATAGATAGCAACAATATATTATATATTTTAAAGTAGCTAGAAAAGAAGACTTGAAAGTTTCCCAGTAGATATGGTAAATACATAAGGCAATATATACACCAAATACCTTGACTTAATCATTACACAATCTATGCATGTGACAAATACTCACATGTACCCCATAAATATATAAAATATTATGTATATATACAAATGCAAAGTAAATAAATTCATTAAAACATGAATAAAAGAAATTACCACGTGTGAGATGAAACATACTGATAGAATTAATCGATTAGACACTGCAGAAGAAAGATTAGTGACTTAGTAAATATAGCAATAAAAATTATCCAAGATTTAACACAAAAAGAAAAGTGAGTTTTGAAAAATAGAGTATCTGTGAGCCATAGGACAACACGAAGTTCACTTATACACATGTAATTAGAGTGCTTGAAAGAAAGGAGATAAATAAGGGCAGAAGAAAAATATTTGAAAACATAATAACTGAAAGTTCTCCAAAATTGATTATAAGTATTCTATTAGTTTTCTAGGTCTGCCAATAATAAAAATACAACAGGCTAGGTGGTTTAAACAACAGAGATTTATTTTATGAAAATTCTAGAGGCTAGAAGTTAAAGATGAAAGTGTTAGTAGGCTTGGTTTTTCTGGTCTGTCTCCTTGGCTTCCAGATGACCACCTTCTAACTGTTTTCATATGGCCTTTCCTCTGTGTGCACACATTCATTCAGTCTCTTTGTGAATCCAAATTTTCACTTCTTATAAGAATTTCAGCCAGATTGGATTAAATCCTACCCTATCAGCCTAGTTTTAATGTAGTCACCTCATTTAACGGCTCTAAAAACAAATACAGTCATGTCCCGAGGTACTGGGCATTTAGGATTTAATATAAAATTTTTGAAATAAAAGTTCAGCTCTTTACAAATAGGAACCCTCAGTTCTAAGAAATTCAATGAAACCGAAGCACATAAAACATGAAGAAAACTACATGACAAATAATAATTACATTGCTCAAAACTAGTAGTAAAGAGAATATGTTCAAATCAGTGAGCAACAAGCAAAATATTCCATCCAGAAAGGAAGAAAACGGAAGGACAAAGGCAAATTTCTTGTTGAAAATGACAAAAACATAAAGGTTTTGGAGCAAGATTATTAAAGTACTAAAATAAAAGCACTGTCAACAAAGACTTCTATATCTAGACAAAATATCTTTCAAAAATGAAAGTGAAATAAGCACTTTTTAAGGTATGAAAAGTGTGAAAGAATTCATCACCTCCAGATCCATATCAAAAAAAAAAAAAACAACTGAAAGGGAGGACTTTGTGCAGGAGGAAAATAATACTACAGGAAAGTATGGATCTATGTATAAAAATGAAGAGCACTGGAATTAGTAACCACATGGGTGAATATACAACATTTTTCCTAATATTTAGGTTTCTTCAAAAGATAATATTAGGTTAAAGAAAACTAATAGCAATGTAGTATGAGGTTTATAACGCAAGTAAAAGTAAAACATATGACAAAAATAGTATGGATATCAGGAGGAGGTGTGCAAGAATACCATTATAAAGTAAAAATATACCTGCAATGATATGATATCACTTGAAATTTGACTGTGATAAGTTAAATAAGTATACTTTAACTTTATAGAAACCAAGAAAATAACAAAACAAACCATTATATTTGATAAGCCAAAATAACAGCATAAAACAGAATCATAAAAAAAAATAAACAGGAAACAGGAAAAGTGGAAAGTTTTAATAAAGAACTAGCAATAAGATAGAAAACAAATAGTAAGAAGGGAGTTTTAAACCAATCCATATAAATAAATGTATTAAATAAAAATGATCTACACACCGCAAATAAAAGTCAGGGATTGTCAGTTCAGATAAAAAACAGAAGATCCATTAGATACTGTCTACAGGAAACCCAATTTAAAAATAAAAGACACAAATTGGTTAAAAGTAAAAGAAGGGTAGTAGATGCACCATGCTAACACAAATCAAAAGAGAACGAGAGTAGCTATATTAATAACAGATAAAGCATATTTGATTAATTTATCTTTATAATGACTCTTTTTTAAATTTTATTTTTACAGACAATATCTCGGTCTGTTGTCCAGGCTGGAGTGCCAGTGGCACAATCATAATAGCACTTGAAATCAGGTTATGTTATTCCAACAACTTTGTTGTTTTGCAAAGTTGTTTCTATTGTAGGTTACTTACATTTGCGTGTGATTTAGAATCATCTTGTCATTTTCTTTTCCTCAGCTTTTATTTTACAATTGTGGGTACATGTGTAAATTTGTTACATAGGTATGTTGTGCATATATATAGGTATATATGCTGAGGTTTGGAGTATAAATGAATCCAACATCCAGGTAGTGGGCAAAATACCCCATAGTTTCTTCAACACTTACCTTTTCCCATTTGCATTCCCTATTGTCTATTTTTCCCATTTTTATGGCCATGTGTATCAAACGTTTAGCTTGCATTTGTAGATTTTTTTAATTAAATAAAATAAGCAGGCATGTGCTTGGAGGCACTCTGACAGCCCTACTTCAGCAGATTGAGCAGCTTTATTTCCTGGTCCAAGCAGGCTGCAATTGCAGAATTAGAACCTTATTGGTATCCTTAAGTGAAGGTAGAGGCCATCAAAAAAGGAACCCAAAGGTATCGGGGGCTGAGGCAAGGAGGCCCAGAAACAATGGTTTGGATGAGATGCTCAGGAGCAGAGTGCTGGCTACTAGGGAAATGGGAAGGGATATGAAGATTTCTATGGGAATGAGGTGCCCAAGTTACTTTTCTCAACAATTTACTGAATACTGAACATTAGTTAATGTGATTTTTTAAAATTCATAGATTGTGGTTTAACTTTTGTTTAAAACCTTGACCCTTTGAATGACCTTTTCACCTTTATACGTAAGGGAGCAACATGCACATTTCTCATTCTGCAGTGCTAATTGTTATAAACAATCAGACTAAGAAATTTATTTGGCATTCTTTATACTGTATGAGCTGCATTTTGCAAGATAGTCTCCATCTTAAACATCCATCTATAATCAAGTTATTTTTGTCAAGCCTGACTTTTTGTCCTTTGAAAATTAATATTATTCATACCTCTCAAATTACTAAACCACGGTACAGTTTGTTGTGCACACAGCATCCTTCACTTATCAGAAATATAAGGGGCAGCCTGCTTATGTTTTCTCTACAATTTTTAAAATTCTAAGCTTGCATACAGAAAATTTGTTTCTGTATTATCTTCATGGAATTGTGTTTTATTTTCACTTTGAGGGTCTTGATGGGGAGATACAAGAACTCTCCAACTTTCAGTCCCTTCTTCATGAATCATCTGAAATCTCATCTTAGATCAATTTAGCAGATATTAATACAACATATATAGTAAGAGCTATGCTCAGTTTAGTCATGCAAGGGCAATAAAGAAAGAACATGCATCGGGGATCTTACACAACTTTAATTAAATTATTTTATGTTAAGTCAATTCATTTTTCAACTAAAACAATAAAACAGAGTAGTCATATCATTAACATTTAATACCTCAGTACTGTGCTTCATCCATCGAATTCTGATTAAAATAAGTCATTCCAATGTGGAATGTAATGTAAAACTGACAAATGTGGGACAATTCCAAGAGACTTAAAATATTTTTATAACATATAAATCTTTTAAATGCATATTCTCCAGTGGTCATTCACATACTTAACCTATATCTGACAATAATTATTTTAATGACCATAAGGTATCAGGGACGTTTATATTTTGTATATTATTCTGGACTTCACTGAAGAATTAACAAGGGGAATGTTTGAGGGCTTGTACCCACTCAGCATGATGTTAGCTGTGGACTTGTCACAGAAGGCTCTTAGTATTTTGAGGTATGTTCCTGTCATTCCTAGTTTGTTGAACATTTTTATCATAAAGGGATGTTGGATTTTATCAAAGATTCTCTACAGCAATTGAGATGATTGTACGGTTTTTGCTTTTGAGTGTGTTTATGAAGTGAATCACATTTCTTTATTTTGATACATTGCACCAACCTTGCCTCCCAGGAATAAAGCCAACTTGATCATGGTATATTAACTTTTTGATGTGCTGCTGGAATTAGTTGGCTAGTATTTTGTTGAGGATTTTTGCATCTATATTCATCAAGTATTTTGGTCTTAAATTTTGTTTTTTCATTTTGTCTGCCAGGTTATGGTATCAGACAGATGCAGGCTTCATATAATGAGTTAGGAAAGAGCCCTCTCCTCTTTGATTTTTTTCAAATAGTTGCAGTTGGATTGATATAAGCTCTTCTTTGCATGTCTGATAGAATTTGGCTGTGAATCCCTCTGGTCCGGGAGATTTTTTTGGTTGGTAGTTTTTTTAAATGTATTACTGACTCAATTTCAGAAGTTAATATTGGTCTATTAAGGGTATCGATCTCTTCCTGATTCAATCTTGGGAGACAGTGCTTTTCCAGGAATTTGCATATCTTCCAGATTTTCTAATACGTGTGCCTAGAGTTGTTCATAGTAGTTCCTGGAACAAGACAAGGATGCCCAAACCCACCACTCCTATTCAGAATAGTACTAGAAGTCCTAGCCACAGTAATTAGGCAAGACAAAGAAATAAAAGGCACCCAAATAGGAAAAATAAAATAGTCAAATTATCCCTTATTTACTCACAATATGATTCTATAGTTAGAAAACCCTAAAGACTCTGCCAAGAGGCTCCTCGTATTAATAAATTACTATAGGAATCTTTCAGAATACAAAATCAATGAACAAAAATCAGCAGCATTTCTGTACGCCAACAGCATCCAAGTTGAGAGTGTAATCAAGAACATGATCTCAAATAACCTTTAGTAATATAAATAACCTTTAGTTATTTAATTAACTAATCTAGTATTTAAATAACCTTCAGTTATTTAAAAATGTACAATTATATTATTTTTGAATATGCTTACCCTGTTGTGCCAGTAAATACTAGGTCTTATTCATTATTTCTTATAATAGTAACAAAGAAAATAAAATACCTAGAGATACAGATAACCAAAGAGGTGAAAGATCTCTACAAGAGAAGTAAAAAAACACCACTGAAAGAAATCAGAGATGACACAAATAAATGGAAAAGTATTCCATGCTTATATGCTTATAGATTGGAAGAATCAATATCATAAAAATGGCCATACTGCCCAAAGCAATTTACAGATTTAATGCTATTCTTATCACACTTCTAATGGCATTCTTCAGAGAATTAGAAAAAAAAATATTCTAAAGTTTATATGGAATCAAAAAATAGCCTAAATAGCAAAAGCAATTAGAACTAAGCAAAAAGAACAAAGCCAAAGACATCACAGAAACCTGATTTCAAACTATGCTATAAAGCCACAATAACCAAAACAGCTTGGTACTGGTATAAGAAAAGGCACATAGACCAATGGAACAGAATAAAAACTCGGAAATAAAGCCAGACACCTACAACCACCTGATCTTCGGTAAGTCTGACCAAAACAAGCAATGAGGAAAGGACTCCCTATTAAATAAATAATGCTGTGATAACTGGCTAGCCATATGCAGAAGATTTAAGCTTTACCCCATCTTTCACTACATACAAAACATTAACTCAAAACACATTAAAGATTTAAATATAAGGCCTCAAAGTATACAGATTCACAAAGACAACCTAGGAAATACTGTTCCTGACATAGATCTTGGCAAATAATTTATGGCTACATTCCCAAAAGCGATTGCATCAAAAGCAAAAATAGACAAATGGAATGTAATTAAACTAAAGAGCTTCTGCAGATAAAACAAAACAAAACAAAAACCGAGCAAACAGACATTCACAGAATGGGAGAAAGTATTTGCAAACTATGCATCAGACAAAGGCATAATATCCAGAATCTATAGTAAAGTTAAACAAATCAACATGCAAAAACCAAATAACCCCACTTAAAAATGGGCAAAGGACATGAACAAACACTTCTCAGAAGAAGACATACAAGTGACAAACAAACATATGAAAATATGCTCAGCATCACTAATTATCAGAGAAATGTAAATAAAAAACACAATGAAATGGCATCTCACATCAGTCAGAAACACTATTATTAAAAAGTCAAAAAACAACAGATGCTGATGAGGCTGTGGAGGAAAAAAAGAGTACTTATACTCTGCTGATAGGAATGTAAATTAGTTCAGCTATTGTGGAAAGCAATCTGGATATTTCTCAAAGAACTTAAAACAGAGCTATCATTTGACCCAGCAATCCCATTATGGAGTGTACACCCAAAAGAAAGAAAAATCATTCTACAAAAAGACACATGCTCTTGAATGTGCATAGCAACACTATTCCCAGTAGCAAAGACATGGAATGTGACACATCACATAAACAAAATTAAAAACAAAAATGATATGATCATCCCAAAAAATGCAGAGAAAGCATTCAACAAAATCAAGCATCCATTTAGGGTAAAAACTGTAAACAAACTAGGCGTATAAGGGACTTACCTCAAACTAATAGAAGCTGTATACGACAAAGTCACAGAAAACAACATATTGAATGGGGAAACGTTGAAAGCAAACCCCTGAGAACAGAAACAAGTAAAAAATAACCACTTTCACCAATACTATTCAACATAGTTCTAGAAGTCCTAGCCAGAGTAATCAAGCAAGAGAAAGAAATAAAAGGCATCCAAATTGGAAAAGAGGGAGTCAAAGTATCCCTGTTTGCAGATTATATGATCGTATACTTAGAAAATCCTAGATTCTTCCAAAAGACTCCTAAATTTGATAAACAAATACAGTAAAGTCTCAGGTTACAAATCCATGTACATAAATCAGTAGCACTGCTATAAACCACCACCAACTAAGCTGAGAAACAAATCAAGAATGCAATCTCATTTACAACAGGTACAAAAAATATTAAATACCTAGGAATATACTAAACCAAGGAGGTGAAAGGTCTCTACAAGAAGAACTACAAAACACTGCTGAAAAAAATCATAGGTGACACAAATGGAAACATATCCTATATTCATGGTTTGGAAGAATCAATATTGTGAAAACGACCACACTGCCCAAAGCAATCTGCAGGGTCAATGCAATTCCCATCAAAATACCAATATCTTTTCTCACAGAAATAGAAAAACAATCTGAAAATTCATATGGAATCAAAAAAGAGTCTGAATAGCCAAAGCAAGCAGTATTAGTCAGGGCTCTCTAGAGGGACAGAACAAATAGGATATACATATATATATGTATATATGTTCCAATTTGGATGCCTTTTCTTTCTTTCTCTTGCTTGATTACTCTGGCTAGGACTTCTAGAACTATGTCTAGAACTCCCTTTCATATATATATATATATGTATATGTATGTGTGTATATATATACACACACACACATACACACAAACACACAAACACACACACACACATATGTGTATATATATATATATATATATGAAGGGGAGTTTATTAAGGAGAATTGACTCCCACAATCACAAGGTAAAGTCCCACAATAGGCCATCTGCAGGCTGGGAAAGAAAGAAGCCAGTATTGGCTTCTGAGTCCAAAAGCCTCAAAAAGAGGGAAGCCAAGAGTGCAGCCTTCTGTCTGTGGCCAAAGTCCTGAAAGCCCCTGGCAAACCACTGGTGTAAGTCTAAGAGTTCAAAACCTGAAGAACTTGGAGTCTGATGTTCAAGGGCAGGAAGCATCCAGCACGGGAGAAAGATGTAGGCCAGAAGACTAAATCAGTCTAGTCTTTTCATATTTTTCTGCCTGCTTTTATTCTGGCGTCGGGGCAGCTGATTAGATTGTGCCCACCTAGATTGAGGGTGGGTCTGCCTTTTCCAGTCCACTGACTCAAATGTTAATCTCCTTTGGCTACACCCTCACAGACACACCCAGGAACAATAATTTGCATCCTTCTGTCCAATCAAGTTGACACTCAATATTAACTATCACCACAATCCTAAACAAGAAAAGCAAATCTGGAGGCATCACATTACTGGACTTGAAATTATACTACAAGACTATAGTTACCAAAATAGCATGGTACTTTCATAAAAGTAGGCACATAGTCTAATGGAACAGAATAGAAAACCCAGAAACAAAGCCAGATATGTACAGCAAACTGGCCTCCAACAACGCATACAGAAACGTAAATTGGGGAATGGACACTCTATTTATTAAATGAAAAACTGGCAAGCCACATGTGGAAGAATGAACTGGATCCCTATCTCTCACCTTATACAAAAATAAGCTCAAGATGGATCAAAGACTTAAATATAAGACCTGAAACCATAAAAATTCTAGAAGTCAACGTGGGAAAAACTTTTCTAGATATTGACATAGGCAAATAATTCATGGTTAAGACCCCAAAGGCAAATGCAACAAAAACAAAAATGAATAAATAGGAGCTAATTAAACTAAAAAGCTTCTGCACAGCAAAAGAAATAATCAGAGTAGACAACCCATAGAATGGGATAAAATATTTGCAAACTATGCATCTGGCAAAGGCCTAGTATCTGGAATCTATGAGGAAATCAGACAAATCAACAAGAAATAAAGCAATAATCCTATTAAAATGTGGGCAAAGGGGCCAGGCTCGGTGGCTCCCGCCTGTAATTCCAGCACTTTGGGAGGCCGAGGTGGGCAGATCACGGGGTCAGGAGATCGAGACCATCCTGGCTAAAATGGTGAAACCCCATCTCTAATAAAAATACAAAAAATTAGCCGGGCTTGGTGGTGGGTGCCTGTAGTCCCAGCTACTCGGGAGGCTGAGACAGGAGAATGGCATGAACCCGGGAGGCGGAACTTGCAGTGAGCCAAGATCATGCCACTGCACTCCAGCCTGGGCTACAGAGACTCTGTCTCAAAAAAAAAAAAAAAAAAGGTGCAAGGGACATGAATAGACATTTCTAAAAACATATATGCAAATGGCCAACAAACATGAAAAAGTTCTCAGTATAACTAATAATCAGGGAAATGCAAACTAAAACCACAATGAGATACCACCGTACTCCTTCAAGAATGGCCATTATCAAAAAGTCAAAAAACAATAGATGATAGATGTTGGCATAAATGTTGGGAAAAGGGAATGCTTATACACTGCTGGTGGGAATGTAAACTAGTACAACCTCTATGGAAAACCGTATGGAGATTCCTAAACGAGCTAAAAGTAGAGGTACTATTTGATCCAGCAAGCCCACTTCTGGGTATCTACCCAAAGGAAAAGAAGTTATTGTATGAAAAAGACACTTGCACATGTATGTTTATAGCGGTACAATTCACAGTTACAAAGATGTGGAACCAACCTAAATGCCCATTGACTAATGAGTGGATAAAGAAAATGTGGTATATATACACCATGAAATACTACTGAGCCATAAACAGGAGCAAAATAATGTTTTTCGCAGCAAATTGGATGGAGCTGGAGGCCATTATTCTAAGTGAAGTAACACAGGAGTGAAAAACCAAAAACCATACATTCTCACTTATAACGGGGAGCTAAGCTGTGAGTACACAAAGGCATACTGAGTGATATAATGGATTTTAGAGAAGGGGGAGAGGGGCTAGGGATAAAAACCTATATTCAGGTGCAATGTACACTACTTGGGTGACAAGTGCACTAAAATCTCAGGATTCATCACTGTATAATTCATTCACGTAACAAAAAATCCACTTGCACCCCAAAAGCTATTCAAATAAAAACAAAAAAAAATAAATCAAAATAAAATAAAATAATGATAATTATTTTTCAATGTGGTACGTATACACCATGGAATACTACATGGCCATAAAAAGGAGATGATATCCTTTTTTGCAACATGGATTGAGCTAGAGGCCATTATCCTAAGCAAATTAACTCACTAAAACAACAAAATATAGCAGATTCTCACTTATAAGTGGGAACTAAACATTGAGTAACACATGGACACAAAGAAGGGAGCAATATCACTGTGGCCTACTTGAGGGTGGAGGGTGTGGAGGGTGGGAGGAGGGTGAGGATCAAAAAACTACCCATCAATACTATGCTTATTATCTGGGTGACAAAATAATCTGTACACTAATCCCCTGTGACATGTAACTTATCTATACAACCAACTTGAACATGTATCTCTGAAACTAAAAGTTAAAAAAATACTCAACATAATTCTTTACTAGGAAAATGCAAATTAATACTAAAATGAGATACACACATATTAGAATGCCTAATATTAAAAAGACTGACCAACCATGGTGGTTAATTTTAAGTGTCAACTTGACTGAATTGAGGCATGCCTGGATGGCCGGTGAAGCACTGTCTCTGTCTTTGTGAGGCTGTTTCCAAGGTTGATTGGTGTGTGAGTAGACACACCCCCAATGTGAGAAGGTACAATCAAATAGGCTGTGGGCCCTGTTGGGAAAAACAATCAGAAGAAGGGGGATTCTCTTTCTCTGCTTTCTCATTCCCTTTTGGAATGGGATACATTTTTCTCTCCTGCCTTGGACATATGACTCTAGGTTCTTTGGCTTTTGGACTCTGAGACTTGGCACCGGTGGCCTCCTGGGGGCTCTTGGGCCTTCAGCCTCAGGCTAGGGTTTGTACTGTCAGACTTCCCTGGCTCTGTGGCTTTTGTAACTGCACTGAGCCACACTGTCAGCTTTTCTAGTTCTCCAGCTTGCAGATGCCCTATCATGGGGTGGGACTTCTTTGCCTGTGTGATCCTGTGAGACAATTCTCTCATAAATCCCCTCTCATATATCCCATTGCCTCTGTTTCTCTAAAGAACTCTAATACACCAACTTACCATACCAAGTGTTGATGACAATCTCTCCAACGCTGCTGAAAATTTAAAATGACATAACCACTTTGAAAAACAATTTGTCAGTTTTGTAAAGAGTTAATGACTCACCTACCATACAATTAGCCATTCCACAGCTAGGTATTTATCCAACAGAAAAAAATATACATGCTCATACAAATACTTGTAAACATTTACTCAGTTTTATTTGTAGTAGCGTAATGACTGGAAACTACCTTTAGGTCCACTATCAGGTCAATAGAGAAATACATTTTGTTACAGCCCCATAATAGAATACTACTCAGCAATAAAAAGTAATAAATTATTGAGACATAGAATAACACGAAAGAATCTCAAATTCATTTTGCTGAATGAACGAAGGCAAGAAAAAGTACATACTACATGATTCCATGTGTATGGAACTCTAGAACGTGAATGCCAAGCTAAAATGTCAGAAAGCAGGTCAGTAGTTACCCAGGCATGAGGGGTGAAGAGACAGGAAGGAAAGATTACAAAGTAGCACCCAGAAACGTTTTGAGAAGTCATGAATATATTTACTATCTTGATTGTGGTTATAGTTTCATAGTTATACATGTGTTAAACGTATTTAATTATATACTTGATATATGTGCAGGTATTGTAATGACACTTTATTTCTCAATAAAAATACAAATGCATATATATCTAAATAAGTACAAGCCTATACATATTTTCAGTAGGTAATTATCTGTTTTTTAAATTACAAGATAAAATGACAAATCCGATTGTCTTCAGAATGAACCTAATGACAAAATATACTTATATACTTTCTTGATTTTGTCATTAATTAATCAAATGACAAAACCATGTCAATATAACATAAAGTTTTAAATATGATGAGTAATTGCCTAAATGTTGGATATTTGAATGATGTACTAAGGGTTTTTAAAAAGTAAAAATCATTCTCATGATATGACAGATTTGAATAATTCACCCAAAGAGAAAATGTGATTTTATGTTATTTCATCTTAAAACTCCAGATAATTTAATGAAATAGTTATTCTTCAAAACAACACTTGAAAGCTGTGTACTGACTGTTTTACTAGATAAAAATATTTTAGATTAATTCTTTAAAACACCTTTCACAAGAACTCAGAATTTGTTAGAGTAAAATAAAACAAAAAACTTGCTATAGCCCAGGTACGAATTTTTACTCGTCTGTTGAGCTTTGACTTTATTATAAGAGTTACTAGTCTAAATGAAAATGTAGTATCTAGCACATCGTTTCCCCTTCACATATACATCTAAACAGTGTAAAACATGGATCCAGATACATTTACATAAGATTTAATTAGAATTCCACAAACTGTCATTTCCAGCTTTCATTCTTTAGTATTAATATTCTTAGTCATCTCTAAGGCATTGCTTTCCTGGGAGCAATTACAAAGCTTGGATTCTACTTGGTTTCAAGTATTGCTTTCTGGTTGAGTATTACATTTGAACTAACATAATGAATATTCAACATGAATGTCATTTTGTAACCTTTTAAGCTACTTTGTCTCAACAGAGAGAGAAACACTCTACTGTTTGTAATAGAAAACAAACATGAAATCTGATTGGTTATTATACCAATCAGATTATTTTGCTTGGTAGTTTTCTAAAAATAATTTAATGGGGGCACAAAGACAATAGTTCATGCTCATAATGAGCTCATGTGATAACCATGGCTATATGAGAACATAAATTAGAACTTCAAAAAACATCCAGCTGTTTATCAACATTTTCCAGCAAATATATTTATTTTGCAGTATTTTCTGCTTCCAATATAAACAATTGTAAGTCATCAAAATGTTTGAATGTGCACTCATGGCAAGTACATGTACACTAGAATTGTGCATAATTGTGGTGGTTTGGGTAATGCTTCAAATTGGTAAGAGAGGGTTAATGATACTTAATAAGAGCAGCATAGGAACCTAGGAACCAGAAATCTTAAACTGGTATCAGGGGGTCTGTAACTACAAAGTGCAAGGCTTTATCACAGTGATTAAGGCATGAAAAACACTGTAACGTACATTTTCAACAGGGGCACTATCTCCTCAAAGGGGGCAATAATTGATTCTTGAGGGGCAAAAATATTTGATAGTACAATGGTTTGTGACCCTCTAAATGGCCACAGTATATATGATAAAAAAGATATATAGTACATCTGTGGTATTAAAAATTCATGGTGCATGGTGAAACAATTACAGAAAGTATGTAAATAGCCTTTTCAGGGAGGAGATAATGAATAAAAGGGTTGAGAAACACTGCACTGTAAGATGGAAAATTCAGTCTATGGTACAAGGAATAAGAATCTGACCATGTCTATGTGAGTATTTCCTTTTATATTAGACTGTGAAATCGGGTAATTCTGTTTAGTATGCGTATCTTTATGATTGCACTGAGGTGGGCAAGGGGTGAGGAAAAAGAGTGGAATGAGGAGATTTCAGAAACATAAGGTCTTGAATGAATAATCTCTCCTATCCTCATTCACATCTTTCTCTGCATCATTACATTGAATTAATTTGTCTGTTTGTAGTCACATAGAATTTCTCAGTCTTTGGACAAGATTATAGAATTGACTGTCATAAATTCCCAAAGTAGGAAAAAATAATAAGATACCAAGAAAAACTCAGGAAAGTGCTAAAAAAATTCTGTAGTGCAATGTCAATGTCAAAGTCATTTATTGAATTATTTATTTTACTGAGGGCCATTCTTCAAGTAGTGTTGTCATAGGTTTCTTCTATTTGCTCAAAGTTGAAGAAGAAAGTTATAGGCATCAGCCCTTTGGGTGGTTTATTAATGAGCCAGCCCCTCTTAAACAAGTCCTACACTAATGCAGCTGTGGATTTGGCTGAAGATGATTAATCTATGTAAAAAGTCCCCTCCCAGACCCCATAGTTTCTGATTCTGATAATACAATGTCTCATAAAACAAATGAGATTTGAAACATACAGAAAAAAATAGGGTAAGTCATGGTCATTCTTTTTTATGATATAATATATTAATGATGAGCAGGTAGTGATTGCCAAATGCAAATTATACATAACACAACAGCAAAGAAGCCAGTCTTTTAAGAAATGTTTTCAAATTTACTGTGACAGCATTCATGGTTAGTTCAGGGAAATGATGTTTGGGTAGATTGAAAATGATTTTAAAAGCACTGAAGTGCAAACTCTAATATAAATTGTCACTGATAATGGTACTCTAAGTAGAAAAATGCAGTTCAATTTAAATTATTCAGTTCATTCCTAAATTATTCAAGATAGGTTTATTCAGATTAATAATTATAAAGCCTTAATAATCTTCTACCTGGTTTCCCACTTCTGAGTATTTCTCTTATTGTCGCATCCACGATAGGTCAAGATGGGGCACAAAAATTGTTAAAATACAGTTTCATCTATTTTATGACTTATTAACATTTCTTTACAAAAGACTAATCTAGAACAACAGCTAGGGCAGTGTTTGAGGATTTTCATAGATTCCCTCTTACGGAAATTTAAAAACTTTACATGTGCTGAGTTTAATTGGTATAACTATATTTTTACTGCATGTTACTTATGATAAGTAAATGATAAAAACAAACCTATTTCTACACAAAATACAAATATATAGGTATTATGTTAGTAACATCACATTTGCTAAGGGTCAAAGCACATAGAATGGTGCCTTTGACAGATATGTATAATATTAGATTAAGATAAAGTAAGAAAGCTTTTTTTTCATTGAGTGTGATATAGACATTTAATTTATTAGGAAAATAGTATAAACAGCCAGTCACAGTGGCTTATGACTGTAATCCCAGCAATTTGGGAGGCCAGAGTGGAAGTATCGCTTGCTGTCAGGAGTTTGAGACTAATCAAGGCAACATAGCAACACCCCATCTCTACAATTTTTTTTTTTTAATTTGCTGGGTTTGGTGGTGCATGTCTGTACTCCAAGCTACTCGGGAGACTGAGGAGAGAAGATGGCATGAGTCCAGGAGTTTGAAGTTAGAGTGAGCTATGATCATCCCACTGCACTCTAGCCTGGGTGGCAGAGGTAGACCCTGTGTCAGCAATTAAAAAAAAAAAGTAGAAGAAGAAAATATTATAAAGGTAATCTTGTAAGTGCACAAGAACTGTGAAATTATCCAATATAATATTAATGTATCAAAAATAATATGTCCTTTACAAAGTTGAAGTGTAAAATTTTCACTAAACCCTTAGTGTTTAATCTCATATCAAAGAATTAAAATTGTACTACCCTTTGAGAAAAGATTAGTCATTCTTTTTACAATGACAGATCATACTCAGGGAATAAATTATTTAAACACTGAACTATTCAAAAGAAACTTAAAGGTGGTATGGGAGTTTGTGGCATTTATATATAATACCATGCATAGTTCTGTGGCACTGCCAAACACTTTAAGTTGAATTCTTCCTTGTCATTAAAATCTAAAATGCTAAATTTGTGTCTTGGTCTACGTCATGATAGAACTGAGTTATTCATCCTTTCTGTCTTTGCATTTCCATGGAAATCATTTATATCTACAGTTGATCCTCATTATTCACACATTCAGTATGTGCACACCTCACTAAAATATATTTGCAACTGCATAATCAATACTCACAGTGCTTTCACAGTCATTTATCAACATATGCAGAGTGGAAGAAAATTTGACTCAACTGCCAACATGTCCTAAGCTATGGTTCAATGAGGCAACAGTCTGCCTTCTTGTATTAGCTGTCATCATGTAAAAAGGTGTCCTTTTTGTAGTCTATTTACTGCCACATTTTCCACATTTTGTATTTTCTGTTGGTTATTTCACTACTTTAAAATGTCCCCCAAGCTTAGTGATGAAGTGATGTCTAGTGTCCCTAAGCAAAAGAAGGCTGTAATGTATCTTAGAGAGAAAATACCTCTGTTAAAAAGCTTCATTCAGGCCTGAGTTACAGTGCTATTGGCCATGAGTTCAATGTTAATGAATTAACAATATGTATGAAATAAAGCGTATTTTAACAAAAACACAAATAAATAATGTTATGTATTGATCAGCTGATGAAAATGTTGTGACCTGAGGTTTGCAGGAATCTGACCCTGTATTCTGCATTGGAACAATAGTTCTGTATTCACTAATTTCAGTGTTTGTATTAACTTTACAGAACACAACTACTCTGAATAACGAGAATCAATTGTACTTCTAAAGGTTTTCACTAGGATTAAAGAAAATAATATCTACAAAACATGTAGTACAGCATTGTACTGTGGATGTTAATCGTGTGGGTAGTTTCACAGACTAAACTGTTTTCAAAAAGTGCAGGAATCTTTCAGGCCATTGGAATGACGTATCCATACTTCAACGCACTAAATGACTCCTTTTGCCTCAGAAAATGTGAGAATGTAGCTCAACAGCCCCTACATAAAAATAGCATTACACCAACCAGTGACCTACTCAAAAAGAAATATTTTAAGTTCAGTGAAAACCTATTGTCCCTTGTCAAATCTTGTCCTAAATAACACATCCTGCAAATTCCATCAGATAGCTTTTTTTTAAAGAAAATAAATAAAGCATTTATTTTCTGACTTTAAATTCACTTAGCCTTATGTATTTTCTAACTTCTCCATGGGCTTGTCTTTATGCCTTAGCAATGGAAGTAACACAGGCTAATTTAAGAGTTGCTAAAGTTTATTACTAACATCATAATTTAAAGTAATATATTGTGTATCTATAAACTCTTCCAGATTGCAAAAATACATGTGAAATGAAACAACAAACTCAAGATAACGGATTAAAAGAGATCCCTATGTATATGTGAGTGAGTGTACGTGTGCATACAATTAATTAGTGATTTCCTTAACTGCTACACAGAAATGGCATTTTTGAATTTTGAAAGAGTAGACTAATGTTTATATATACCTGTGACAGATTGCTGCCAAGATAATTGTCAATATTTTTGCTTCAGACGTTATATATTCTTGACAGCTGAAAACTCAAAACTTAGTTTTACTGCTTTTCTAGATTTCAAGGTTTTATATTGTTGGCACTCATTATCTGCTTTGTTATATATTTTTAGTGCCAGAATAAGCCTTAAAAATAGTACTCCTTTGAAAGGTCATAAAATAATGACTTCTACTATGAAAAGCTAAATGTTGCCCACCATTTTGAAAAAAAATTTGAAGTCTTTAGATGAGCCTGGAAATCATGTACAGAAGCTTCTGGTTTTGTCCCTCATATCCAACCAGATTCTAACAACTAATAGTTTATCCCATTCCAGAGGCCCTGCAAGGACAGTGTTTCTCAAATGTCTTAGAATTTTGCTTTGAATCTAGCCATTGCAACCAATGAAAAACAAAAAGATAACTGGTTCAATCTTTTAATATTCAAACTCAGAAAAGTTTAAATAACTAATGCAAATTTTTTTAAGATAAAAAGCACTTTGCACATATTTAATTCTATTATTAAGCAACTCAAGTCTACGATTAGTTCAATGCTAACCAGTTTCTAAATCATATGATAGAATGGGCAAGAGTACATTATAGTTAACTTTAAAATCAAATCAAATTTGCCTTCTGCCCCATTCCCGTCACTTTATTTTTGAATTCTCCCTCATTGACCAACTGTCCAATGCTTCCCAACTACACCTACCCCTATTTAGGACTTCCAATTGCTTTTGAAATTTTATCACATAGATAAAGAACTACCTCCTTTCACATACGGCAGTGGGAAGAATAAAGGATGGAGAGATTGCTATAATGACAATGACCAGAGAGGAAAACATAATTTTACTTTTTCAGTTCTGCCAAGGACAGGTTCAAGGACAGACTGATCTTTCTGAAATATAGGACATTTGCTCCCAGGCATTCCTACCAAGCTGAATACATGTGTATATTAAAATGTGGAAGACTTAATTCAATTATATGATTTGTCCCCTAAATGGCATTTAAAAAGGCCATATGATTATATTAGGTTGGTGCAAAAGTAATTGTGATTTTTGCCACCAGTTATATTGGATCAGGGCCCACCATAACGACCTCATTTTAACACTATAAAGATCCTGTTTTCTTTTTTCTTTTTTTGTTTTTAGATATGAGGTCTTGCTCTGTCACCCAGGTTCAAGTGCAGTGGCATGATCATAGCTCACCATAACACTGAACTCCTGGGCTCAAGCCCTACTCCTATCTCTGCCTTCCAAGTAACTAGGATTACAGGTATGCACCACTCAGCCTGGCTATTTTTTTTTAGAGATAGGGGTCTTGCTATGTTTTCCAGTCTGGTCTCAAGCTTCTGGCTTCAAGCAATCCTCACGCCTTGGCTTCCCAAACTGCTGAGATGACAGGCATAAGCCACCATGCCTGGCCCCTATTTTCAAATAAGGTCATACTCTGAGGTTTTGGGGGTTGGGAATTCAACCTACCTTTTTGTGGAGACACAGTTCAATCCACAAGTGATTTAAGAAAAAGTTATATTAACATTCATTAAAACAGATGAAGTGGCTATATTAATATCAGCCACAGATTTCAGAGCAAAGGATATTACCAAGTATAAGGAAGGTTACTTCATAATATTATAGTCATCAATCCATCAAAGAGTAATAACAAACTAAACTTGTATGTGCCTAACAATAAGTACCAAAATGGATAAAGCAAAAAACTGATAGAAAACCAAAGAGAAATAGACAAATCCATGACTACAGTCAGAGATTTCAATACTTATCTCTTTATAATTGGTAGAAAAAGTAGACAGAAAATCAGCAAGGATATAGTAGATGAACAATACAATAAATCAGTTTGATGCTGTCAATATTTATGGAATACTTCAGCCAAAAATAGCGAAATACACATTATTTTCAAATCCACATGGACGGTGACCAAGATACACCATATTCTGGGTGATAAAACAAGTCTCAATGAATTTGAATTGATTTAAGTCATATAAATTATGCTCTCTGATGACAGTGAAATTAAGTTAGAAATCAATAAAAAAAATTATCTGGAAAATCCTGAATTCAAGTATCACAATGTACCATGCTTCTAAATTACCCATGAGCAAAGGTTGAAATTACATTTACACTAAGGAGCATTGTGGAATAAATTAAAATGAATACAACATACCAATATTTGTGAAATGCCACTAAGTCCGTACTTAGAGGGGAGGATTATAACACCAAATGCCTATATTAGAAAAGAAGAAAGTTTTCCAATCAAGTACCTCACTTCTACCTTAAGATACTAGAATAAGTAGAATGAATTAATTCTAAAGTAAATATAAGAAAAACAACTTAAGATCAGCTTGGAAATTAATGAAATAGAAAACAATAAAACAATAGACATGAAAAACTGGTATGCTGAAAACGTCAACACATATCTGAAACCATGTAATTTTCAGCAATATGGATGGAACTGGAGGCCATTATCTTAGGTGAAATAAGCCAGGCACAAAAAGTCAAATATCATATGTTGTCACTTATATGTGGGAGCTAAAATATTTGATCACATGGATGTAGAAAGTGGAAAGATAGATAACAGAGACTGGAAAGGGTGAGTTTTGGGGAGAAGGGAGAATGAAGAGAAGTGGATTAAAGGATACAAACATATGGTTAGACAGAAGGAATAAATTCAATGTTTGATAGTAGAATAGGATGACAATAACTAACAAAAATGGTTTCACTTGGTTGACGGACACCATAAATATTCTGACTGGATCACTATGCATTATATACAGGTAACAAAATTTTACATGTACTCCATAAATTTATACAAAAAAAGGTTTAAATGAAAAATTGTTTTTAGTCAGTATGGCTTTGGTCTCATTAGTACTTTAATAAACATGCTTTGACATATTTTTTAAAAAAAGAAAGAAATTCTTAATAAACAGGGAAGTATACTGTGTGTGTGGGTTGAAAGACTCAGTATTATTAAGACTGTTAAATTAATGATATACTGTTAACAATACTTAATATTGTTAATATTCTTCCTGAATGGTACCACAGATTCAACAAAATTCCAATTAAAATCCCAGATGAATTTTTGTAGAAAATGACAAACTGATTCTGAAATTCATATGGAAATACAAAGAACCCATAATAGCTAAAATAACTTTGAAAAATAACAAAATTGGAGCAAAAACACTGTCTTATTTCAAGAGTTATAAAGCTACTATAATCAAGACATTGTTCTATTGATATAAAACTAGATATGTGGAGCAGAATAGTACAGATATAGACCTCCGCATGTGTGAACAACTTAATTTTGACACAATGCAGAGCCCTTTCAGTGGAGAAAGGGTAGTCTTTTCAGTAATGGTACAAGACCAAGTGGCTTTACATATCTTTAAAAAGTAGCCAGGAAACGTTGCTCAATCCTGTAATCCCAGGATTTTGGGAGGCCTACGTGGGAGGATCGATTGAACCCAGGTGTTTGAGACTAGCCTGGGCAACATAGTGAGACCTCTCCATCTCTACAAAAAAACAAAAACAAAATAGAAAAACTGGCATGGTGGTACATGTCTATAGTCCCAGCTACTTAGGAGGCTGAGGTGGGAGCATCTTTTGAGCCTGGAAGGTCAAGGTTGCAGGGAGCTATGATTGTGCCACTGCACCCCAGTCTGGGCAACAGAGCAAAACCCTGCCTCATGAAATAAAACTAAATAGTATAATAAAAATAGAGCCATTCCGCTCTTAGGTTTTTATCCCAAATCAATAAAAGTGTATGTCCATACAAAGACTTGTACATGAATATTCACATAGCTTTTTTTTTTTTTGTAATCCAAAAACTAAAAACATCTCAAATTTCCAGAGAATATATAAAAAGGTATGAAGTACAGGTTGGAATACTGTACAATATAATGGAATAACTCAGCAATAAAAATGAAAGAACTGTAGATGCAGGTTACAACATGAATGAACTTCAAATAATTATGCTTACTGAAAGAAGAAAGATACAAGGAGTAAATACTTCATGATTCCATTGATTTTAAACTCTAGAAAATGCAAACTATTCTGTAATGACAGAAAGCAGGTCAGTGGTTACCTGTGAAAGTTAGGGTAGAAGGATGACAAAGGGTTACTAAATGTAAACTTTTTTTGGTGGTTAGATGTATTCATTATGTTGATTTTGCTGGTGGTTTCATCACTGACTATACGTCAAGAGTGTCAAATTATATGTTTAATACATGTGCATTTAACAATTCCAGAAGAAGTCCAAATGGATGTTTGAATACAAGGAAACCACAGGATTGGCAAATAAAATTTAGATTATTTACCATACGTAAAAGAAGACTTTGTTTAGCAAGTAGTATGATGTTTATTAACATTTGAAAAAAAATGAAGAATATCTTTTATAGTGAGGATAATACAAATATCCCTGAAGCAGTTAACTAAAAAATGACTCTAGAAGAACCATTTTTATGTTATCATTTTTGTGTCATATTTATGAAACGTGACTCTAGGTAAAAAGAATTTGTACATACTCCTACTTATATATTTCCCAAAGTGGGTGAGGTTACTATGTATTCTTCCACATCATAATGAACATATGATATGTCATATGTCCAGATGGAGGCTGTGCTATGATCATGCAGTATAGCTTCTTCACAAGAAAACCCCACCAGGGAATGGCTCAACAGCATCTTTGGAAAGAGTTGCATATCCCCACTCCCTAATTAGAAATAAGGACTCAACTCATTTATACTTTTAGATTAACTTGTCTACCTGAAACTACCAATAAATTGCCTTGCTGATCCAAGTTACCATTCAGCCTCAGATATTAACCTCTCAGGTACTGATGTCCTATATTTGGTGAGATGTTTTTAGTTTTTGGATTACAAAAAAAAAGCTGTATGAATATTCATGTACAAGTGTTTGTATGGACATACACTTTTATTGATTTGGGATAAAAACCTAAGAGTGGAATGGCTCTATTTTTATTATATTATTTAGTTTTATTTTATGAGACAGGGTTTTGCTCTGTTGCCCAGACTGGGGTGCAGTGGCACAATCATAGCTCACTGCAACCTTGACCTCCCAGGCTCAAAGGATACTCCCACCTCAGCCTCCTAAGTAGCTGGGACTATAGACATGTACCACTAAAAACATCTCAAATATATTAAAAATATAAAATATTTTTAAAATATATTAAAAATGGTACATCTGTATAGGGCACTTACCATGAATGGATCTGGCAAGACTGGAAGTTGCTCTGGGTGAGTCAGTGAGTGACTAGTGAGTGAAATCAAGCAAATATATAGTTCTTTTGGAATTAACAAATGTGTAAAGGCCTAGGACATTACTGTACACTCCTGCAGACTTTATAAAACCTTAGACTTAGGCTGTACTAAATTTATTTTAAAAATTCTTTCTTCCATAACAAACTAATCTTTGCTTACTATAATTTTTTTGTTTTTTACTCTTTTGCAATAACACTTAAAGCACACACATTGCACAGCTGTACAAAATACTTTATATTTCTGTATCCTTATTCTATATGCTTTTTTTCTACTTTTAAATTTTTGTTTTTTACTTTTTAAGCTTTTTTGTTTAAAACTGAGACACAAACACACACATGAGCCTAGGCCTACACAGGGACAGGATCATCAATATTACTGTCTTCCCTCTCCAAATCTTGTTCCACTAAAAATTCTTCAGGGGCAATATCACAAATGGAACTATCACCTCCTATGATAACAATGTCTTCTGGAATACCTCCTGAAGGACCTGCCTGAAGCTGATTTACAGTTAACTTTTAATTTTTCAATAAGAAGTATACTTTAAAATAACATTACAAGTATGGCATAGTAAATATATAAACCAATAACGTATTTATTTATTATCACTATCAAGTATTTTACACTGTACATAATAGTTTGTGCTATACTTTTGTACAACTGACAGTGCTGGTTTATTTACACCAGCATCACCATAAACATGTTATTAATGTGTTGTGCTATGATGTTATGATAAGGGTTATGTCACTAGGCAATAGGAATGTTTCAGCTCCACGATAATGTATGGGACCACTGTCATATATGTGGTCTGTCACTGACCAAAATGTGACTATATGACTGACACATGATTATGTGTGGGTATATATATACACATACACAAATACACACGTATATGTGTATATATATAAAATATACTTTATTTGAAGCATACACACACACATATATACTATATAAAATATGCTTTGTTTGAACTGTTCGTACATTTCATGGAAACAAAGGCTATTAGATGTTTATGACTGTCTCCCTTCTTTAAAGATGATTGGAAATATCCTCTGTTTCTGCGAATGTCATTCAGCATACACATATCCAGCATCCAACCACCAGTGTGAGTTCTGACAGCTCCTGCCAAGGTAGTAATATTGCTTGTAATTGCACTCAGCTGGGCTTTCAATACCCTGAGACAGGCAGGAGAATCAACAAGGTCAACTCATTTATCTATGGTGGCAGTGGCACTAGTCTAATATGAGAGTACACGAAAATACAGGCTTTAAAAATCATGGCTTTAGAAATAGAACTAAAATGGAGTGAAAAAAGTTAAAGTCCCAAAAGATATTTTTTCAGTTATTTTAAAAACTGTTATTTAAGATTAGAAAATATCAGCCGGGCGCGGTGGCTCACGCCTGTAATCCCAGCACTTTGGGAGGCCGAGGCGGGCGGATCACGAGGTCAGGAGATCGAGACCATCCCGGCTAAAACGGTGAAACCCCGTCTCTACTAAAAATACAAAAAATTAGCCGGGCGTAGTGGCGCGCGCCTGTAGTCCCAGCTACTTGGGAGGCTGAGGCAGGAGAATGACGTGAACCCGGGAGGCGGAGCTTGCAGTGAGCCGAGATCCCGCCACTGCACTCCAGCCTGGGCGACAGAGCGAGACTCCGTCTCAAAAAAAAAAAAAAAAAAAAAAAAAAAAAAAGATTAGAAAATATCAAAACATGCATGTAAAAATCATTCAAAAAATTTTTTATTTAAGCATACACACAGGTCTTGCCCTTTGCATTGAAGCTCAAGAAATATTTATAGTTTATTTATGTATTCTGCCCATCAGAAAACGTATGAACATAAGCTAATTCTATGTTACAAAAATGAAGGGTACAACTCTGGGAGCCAGAGGGAGTTTATGCCTGCATTGTCTTCATTTGCCTTTTGATAAAAAGGACTATTTCCCTGGCAGTACAACAGGTAGCGAAATACTTCATCTCATGGTCAATTGCTGATCCATTTTTTTATGAAGTTCACTAATTTTCCTAGAAGAATACTGAATATAACTTCTTTTCATCACTTTATACTTAGTACTTTGTTTTCACATAAAAGAATGCAGCATACATCATTGGATTGACCTGGTTATATAATATTTATTCAACATTGAACCTCTGGCTGCCATTTTAAACCATCTTAATAAATCTAAGATTACTTTTATCATGGTTTATTTCTTGGAGGACTGGATACCAACAATATCAGTTCAATAATCACAGCATAAAGAGTCACTTTCTTCATGAACAATTGAAACAAAATGTCATATGCAAACATCCTGTATTGGACAACACCAAGCAAAATTGTTCTAAGATTGAAAATGTCTGAGATTCTTATTGGAACTGACTGAATGATGAAAATGTGTATATATTTGTTGCCCCAAAGCAATAATGCTGATAACGAACTGTAACAATTTTCATGCACAGTATTCTTAACAGTGATTCGGTAGATGTACACAATGCAAGATGTTCTAAAAGTATGCAGGATGAATTGCCTTTCTGGCATTTTATACATTATCTGTTACAAATTTTAACACAATCGTTTTTTGTAGATCCAGCCATTCAACATTTAGGCTCTTCTCCACAGAAAGCAGGGGATATGACTTTTATCTCACAATAAAGAGAACAATTACTTAAACGGTGGTTTCAGTTTTCCACTATAACCTACTCACTATACATTCTTGACAATATAAAGAGAAACACTGGCCACCAAACGTCTATTCTCCCACTAAGATTAGTATTTCCACTGAGTAATATTTTAAGACTCATCATTGTATATATTATACAGGAGTCTTGATTCTAGTCAATGGCAGCATTACAGTTATGGCCTTAAAAATGGCCTTACATATTTAGTAAGCATATATTGTGTACCCAGTACTATGGGAAATACTAAAGAGAATAAGGCTTTCCTGGCCTTATAATGTAGTTAAAGATAAAAGGCTAACACATTTCATCATTTAACAAGCATTTATTGAGTAACTACTATATAACAGAATCACTGCTGGGATACCACAATGATCACAAAACTGTAATCTGGATATGCTCAAGATACTATGGGAGAATAAAGAAGAGACATATGACTGAGAATGAGCATTGAGAAGACAAGAAAAGACTCTCAAAAGAGGTGAAGTATGAACTGAGCCATGAATAAATGAATAGGGATTCAGCTGGCAATATAGGATAGAAAACGATAAATGTTGAGGCATGGAGGGTGGTTCAGGAGAATCAAAATGGATAATAAAGTCTAATGTTAAATGACAACTCCAAGATTTTCAACCTATAAAAAACAAGAAATCTGTGCAATCAAGAGGACAGCACACTTTTGATAGCTGCTGGTTTTGGAGAACAATAATGGGCTCCTTCACTGTTCTTTATTTGAAGTGATGGTAGGCAATCTGCATGACAAAATACTGCTAGAAAATGCAAATACAGGAAAGAAGCACAGGTGGACAATTAGGGCTGGATTTGGAAGCTGTGTAAATACAGTCACGCAGAAATAACTCATCATGTCTCTTTGTGTGTCTTATCAGACATTTCAATTCACTAAACAATTTCACTAATACTCGTTGAACTCATGGCTTCTAGGCACCATACCAGTGGGGCCCTTATGTTAATCCCCCAGTATAATCCCTAGATGTAAAACGCTCAAAGCAAATTTTGTGATAGAAAATAATATTGCTTGCCAATTGCTAGGTGTTTGTGGAAAACCTGTTTCTCCGTGATTAATCTACTACAACTCTAAGAGAGGCAAATAACGTGAAAATTAGAGTCTGTCCTTTTGCAGTTTCAAGATAACTAACCCATCAAGTTTTTCACATTAGTCTAATACCAAACTGGTTTGCTAAATACAGTGTCAGCCAAAAATAGTGAAATTAACTGCATAGCAGAAGCAAAAAGGATTTTTTAAAAAGCTCTCAATTACCTGCCACAATAATCACTGGAGTGCAAAATGATGCTCCAGAGTCACTGTAAGATATTGCATGACCTCTGCAGCTTCTAAAAGGAGATGAGATTATGATTAGCATAATTTTGCTTCTGTACATTCCTTTAAAATCCCATTTTTAAAAGTTAAATTTATGAATGCCAGATGTAATAACATCCTATCACTTGAAATTGCAACTAAATCTTCTTGGTGGTAGAGGTTAAACCATTCATCTACTTCCTCATGATGTAAGTAAGACTGTTAATTTAACCAATTTATAAAGGAGGCAAAACCCACAATTGGTCTTCTCATATACGGGGAAAATATTTATACTTTTATAAGCAATCAGCTATTTTTGGAAAGCATCCATTTGGTTTTTTTGAAAATCTGAAAGTGATTAGTTCTTACTAAATATAATTATTGCCATCAAAACCCTGAATTCAAATAGCTCTTTCATTTATAGCTTTCTGTCAGAACATTCAGTGCTTTCTTTCTTTGAGTTAACCTTCCCCCCTTTACAAATATCAAATTAACAAAAATATCTAGTACCTGAACAAGTGACTATTCATTTTTTAGACAATATGGAAAGGACAGGTCTGGATGTCATGCAAGGAAAAATGCAGGCTACACTTAAGTTCAGGAAATGTGCCATCTCCAAGAAAGATATTGGTGTTGGGAACATCACAGTACATATTACATTCAGAGTAGGCAGTGTAAATGAGTTTAAGGCTAAGATGGATATACGCTTGGAATCAATACAGTTGGATATGCTTGCCGAATAGCAAGATGCACCTGCTGAAAGGCAGCAGGATAATTAGATTGATATTGTCTCTTTCCAATAATAAATTCCACGTTTCAGAGTAATATCTCATGGCTGGCTATTGAAACAGTGGTGGCACAGCTAAATTCATTGGCACAGAACACAAGACTTTATTAGTCAACAAATGTGTTTCATGACTCATCATGGACTCACTGATTGATTAGATACTGGCTGCATAGAAAAAAAAATTACAAGTCTTTCAAAGAAGGTTTTAGAATTGCATTAGCAACACTGATTAATCGCCACACTCACCTACTGAAAGAATGCAAAAATTTTCCCAGTAGTCATTGCTTTTCAGGACAGAGGCAAGAGTTTAGTAAATATATTCACATGTAATAAATGCAGAGTACAATCATCTCATCAATGCCATATCAATTTTGATCCTGGTGTGAAACTATTTGCCACCTTTCTTTTGTCCCCCATGACACATCCAACCACAAATGAATACTAGAAGGCACTGGAAGGACAGCTAATTCATATTTAACACATCAAGGTGACCTTAGACTGACTCTTCTTGTGATGCATAAGAACAACTACAGTGTTTTTTTTTTAATTATTTTTGGGAAACAGTAGGTGTATATATTTATGAAGCACATGAGACATTTTGGTAGAGGCATGCAAAGAGTAACAATCACATCATGGAAAGTCTTACCTCCATCACCTCAACCATTTATCCTTTGTGTTACAAACAATCCAAATACACTTTTTTAATTATTTTAAATGTACAATTAAATTATTATTGACTATAGTGCTACTGTTGTGATATCAAATGCTAGGTCTTATTCATTCTTTCTAAGTATTTTTTGTACCCATTAACCATCCCCATTGGCCCCCAACCGCACACTACCCTTTCCAGACTCTGGTAACTATTCTTTTGCTCTCTATCTTTTAGTTCAATTATTTTGATTTTTAGATCACACAAATGAGTAAGAACATGTGATATTTGTCTTTCTGGCTTATTTCACTTAACATAATAATTTTCAGTTCCATCCATGTTATTGCAAACCACTGTATCTCATTCCTTTTTATTGCTGAATGGGACTCCATTGAGTATGCGTACTAAAAATTTTTGTATCCATTTATCTGTTGATGGACACTTAGGTTGCTTCCAAATCTTAGCTATTGTGAAGAGTGCTAGAATAAACATGGGAGTAAAGATATCTCCCTCATGTACTGATTTCTTTTCTTTTGGGAATATACCCAGCAGTGGGATTGTGGGATCATGTGGTAGCTTTATTTTTAGCATTTTGAGACATCTCCAAACCCTTCTCCACAGTGATTGCACTAATTTAAATTTCCAACAACAGTGTACAAGGGTTCCCTTTTCTCCTCATCATCACCAGCATTTATTGCCTGACATTTGCACAGAGCTATTTTAACTGTGGTGAGATGACATCTCATTTTGCTTTCAATGTGCATTTATCTGATGATCAATGATGTTAAGCACCTTTCCATATGACTGACATTTTTATGTCTTCTTTTGAGAAATATTTATTCAAATATTTAGCACATTTTTCCATCAGATTATTAGATTTTCTTCCTACAGAGTTATCTGTCCTCCTTATATATTATGGTTATTAATCCCTTGTCAGATGGGAAGTTTGCAAATATTTCCTCCCATTCTGTGGGTTGTCTCTTCACTTTGTTGATTGTTTCCTTTGCTGTGAAGAAGCATTTTTACTTGATGTGATCAGATTTGTCTACTTTTTCTTTGGTTCCCTGTGCTTGTGTGATATTGCTCAATAAATTTTTGGCCACACCAATATCCTGGAGAGTTTCCCTGATGTTTTATTGTAGTAGTTTTATAGTTTGATGAATTCAATTTAGTTTGGAGTCTTTATTCCAATTTGATTTAATTTTTGTCTAAGGCAAGACATAGTGGTCAAATTTCATTATTCTGAATATGAACATCCAGTTTTCCCAGACTCATTTATTGAAGAGATTATCTTTTCTCCAAAGTATGTTCTTGGCACCTTTGTTGAAAATGAGTTCATTCTAGGTGTGTACATTTGTTTCTGGGTTCTCTATTCTGTTTTATTGGTCTACGTGTCTGATTTTTATGCCAGTACCATGCTGTTTTGATTACTATCATTCTGTAGTTTAATTTGAAGTCAGGTAATGTAATTCCTCCAATTTTGTTCTTTTTGCTCAGAATAGCATTGTCTATTTTGGGTCTTTTGTGATTTCATATAAGTTACAGGATTGCTTTTTATAGTTATGTGAAGAATGTTATTGGTATTTTGATAGGAATTGCTTTGAATCCATAGATTACTTTGGTTAGTATGGACATTTTAACATTATTGATTCTTCCAATACATGAACATGAAATATCTTTCCATCTTTTTGTATCCTCTTCAATTTCTTTCATCAGCATTTCAGAGTCTTCATTGTTTGAGATCTTTAACATCTTTGGTTAAGTTAATTCCTAGATATTGAAATTTATTTGTGGCTATTGTAAATGGGATTCATTTTTAAATTTTATCTTCAGATTTTTCATTGTTGGCACATAGAAATGCTACAGAATTTTTGTATGTTGATTACATATTGTGCAACTTTACTGAATATATCAGTTCTAAGAGTTTTTTGGTGGAATCTTTGGGATGCTAAAAATAAAAAATATCATATCATCTGCAAACAAGAATAACTTGACTTCCTTTACCATTGGATCTCTGTATCTTTCTCTGGTCTAATTTATCTAGCTAGAAAATTTAGTACCATGTTGAATAACAGTAGAGGAAGTGGGCATCCTTGCCATGTTCCATATATAGGAAGAAAGGATTTCCATTTTTTCCCATTCAATATACTAGCTGTCAGTCTGTCATATATGGCTTTTATTATGTTGAGGTCTGTTCCTTCCATCTGTAGTTATTTTGGGGTTTTTATCATAATGGGATATTTAAACTTTATTAAATGCTTTTTTAACATCAATTAAAATGATGATATAGTTATTGTTCTTTATTTTCTTGATAGGATGTATCACATTGATTGACTTGCATATATTGAACTATCCTTGCATCCAAGGGATAAATCCCACTTGGTCATGAGGAATGGTCTTTCTAATGTATTGTTGAATTCGTCTTGCTGTATTTTGTTGAAGATTTTTGCATCAATATTCATCAGAGATATTTGTCTGTAGTTTTTCTTTTTTGATGTGTCTTTGTCTCGTTTTGGTAACACGGTAATACTGGCCTCATAGAATGAGTTTGGAAGTATTCCATACTCTATTTTTTGGAACAGTTTTTATAGTATTGATACTAATTCTACCTTGAATGTTTGGTTGAGTTCAGCAGTGAAGTCATCGGTTCTCAGGCTTTTCTTTACTGAGGTATTTTTATTACAGCTTTTATCCTGTTCCTTGTTATTGACCTGTTCAGGTTTTGGATTTATTTATGGTTCAATCTTGTGGGTTGTACATTTCTAGGATTGTATCTGTTTCATCTAGCTCAGGGCTCCCTAAACCCTGGGCCATGGATTGGTATCAGTCGGTGGCCTGATGGGAACCAGGCAACACAGCAGGAGGTGAGCAGTAGGCAAGTTAGCATTATTGCCTGAGCTCCACCTCCTGTCAGATCAGCAGCAGCATTAGATTCTCATAGGAGCACAATCCCTATTGTGAACTGTGCTGTGTGAGGAATCTAGGTTGCATGCACCTTATGAGAATCTAATGCCTGATGATCTGAGGTGGAATAATTTCATCCTGAAACCATCTCCCCACCACATATACTTGCTCATAGTAGCCAATAATGATCTTTGGAATTTCTTCAGACCCATTTGTAATGCCTCCTTTTTCATCTCTGATTTTATTTGGGTCTTATCTCATAGATTTAGTTTTTTTTAATCTAGTTAAAGTTTTGTCAATTTGGCTTATCTTTTTAAAAAAGCCAACTTTTTGTTTCATTGATTTTTTTTATTGCTTTTTCATTTCAAATTAATTTATTTCTGCTCTGATCATTATTATTTATTTTCTTGAAATAATTTTTGGTTTGGTTTGTTCTTGCTTTTCTAGTTTTTTAAGAGACATTACTAGGTTATTTATTTGAAGTTTTTCTTCTTTTCTGATATAAACAATTATAGTTATAAATTTCCCTCTTAGTACTGCTTTCCCTGTATTCCATTGTTTTTGGAATGTTGTGTTTCCATTACCATTTGTTTCAAAACATTTTTCAATTTCCTTCTTATTTATTCATTAAACCCCTGGTCATTCAGAAGCATATTGTTTAATTTTAATGTGTTTGTATAGTTTCCAAAATTGCTCCTGCTAATAATTTCAAGTTTTATTTCATTACAGTCAGAGGAGATGCTTTATATAATTTCCATTTTTAAAAAATATTTTAAGACTTATTTTGTGACCTAACATATGGTCTATCTTTAGGAATGATTCATGCACTGAGGAGAAAAATGTGTATTCTGCAGCCATTGGATGAAATGATCTGTAAATATCTGTTAGGTCCATTTATTCTATAGTGCAGATTAATTCTGATGCTTCCTTGTTAATTTTCTGTCTGGAAAATCTGTCCAATGCTGAAAGTGGGATGTTAAAGTTTCTAGCTATTATTGTTATTGGGTTCTTTCCCTTTAGCTCTTATTATATTTGCTTTATATATCTGGTGCTCCAGTGTTGAATGCACATATATTGTCATATCCTCTAACTGAATTGACCACTTTATCGTTTTATATATATATATATATATATATTTATTTATTTATTTATTTTGTCTCTTCTTACAGTTTTTGTCTTGAAATCTACTTTGTCTAAGTATAGCTACTGCTACTCTTCTTTCATTTCCATTGGCATGGAATATAATTTTACATCCCTTTATTTTCAGCCAATGTGTATCTTTATAGGTGAAGTGCTTTTCCTGTAGGCAACAGGTCAATGGATGTTGTTTTTTCATCCATTCAGCCTCTGTATGTCTTTTCATTGGAGAGTTTAGCCCATTTACACTCAATGTTATTGTTGATAAGTCAGGACTTACTCTTGCCAGGTTGTTATTTGCTTTCTTATTGTTTTGTGGTCTTCTCTTCCTTCTTTCCTTCCTTGCTGCTTTCCTTTTAGTGAAGGTGGTTTTATCTGGTGGTATAATTTAATTTCTTGATTTTTATTTTTTCTGCATCCATTGTATGTTTCTTGATTGGAGGTAACCATGAGGCTTGGAAATACTATATATAATCCATTATTTTAAACTGATGACAACTTAATACTGATTGCATAAACACATACCCAAAAATCTAATTAAAACTCTACACATTAATTTTGCCCCCCACTCCACTCCACTTTTAAACTTTTTTTTCCTATTTATGTTTTACTGTACTATCTTTGTCTTGAAAAGTTATTGTATTTATTATTTTTATTGGTTCATCATTTAGTCTTTCTACTTAAGTCAAGAGTAACTTATACACCACAGTTACAGTGTTAACCTATTCTGCGTTTTTTTGTGTGCTTACTATTAGCACTGAGTTTTGTGCCTTCAGATGATTTCATATTGCTCATTAACATCCTTTCCCTTGAGATTGAAAAACTCCCTTTAGCATTTCTTGTAGGACACATCTGGTGTTGATAAAATCCCTCAGCTTTTATTTGTCTGGGAAGGTCTTTATTTCTCTATCATACTTAAAGGATATTTTTGCTTGATATACTATTCTAGGGTAAAAGTATTTTTTCATCAGCACTTTAAATATACCATGCCACCCTCTGCTGACCTGTAAGGTATCCACTGAGAATTTTGCTGCCACATATATTGGAGCTCCATTGTATATTACTCATTTCTTTTCTTTTGCTGCTTCTAGGATTCTTTCTTTATCCTTGACCTTTGGGAGTTTGATTACTAAATGCCTTGACATAGTCATCTTTTGAGTGAAACCTGTTTGGTGTTATAATAACCTTCTGGAACGTGAATGTTGATATCTTTCTTTACATTTGAGAAGTTCTCTGATATTATGCCTTTAAAAAATCTTTCTTCCTCATCTCTTTCTCTACATCCTTTTCAAGGCCAATAACTCTTACCTTTGCCCATTTGAGGCTATTTTCTAGATCTGGTAGGCATGCTTAATTGTTTTTTATTCTTTCTTCTTTTTTCTCCTCTTACTGTGAATTTTAAAATAGGCTGTCTTCATGCTCACCAATTCTTTCTTCTGCTTGATCAACTACACTATTAAGAGACTCTGATTCATACTTCAGTATGTCAATTGCATTTTTCAACTCTATAGTTTCCACTTAATTCTAAATTGGTTATTCTAGTTAGCCATACCTTTAACCTTTTGTCAAAATTCTTAGCTTCCTTGCATTGCGTTAGAACATGCTCCTTTAGCTCAGAGGAGTTTGTTATTACCCACCTTCTGAATCCTACTTCTGTCAAAGGTTAAAAGGAAGTCTATCAAAAAAAAGGGGAGGGGGCTGTGCAGTCAATAACATTTTTTAATTTTTCGTGGAAGGCTGGCTCTGATTCTACTGTGTAAAATGCAAAGTGGTTGCTTCTTAGCAGAGATACCATAGGCACTGGGCCCACTTATCTTGATGAGACAGAGAAGGTGTGACTAATCCAACTTCAAATGTTTAACTCTGAGATAATAACTCTGTATTACATTAAAATCTGTAAGTGAAAAAAAAAAAGCCTATATCGCTTTTGTTTGAGTCCAAGCTTTGTCTCTTACTTGTGATTAGGCTGAGAATAATACATAGTTGTTCTGTCTTGGGTTAATACCCTCACTCAAATATCCATACTGAAGGGTTTTTGTGCTAAATTGTAGTCTCTGAGAGTCAGATTTAAGGAAAAGGTTTTAAAAAGGTTGCTGCGATATAAAAAGTAGCTAGTTGGTAGTGTTGAGTAGTGAAATGAGTAAAGAGGGGTTTCAGTGTCACAGAGACCCTTATTAGCTGCACCTGTAAAATTCAGGCAAACTGTATTGAAGAAAGGTTCTAGGAATACATGGATCATGCATATGAAAGTGCAAAGCATTAGAAACTTATTAAGTTTATTATAAAAAATAGTACAGTATCTTGTTTTCCTAGGTTCAATTATGTTCTTGCTCTGACTCTCTCTCTCGCGCTCTCTCTCTCTCTCGCTTCTTACCTAAGTCTGGCCCCAACCCTCACCTTGGGAATCCCATCTGTTTCTATGTAGTGGTCTCCAAAATCTCTACTGTTGACTTCATCTTTTCTTCTGGCTACCAGCTCCTACCTTTGCTACCCTAATAGCTTCAGAACTATTCTCTTTACTTTCTGCTTCTATAGCAGCTCTATTGTATCCTACATACTACTTTACACTTAGAATTCCTAAAGTGAAGGGAGATCTGGTTATGTAGTACTCTGGCTCAAATACCATCCAGTTCTACTTCACGGAAGTTTTCTGGATCCTCCATCTTCATGTTAATTCAGCCCTCCTGTACAAATTACACCTTTCTCATGGCACTTCCTATTGCTTTCTGGCTAGTTACTCTTGTAATTAGAGTTACTCTTGTACTAGTAGCAGTTGCAACATCTGACTTCTTTATTTTCTACCTTTACAAACCAAATTTTGCATTCTGAAACAAGAGAAACATAGAAACGAGAAATAGGAGGAAATACCAAATTCATAAGCAACAGAGAATGTGGGATACACTGAAAATCAGGAAACCAAGGTTCATTATAAATCTAGCTTTTCCACCAACTTACATGGTACTCCTAAACAAGTTACTTGTTCTATCTAGAATATATCAGTTCTCTTCTACTTAAATGATATATAAAGTACTGTATGCTTCTAAAAGTCTAAATGCAACATTTGCTAGCTCCACCAGTTACTGACTGCATGACCTAGGGTAAGTTACTTAGCCTTTCAGGCCCACCATTTCCATGTATGAAAATGATAGCTCCTACTTCCTACGTGAAGATTAAATGAGTTAATAGATTTATTAGGACAATGCCTGGCACAGTAAGTCCTTAACAAATATTAACTATTAGTATTAATATTATTTAAAGCTTGTGACATTGTTTCTGTCTGGTGTGTTTCTGAAGTGGGTCTTGAATAGAAAGGACACTCTGTAAATTAAGCCCAATCATTCAACATTGTTTATCCTCAATAACCAGTAGAGAGTAAACCTCTTCTGCAGTAACAATCACACACACACACACACACACACACACACACATACGCACACACAGACACACACACACTTTCCCTTATACTGGCTCTGATCAACTTATCACAAATTCAATGTTTTGTGTTAAGCATTGTTCTTTTTAGTAGATTTTCTATTAAAATGCAAATTCCTCAAGGATAATTAACACATTAAGTGGTTCACACTTTAAATGTGACTGACCTTGTCAGATTCTGTTCTCTCAGACTGAAAAAGGCTCTGCTGAATGAGGCTCCTGGATAACGAGTGGGAGGTCAATCTCTTAAGCTGAACTTTGCTGCTTCACAATTTTGTCATGGGCTGAAACTGGCCCTAACACATACTGTTGTTTTCACATGAAAAAATAACCCTTGAGTTTTCTAGGTTGTTATTTCCAGATGCACTGAAGAAAAAATAGATTTACAAACCCATACTTGATACTGCTGGAAAGTTTGGGCAAAACTAATTGAGAACTTTGTTAGGAATGGTTCATCCTTAAATAAAGGTTAACCTTCCTCTGTTGCAATAGTTGCCCAGACAATTTATTATCTGCCATAAAACTGCTCAAAAGTGTTGTTAACTTGCATAGCTGTTTTCATTTTAATTCTGAATTATTTGCTCTTAATTGCAATCAATCTGTTCACAAACCCTCTCCCTTTGAATGTTTTTTGGGCATATAACCTATCCTTCCTTAAGTTCTGTTACCTTGTTCTTTCCTGAGCACAAACACACTAAAAGTGCCTTAGTTTTCTGCCATAGCACAGGCATTATCACTGTCTGGATGGCATTGTCAGGGATGGCCAAAGGGAAGAAGAAATGGAATGTATAAAGCCCCATGACAAGTAACACTGCCTCATCCTCCCTCCTGATCCTAGCCAACATTTGCAGACAAATCAAATCAAATCACCCTGAATATCAAGAACATCATAAAGGAGACAAGAATGCCAGCTTCAGGGGAAGAGAAGAAAGGGGAAATAGAAGGAGAAAGGGAGGGATGGGAGGAATTATGACTTTCTTACCTGCCATTGCCTCTTTATGGAAGAAAAAAGTCTTTGCTGCCAGTTACTGAGGCAATACAGGTTCACCCTCATACCACCACATCCAATTCAGGCACTAGAGAGAAGGGAACCCATCTTCTGTACTTTGGGAATAGCTCTGGACATTGCCATACCAATCTTTTTCCTCTATGTCCATTTATTTCAAGATCCACCTACGGGTAAACCTCTCCTTAGTCTCTTTGTAAGTCAGTCTCGTAACTTTGGGCAAGTCATTAACCTTCTTTCCATGTATTCATCTGTAAAATGTGGCCTAATATAATGCAGTGTTTCCCAGACTTCAGTCATGTGAATAGCATCTTCGCAATTTCTGCCTTATCTCTACACTATGTGAACTATTATCTTAATACTTTTTTTAAAAAAACCTAACTTTGAAAACCTCATACTTGTTCTAGGAAATGATATCAACAAAATACCAAAAGTGATATGCTAGTTGTATCTTTGCAATATATTTTAAAACGAATACATAATTTTTAAAATAAAAAAAATCCATCAAACCCCTAAACTCATTTTATGTGCCCAGTTCCTTTTCTGAGGCTCTAGCATAGTCAAAACACTACCCGGGTTTGAAAATGAACAAGTATGATTTAGAAAACTGTCTTTGTCCCTTATTTTATGCTTTTGGCAAGTCACCTATGCTTAACACATAAAGTTAAGAGGGTTAATTGAGAAAATGTATGCTTGGAGTTGTCACTCAGTAAATGTTCGTTTCTCTTTGTACCCCAGTTTTCACATCTGTTAAAAGCATTTTAGTATAAATGGAAGGAACATGGGCTTTGGTATTTGGAGAAGAGGATTAAAATCCCAGCTCTAGTTGCTTAACCTTGAGCCTCAGTTGTCCCATTTATAACTGGAGATTGATAATAGCTAAATTGAGTTGGATGGTTGTGGTCAGAATCAAATACCATATTTGTAAAGTGCTTAAAACATAAAGCACTATATAAATGATAACCATTAATATTATCTATCAGTACCATATATCTACATCACAGGAAAAAATGAAAGTAGTTATTAGTAACTGAAACAATAGAAAACAACCCTATTATCTTCCATTTCAGATTATGTCTCTCATCTTCTTCTGTCTGATAATTTCCTTGGTAAAGCAGTCAAGAATCCACTTTTTATCGCAGAAGGTATTACTGAAACAAGGAAGTATAAATACCAGCATGAGAATGAAATACCAAGTCAAGCAGGGGCCTTCAAAATAAGGCAAAAGAGTTAATATTTGTAAAGTGATAGAAATAGAACCTGAAAGAGTATGCACTCTACAATTGCACTAAGGGTTAAATAAAACAGAATAAAAGAACTGTGAAAATATAACAAAAATAAGAAAAGTGATGTTATTGTTGAATAATCAAAGACATACCCATGACCCTAGATGAAAAGAGATATGTATCATTGTGAAAGAATTGAGGTTAATGGAGAGGAGGTAGCATGGACAGAAGTAAACAGGAGTCCTCTGTTATTAGAGAGTAAAAGGTAAACTCACCAACTGGCCTGCAGGGATCTTTGGCTTCTTTATAGCAAAGAAAAACAAACAAAACAAAATAAAAATGAAACGAGGGTTCACAAAGGGCTGGCTGCCTCTTCCCACTTGGAGGTGAGAGTGCAGGAACTCAGCAGCCTTAGTAATGAATAATAATGTAATCCTTTAATTGCTCAACCTTAGTAACAGGCATTGATAGAAGACATCCCATTTTTCTTTCCTGAGCCAGATATTTTTCTACTATGAGTTGCTTTATTTTTTGGTCTAGTGCAATGTTAGTCGACTAACTCTGTAGAAATGATGAACACAGGCCCACCTAATTAAAGGGAGGCTTCAAAGTGTAGTTAAACGTAGCAAAGCATTTTCATTCATAATGGGCTGATTCACTAAATATAAAATATGAAACAGCTTGATTCAAGACAGCTTATATTTTGGGGAAAAAATAATTTCTAAAATTTGTAAAAAAACATTGTTTTGAAGTAAAAAATACTTTCTAAAAGAAAAGCTTTTTGATGTCAGTGAACAGATGTACACATTATAAAGTTGTAAGTGAAAAAATACTAATTAAAATGTAGCTTCATAAATAAAAAAAATGAGTAGGCAGAATATAGTTCACAGTAGTCTTTCAAAGCCTCAAATTACATTGTTCTGAGAAGCAACCTGTATGATATTAGTTACCATGAACCATCACGAACCAAATGAAAATATTTTGAAAATTCATTGTCCATGAAAAATTACTTTCAAAAATAACTTGACAATAATGAGCTACCTAAATAACAATGTTATTCTTTGTTTTATGTTTTCCTTTTCCTATTTTATTGTATTTTATTATTTATTCTTATTTGCTTCCTCTCTTTTTACTGTGAGTCTCATTTTAGCCTTCTTTTCATTTTCTGTATTTTTTAAATTTCCCACAGTATTTGGTTCCCTTATCCTTGTTTCCTGATTTATAGCTGCACCTGCACCTCCTCCACCTGTGTTTATAGTCCCTATTTATTTATTTAATGCAAAAGCAGTACAGTAGAAAAGATAGAAAGCCCAGCTGAAAAGTCCAATTGGTCCAATATTTTGTAGCTTGCCCAGCAGGGTAAATCTTGTAGGACAGAGCTTTACGACAAACCTTAGCAAATTGGTTCAGCATTTTAAAAGTTTCAAAATAATCAGTGTAACTTACCTGTGGTCATATATATATAAATTTAGCATCTAAGTTTCACAAGCTAGATCTACACAATCAAAACAATCAAGGATTTTTTTGAATTATTGTAGTGATGCCAGACAAAAAGTCCATCATTAACTCCTTTTTTTGACTGAAAATTTTTCCAAAGTGACTCTACCTAACATCAGATATTAAGTCAATACTATTTGAAGGCTTCAAACATTCACATTAAAGAGATACTTAGCAAATAAAATATTACATTTGCCATCTTATTAATTCTAACATGCAGAAAAATGAGTAATTAGTATAGAAAAGTCATAATTGTATTATAGTGGCAACATTATGCATTATTTCCATTTAAAATTTTATTTTTAATTTTTATATAGTCTGTGAAGCAATTAGATTCTATTTTTAAATAGCAAAATAAAATACATCTTGAATGTTTGAATATTATCATTTTGGCTACTACAAAGTCATTTTATTCTTGAAGTTTCAGAAAGATTGTTAGATAACTAAAATACAGGACCACAGAAAAATTAATGACCAGCAGTTCACTTTAAACATATTTCACCTTCTTAACTAATCCACAAGGCACATGGCTTTTGCTACAATGAAAACTCATTTTTTGCCAAAAGCAAAACAAATATTTACGTTGAAAATAATTTTTTGAATCTAAAGAGTACAAGCCTGAGATTTGTATATATTGTAACAAGTGCTTTATCTGGAAAATGTTCTTATTCTGTTATATAACCTATATTTATATGTTTGACTATTTAGTTTATCTTAAATGAATATATTTAATTTCTTTATATATTTTCATTATCTAAACTCAGTCTACCAGAGTTTACCAGTACAATAAGTCCTCACCTAATGTGGTTGATAGGTTCTTGGAAACTGCGACTTTAAGGAAAATGACATATAACCAAACCAATCTTACCATAGGCTAATGAATACAAACAAGAGTTAAGTTCTTACAGCATATCTCTGGTAACAAAAGTATCAGTAAACTCCTAGATAAAGACCCAAATTTCTTCTAATTGTGTTTGTCACAATTATTGAAATATATTATTGAAATAAATGTGCGGTATACCTACATTTAAGAACAATGAATAAAAAATCAGTCAGATCATTATTTACCTGCTTTTTCCACTTTAGGGTCACGGGAGGTCTATCTGTCAGCTCAGGAAGCCAGTAGGGAACCACCCCTGGGCAGGACATCATTCTATCATAGGGCGCATTCACATACACCCACGCTTACACACACTGGGACCATGTCAGACATCCCAGTTACCCTAACAAGTATATATTTGGGATGTGGGAGGAAACCAGAGTACCTGCAGAAAACCCAGCAGATGAGTAGACTGTGGGAACTCCATGCAGACGGTGGCCCCAGTCAGAAATTGTTTTTGTTTTTTTTTCTCTCATCAGCATTATCAATGAAACCATGTTGAACAAAACAATGTTATTCAAGGATCTGCGGTACTATACAAGAAAAATCCAGATATGTTCACTATTTTTACAAATTGTACAAAATGCTTAGAGATCAAAAGTTTCTCATAAGAGATGAAGAATAAAAAGATAAAAACTTATATTTCTATAGGACGTCATACTTTAATCCAGTGAAGTAGGTATTTTTAAAATCTTTCCTCTTATTTTCCATAGATGAATATACAAAGGTCAGAAAGATTATATAGCTTGTCAAGATTACGTAGTCAGAGGCAGCACAACTTGAATGCAGTTTCTGGACTCAGTTTTCCTCTTGAATATATATAAGATGTCCTATATACAAGTTTCCAAAAGAAAGCATTCCATTTAGGGTAATTTGTGTAGTACAGGACATATTGTAGTTCAGACACACCTAAAATGTATCAGACATCTACTAAACCACACAGTCTCTGATTCTAAACAAATTTAGTGTTTCATGAAATTCACTATCTTGTTTAATCAGAGAAGTTGGAGAAAGCTTCGTTAAAAGAATAGTAGCTGAAATGGGCCCAGAAGTGTTTGCTATTGAGTCTGGAAGGGTTTGACAGTTGGTGTGTGGAGTTTAAGTTTTCATTTAGATTCAGACGAAGGAACAAGTAAAATTGAACAAAGAGAAAGAGACACAGTGCCCCTACATGAGAAGATTCAATTTTATAAAGATAAAAATTATTCCTAGATTTATGTATACATTTAATCAAAACCCTATGACATGTTTTTTAATTCAACAAATGACTTTAAAATGCATATGGAAAAATAAGCATGTCATATTAACCAGGTTAATATTAGAAAGAATAGTGCTGAAGGTCACTTGCTTTATGAGATATGCTAAATGAAAATGAACTGGATATGGCAAGAAAAAGACAGAAATTGAACTGAGTAAAAAAATCAAGATAGGATCTATATATTTATTATAAATTCTTATACAATAAAATCGGTATTTCACATCATTGAGATGAGGATCAATTATTCAATCAATAGTGTTAGAAAAGCTAGCTGTTCATTGATAAAGGAGGTAACATTAACCTCTCTAAATCATGAATTCCAGATGAATTAAATACTTATATGTTAAAAAATTAAACTAAAATATAAGAACATATACATAGGTGTGTAAAACCTAGACTGGGAAAGGTAATTCTTGGCAGAACATTAAAGGCAGAATCCATAAAGGCATACAATAGCTATGATTATATCATCTTTAAATATTTTGATGTCAAGGCATTATGAACAAAAATAAATGGCAAACTACAAACCAGGAAAAAAAAGGGTGCAACGTTTGTGACAAAGGTTTAATAACTTAAGTATTTTAAGAGCTATTTCAAGTCAATAAAACATGAGAAGTCAGTAAATGACATGAAAAAGTGATGGAATAAAACAATACACACAAACTAACAAGAATCAATGTCTACTTAAACCTTATGATATGCAAAACATTGTGCTCATAAGTATAAGAATTTTCCCATTTGGTCCTCACAATAATCCTATGATGAGTATAGTGTAATCATCCACATTTGACATATGAGTAAACCGAGCCTCAGAAGGGTGAGCTCACTTGCCTTAGATCACAGAGTGTTGGTAGCTGAGTCCAGGTCTCTTATTCCTGAGCTGGCTTTTAATCATTATGGTATATTGCATTTCCAGTTAAAGAATAAAATTATGTTCAACTTCACTAGTAATCGAGTAAGCACAAAAATCTGGTATCATCAGTCATCTACCAAATAGGCATTTTTTAAAAAAATTATCATATATGACTATTGGCAAGAATGCAGGGAAATAGGCACTCTTGTAAACTGCTGGTTGGAAGATAAACTGGTACAGTCTTTCTCCAGGTAGGTTTGATAATATATATTATAAATAACAAAAATGTAAAAAACACTGTCAGCTTTGTATGACCTAGAATAAGTAAATATATGTGGAAATAAATTAATATGTCCATAGCCCTTTTCCATGCTTGTGACATTGTTGTGTGACAGACGGAAGAGTACATTTCCTTCTCCATGGTGTCACCATGGAAGTGGAGAGTTTGTGTAAGCACAGCAAATTGCAACCTTTCACAGTGGATAGTCGACATCGACTGTTTAAAACTTATACATTGAGAAAGAGAAATAAAGACTTATTTAAATTTATAATGGTTACCACTAGTAAGACTAAAATACAGAAACTCTTTAAAAGTGTTTACCTCTGGGGAGTGAAAAAAGTATAATGAGTTTACTTTAAATTTTAGATTACTTAGATGATTTGAGTTACAGTTTATTTTAATAATGCGTTGATATTATTTTAATTTCAAAATCTAGTTTAAAACAAATAAGGCATCCAAATCCATAGAAGATTTGTTATATAAATTAGCATATTTTTCTAATGGTATAATATGCTGTCACTGGAAAGAATAAGGTAAGATCCTATGTAATTACATGAAAAGATGACAATAATAAAAATAGCTAAAATATTCATGGAGAGTGTGCTTTACTTCTGGCACTGTTCTAAGTTCTCTATGTATGTTCTCATTTAATCATCTCCTAATGGCTTTATGATAAATTTCAGACGCAGGGAAGTTAAGTAAATTGCCCAAGGTCACACAGGTAGCAAAAGGCAGAACCTGGATTAAAACCCAGGTGGTCTGGCTCCATAGCCTACATTTTTAAGTAATGCAATCTACTGCTTTAGTAGCAAATGAAAAAGTAATTGCAAAGCAATATGTTTTCAAAAACCCTGTGTGAATGTGAGCAATGTGCAAAGTTTGCAGGATGTGGAGGGTATATGTGGAGTGTGTACAGTGTGCGAAGTCATCTGTGTGCATGTGGGTTTAGATGTGTGTACACGTGACATGAGTATATAGAATTTGGAAGGATATACACCAAAGTGTTGTGGATGAAAGAAGAGAAAATGGATCTTTTTCTCTTAAATTCCACATTTTGTGGTGTTCTATCTTTTCTCTGATCTTATATCATTTTTAATGAAATAATTGATAGTATCATTAAAGACGCCCAAATGTTAAACCAAGCAATTTTATTTCTAGAAACTAATTTTAAGAAAAAAATAGGCAAAAGTTTATATTAAAAAGATTCATATTCTCTGTCTCTTAAGTGTGGGATGTAAAGAGTGGCTTTTTTTTTTTTCAAATAAATACAGTATAGAACAGGGAAAAGAAGAAGAATTTTACAATGGAGAAAGCTTACAGTTCAGCCAGTCTATCAAGGTCAACATTAGCAGTCATAAATCATGTTGATAATATGTACTCCTGGCATGATATAATAAGAATGGCACTTTACCTCCATGATCTTCCTCCCAAGAAAGCACATCCCAGTCTAATCATGAGAAAGACATCAGACATCCCAATAGATGGAAACCGTCAAGGCCATCAAAAACAAGAAAATTCTGAGAACCTACCACACCCTAGAGCAGCCTAACTAGAAACTGACGACTAAATGTAACATGATACTCTAGATGACATCCTGGAACAAAAAAAGAATTAGGAAAAAATAAATAGATAAATCTGAATAAAGTAGGAATTTTAGTTAATAAAAATCCATAGTTGGTTCATTAATTGCAACGTGTTTCATTCTAATGTAGAATGATAATAATAGGGGAATCTGTGGGTACATGTAATATAGTTGCAATTTTTCTGTTATAGAAGTAAAGTTTATTTAAAAAATTCAAAGTTAATCACACTATTATTTATAATGGCAAAAATAAATCAATAGATAAATGAAATAACCCAAATGCATAAAAATCAAGAAGTGGTAGAATAAATACTAGAATATCCATATGATGAAATACAATGCAGCCCAGCCATTAAAAAGCATGCCATAGAGGAACCATTATTAATACAGAAAAACAATATATTTCCTATTGCAAAATTTAGGCTACAGAATAACACAAAGAATCCGATGCTTCCCTTAATGATAAAAACTGTACACATATATAAGCAGAAGAAAAATGATTAAAGCAAAACAGATAACTATGAACAGTTGTTTTTTGAGGCTTTGAAATTATAGGCATTTATTTTCCCTTTATGATTTTCTTTGTTTTCCAAATTATCTTCACTAAACATATTTTACATTTGAAAAAAATTGCATGTTTTAAAAAATATATCGAAGTCAGTTTGGAAAAAAATTCTCAACCCTTACATCATACATAAAAAATAAATTCAAAAAGGATTCACAGACAATAAAAGCTAGCTAGAAGTAAATATAGAAAAAATATTCACAGCTTTGGAATAGGCAAATTTTATTAGACATATAAAGGATTTATAAAGTACTATTTATAAAAAATGATAAGCTGGACTTAATCAAAATTTTAAAACATCAGTTATTTGAAAGACATTAAGAAAATAAAAAAGACAAGGTATATGAGGGCATGTAAATATGTGTGGTATATATCTGACAAAACACTTGTATAATTATATATAAATAAATCATGCAATTTAATGAAAAGTAGACATGAAACCCAATTAAAATATAACAGTTTATATAAGAAAACATATGGATGACCAATTAGTAAGTGAAAATATATTGAGAAGCTATTCATTAGGGGAATGTCTAATTAATACTACAATAAGATACCATGAAACACCAGGGGCAGACAAAATGGACTCCACATGGCTAACTGAGGAGCTCAAAATTTAAACAGAAGTAGAGAGCCATGGCTGGGTGAGGTATTGGTCACATATTCTGTGTTCTCAGAAAGATGTTGTGAAAGTATCACAGGACCTCCCTTTCTACAATTAATCTGAACCAGTTTATGTTGTTTGTTAGTGCCAAGATAAAACTGCTGCCAGAACATCCCCCACAACTGGATTATTGAAACAAACATCTGACAGAGACATCTAATTTGGGACTTGGAAACCAATCAATCAGAGCTTACCTACCCCAGCCAGTCAGGATCCAACTGTATCAACCAATCAGTGCTTAGTTGTGCTGACCAATCATAACTAAGTAAGTTTCAATCCCTCATTTGCATAAATGGACCTTATTGGGAACCTGGGCAGGAACTTCTGTTATAAAACCCAAAGCATCTCCTTGTTCTCTGGAAATCACCTTCATTTTACACTGAATGCTGTGTCTTCCTGGTTTGCAAAGTGTTCATTGCAATAAAATATCTTTCTTCTAAATTCCTTTTCAGAGAGCTTTTGTTTACACATTTGTTATTTGAAAGACATTGTTAAGAATATGAAAAAGACAAGGTATGTGAAAAGGAGGAGGGAAAAATACGTAGTATGTATATGACAAAAGAATTGTATCAGTATATATAAATTATACAACCTAATAAAAAGTAGATAAGCAACCTAATTAAAAACTAACAGACACCTCATCTAAGAAAATATATGGATGACCAATTAATAAATGAAAATATGTTAAGAATCTATTCATCAGGGAAATGTCAACTTAAAACACAATGAGGTACCACTAAACGCCACTAAAAATTATAAAGCAAAACAACGGACAAAACCAGGTGTTGGTAAAGATGTGGAGCAACTGGAAATCTTATTCATTGCAGGTAGGAGTATGAAATGCTACAACCACTTTGAAAAATAATTTTGACATTTGTTATAAAGTTAAGCATGCACTTACCCTGTAATCTGGCAATTCCATTTTTAGATATTTACCCAAGAGAAATGCAAACATTATGTCCACAGAGAGACTTGTAAGTGAATGTTCATGGCAACTTATAGTAGCGAAATTCTGGAAACAGTCAAATGCTCATGAACAAGAAGATAGAAAAAATAATATGTGATATAATTATGTAATGGTTTACTCTTCAGCAACAGCAAATAATGTACTACTGGCACATGCTATAGCATGGATAGTGCCAACAATCATTATGCTGAGCAAAAGAAGATGGACACCAGAGTATACATGGATAAGATTCTCTTTTATATTACAATTAAGAAGAGGTCAAACTAATCTAGAATGATAGAATGTTGCCTGCAGTAGGAAATGGGGGACTGCAAAGGGTCTTGAGGGAAGTTTTAGGGTTGATGAAAATGTCCTAAGTCATGATGGGGATGGTGGTTACATGGGTAAATACATTTGTCAAAACACTTCAAACTGTACCCTTAAAATGGCTGTGTTTTATTGTATATAAATAACACTTCCAAAAGCTGACATTTAAAGTAATAGATGTAAATATTCTACATCTTCTCTTGGGATTATGAAATCTAATTTTCAAATCCAGGGAGACAGGATTATTTAATCCATTGTTTCTAGGAGACAAAAATAGCTGTCAAGCAAAAACAGCTGCCCAGGAACCCCTAATTACTGTGTGGTAACAGTCATTAAAATTAGAAACAAGAGAAGAAAGAACCACTTGAACCACTTCAGAGGGAAAGATGGTGGATTTTGTTATGGACACAGTTCTTTGAAACTGTAGCAAATGAGTCAAAAATCCACAGCTGTAGTAGCTACCTCTGGGAAAGGAGAAGCAACAAAACAAAACAAAACAAAACAAAACAAAACAAAACAAAAAAACCCCAAGCATTCTATTAAACAGAAGAGGCCTCTCTTCTGCCCTTTGCCAAATGAGTTTCTTGCCTTGACTTGGCCACATGCCCACTTAATAATCCCACAATTCAATAGGGAAACTGCAGCATTGGCCGCGTATCTACCAAGGGACGGCGGAGTTATTCTCTGGGGAGAAAGCACCAAGCTATGGATTTTTACATTTAGATTGTCATTCTGGTTAGGCACAGGATCCTGCAATACTTATTTTGGTAAAATCCCAGTATACAAAACTTTCTTGCACTATTTCCTCATTAAAATGTAATGAAAAAACATTTTCAACATTAGAATTTTCTCTTGGGCATCATGTGAAAAATCTGATTGACTATGTTAATATCTATTGTTATTTATATTGAAAATAAGATCCTGAAGATATGTTTAGATTATGAATTTTAAAATGAGACTTGAGTGGAAATAAGGGTAGAATAGAACTCAAAACAAGGGAGAGTTGGTTATTATTCTAATGTAAGTGTTGCGTGGTTATGATACCCTGGATCTGTTTCAACGGGACTGCGTTTGCAGGTGACAATTCAAAAGAGCAACAAAAACAACAGAAAATCCAACATTAAAATAAACTCCCAAAACAGCTGCAAATAATCTTTGTTGCTCTTTGGACCCCCACTAGCTTTTAGTTCTTAGATTTTATAAACATGTAGCTACATTATAATAAGTGTTACTCTTTTTCATTTCCATACATTCAATTTTTTACATGTTCACACTGTATGCCAAACATACCTACGCATTGAAAAGTTTTAAATAAACTGAAGGAAACAGTACAATTACCATGGAATAAAAAGAATGAGATAAATATGGAAGAATCCAGAAAGAGGGGTAAAGAGAAAGGAGGGGAAGGCTGCAACATTATATTGATGTAAAAAACAGTCCACATCCTTAGGATGCTGAATGGTACAGTGCAGGCTGTGTCAAAATAAAAACTCTCACAGTAATACTCACAGTTTGATCCATTTATCCCCACCCAAACCTGCAAATAAAAACAAAGGGAGTAAAGATTATTGTTGAAAGAGATACTAGCATGTTAATATAATGATGCTTGCATGAAATCAAATAAAAATGTCAATCAGGAAAAACTCTCTTTTTTGTTATCTCCTTTCAGCAGAAGAATGAATGAGTAAAAGTAAAAAACATGTTTTCAGCTTATCATAAAGCATAAAGAGAAATTAAATGAATCATTTTGGTTAGCTTGCCTCTTCCCCATCCTAGCCTCTTCTATTCCCAGCGAATGGGTTTATTATTTTTTTTCTCATAACGACTCAATCCTACCTCAGCACTTAAGCTCCTATTTCAAAAGATCTCTGACAGCTTCAGGTCACTCCTGCTGCGGTCTTATTCTAGCCCTAGTGGGCTTGACTCTGTCCTTTGTGATTCTGACTTTCTTGAGCTGTATCTGTATCTCATGGCTGGATTTTTATGTGCTACAGCCCAGTCTCTCAATGGTTGACTGCTAATCCTAATGGATTTTAGTCCTTGGCTGATATCCAGAGTACTTGGGTTCCTTTCTAGCACTCCCTTTCGTCTCTCTGAGATTGTTAAAAAGTATTTAGGGTGAACTCTGGGAATCTACATATGTTTAAAGCTTCCCAAATGATTATGATTTCCACAAATGTTTTCGAAACTCTCCTTAGTTAGCTCAGCTATCTTTAGGGGGTTCTCTGACATTTACTTCCAGACTAATCTCCGCCCATTTGCGTTTTTCAATCTAACTGATTTTTACCTCTGCCATCTCATCATTAATTTGGATCTTGCCTTACAACTATTCCTTCTGTATAAAACTTCTAGATCCAAATCTGACTTATTGGCGTAGCCAGCTTTTCTCAATATGTGGTCCCTGGAATACCTGCATCATATATCATGAGGTGAGATTGTGGTTCTTAGTAAAATGCAGACTCCTCAAACCCACTACAGATCTAATGAATCTGAATCTCTTGAGATGGGGCTTAGTAATTTGCAGTTTAAACAAATACCATAGGTAACTATTATGCACTCTAATGTTGAAGAACCACTAGCATTGTCCTTTATTCCTTAGTGGAACTAGGACATAATAGTGAAAAGGCCTAGGCACAAATCCCCTTGTTCTATTATTTTGGGTGAGTTGCTTCACTTTTCTGTTTTCTTATCTAAAAAAAATAGTGGTAATACTACCACATAGGTCACAGAATGGTAGATGTCCATTTTAGTCTGAGCGATTTAAATTGATCCAGCTCATCTGTAAAAATGTGGAACGAGAAAAAAAGCTACAACAACAACAAAAAGTCTAATGGAGATCAGTATTCACTCAATCTTTAGTTTCCATCCTGCTAACCTTTACCTTTCTCATATCATCTACCCCTCACTCACTTCACTGCAGCCACAATGGCTTCCTGGATTTTGCTCAAACACCCTGATAACTCTGTAATTTCAAGACTTCTACATGTGCCTATCCATGTAGAATTGTCTTGGAAGGGTTTACTCACAGACGTCATTCATTTCATCTCTTCATTCAGCTCTTTGTTTTATTATTACTTCTTAAAAGGGTAATCCCTAACCGCCCTATTTAAATAGTCCACCACTCCCTTTCATTCTATACCCCCTGAACCAGCTTTATTTCTCTTTGCACTTACTACTGTGACATAATATTATGTAAATGTGCATTTGCTTTTTCTTTGCTCATTTCACCGACTAATATTAATTTCCATGAGTTCAAGAGTTCAAAGGCTTTCTTTTTTTTTTTTTTTTTTTTTTTTAGACCAAGTTTCGCTCTTGTTGCCCAGGCTGGAGTGCAATGGCGCGATCTCGGCTCACTGCAACCTCCGCCTCCCAGGTTCAAGCAGTTCTCCTGTCTCAGCCTTCCAGAGTTCAAGGGCTTTGAAGGTTTGGTTCTTTGTGTATACGTAGAACTTGTAATAGTGCTTGACACATAGTAGATGCTTAACAAATACTTGATAAATGAGCAACTAAATATGTGAACTATCAATATTTCAAAGTTATTTTGCTCACCATCATCTCTGCTTCAAGTACATTAAAACTAAACGCATCTATACATCAGAATATACCATAAGCTAAGATAAATGGGAAGAGATAGGCTGGGAGAATATATCTGCAGCAAATAAAACTGACAAAAAATAGTGTCAATAATATGTTAAATATTACAAATCATAAGAGTCAAACTACTCAGACAAATGAACAGAACAATTAACAAGAAAGGAAACCAGATTGTCAAATACATGACTTAAAAGATGCACAGCCATATTAGAAATCAAGGAAAATAAATGGAGTCATATATCAGTTTACAGTCATCAGATTGGCAAAATTATAAAAGATTAAGGACAAGTCTTCACGACTATGTAGGAAAAGTGGAACTCTAGTACATTATTGACGGGAGTAGGAAATGTTATAACCACTTTGGAGGATGATTTGGTGATATCTAATAAAGATAAACAAGTAATAACTTACGACCTGGCAAGTCTGCTTCTATCTCTGCACCCTAGAGAAATTTCATCTATATTTATGAGGATATATGGATAAGGATTTTCACTAAAACACTTTTTAAAGTTTTAATGGAAATAACTGAAGTGTCTATTGATAGGAAAATGGATAAATAAACGATGGCATATTCATGCAATGGAATATTGCTTGGCAATTAAAATGAATCAGGTAGGTCTACATTTATCAACATGGACAATCTTTTAAAAACATAACATTGAATGGAAAAAGTGAGTTTCAAAAGTCACTTTTTTTTGAAAAGTGTGAAATAATTCATGCAAAATTTAAAAACACACAAAACAATACTTTGAATCATTTATAAATATATACATATATAGTAAAAGTATAAAAACACAAAAAAGATACAAATGACCTTCAAGATGGTAATTACTGTGGAGAGGAAGGGAAGGTAATGGTTCCAGGAGTGCTGTTAATTTCCCTGGTGAAATGTCATTTCTTTCTTTTAAAAAAAAAAATAAAAGCAAACACAAACAAACAAAAAACGTGTGGTCTCACTCTGCTGTGCAGGTTGGAGTGCAGTAGAATGATCATAGCTCACTGCAGCCTCCAACTTCCAGTTCCAAGGGATCTTCCCGCCTCAGCCTCCCGAGTAGCTGGGACCACAGGTGCAAGCCACCATGCCCAGTTATTTATTTTTATTTTTGTATATTTTGTAGAGACAGTGTTTCGCTTTGTTGCCCAGACTGGTCTTGAACCCCTAACCTCAAGAGATCCTGCCACCACCTCCCCAAAGTGACTATTTCTTTTTTTAAAGAATCTGAACTTGATGTGGCAGTCTTAACATTTGCTACAACTCAGTGGTTGAGTATAAGGCAATCTATTATCCTCTTTACTTTCCCGTGTCTGGAATATGTTTCTTCCAAAATTAAGAAAAAATAGACTAGAAGAAAATATGCCAAAAAAGTGTTATATTTCTGAGGGGTGGGATTTGCTTTTCTTTTACTTTTCTATTTCTACATACATCTTAACGCTTAAAAATTTTGCACAGTGACTGTGTAGATTACATTTATCATTAGAAAAAACTAAATTTAAAATGGTGAAATGCACAACAGATTTTAATACACACAGAGATTTCTGCCAATGATTTTAAGTTTGTGTTTCATTTCTTCCCTGTAGTGTATAAATCTAAGTAAATGAAACATTAATTTTAATAGAGCAGCATTGAACACAAGCAAGACACACCTGTGTATATTACAGGTAGTAAGGATGTTCCCAGAAAGTATTCCAATTTTATATTCATTAACCAGGAGAAAAATACTTACCCAAACCTACATGCTCCACACTTCCTTCAGGAGACGCTATGGTTTCTGACAAATACTGGTTGCCACAAACCTTGTTCTTCACTCTTTCCACGCTACGGGTCTGCAGGACTCACTTTAAAACTATTTCCCTTTAGAAGTTTTAGCCATATTTTAAAATCACTTCCTGTATTTTATATTCTATTCATCTATCAGGCTCCAGGATGCTCTACCATAAACGTCATTGACCTTACCATCTCATCAGCCTTTCTCTTATCTTACCTATGCTGTCACAGATTTCAACAGGCAGAAAGATGATACCTTGTCTCTTCAACTTTCATGATCTTATCCATTTTAATCAGACAAACGATAGTATGGCTATAAAATCTTGTTGCTCAAAATTGAATAGTTCTTCACTTTCAAAATTGTAAATTTTGAAATGCCCCTCTCTTATTTCAAATTCCTGTCATGGCTCTTCCATTCTCAAGAGGAAATCAACTTAGTTTCCATCCTCAGAGTAACCTACAGTTAAGTGGCTTTTTCCACTTTTCTCAGAAAATCACTCCAATTCACCAGCAAAATGGTTGTAATGACTTGGGACAAATGAAGCTATCTTTCTCTTCTAATAACGCTTCCCATTTGGTGTAAATTTCCTGAAAGTAACTTATTTGTTTTTAAAAAGGGGAGGGAATCTAAACACCCTGGGCCAAAATGTTAATTAACTTTTTTTTTTTAATTCAGAAGAAAACTGCAGTATAGGATTTCCCCAGCTCCTTCTGATCTTTCTTCTTTGTTTAATATTCCAAATACCAAATTATTGGCCACCTTTGTGTTATCCCACAGTTTTAATTCTACAATGGAGCAAGGTTCCAACATCACTTTGTTACTTATAAGATGGACTTTTGGGCCAGGCAAGGTGGCTCACACCTGTAATCCCAGCACTTTGGGAGGCCAAGATGGGCGGATCACGAGGTCAGGAGTTTGAGGCCAGCCTGGCCAATATGATGGAACCCCGTCTCTACTAAAATACTAAAAATACAAAAATTACCCAGGCATGGTCATATGTGCCTGTAATCCCAGCTGCTCAGGAGGCTGAGGCAGAAGAATTGCTTGAACCCGGGAGGCCAAAGTTGCAGTGAGCTGATTGCACCATTGCACTCCAGCCTGGGCCACAGAGCAAGACTCCGACTCAGAAAAAAAAAAAAAAAAGACTTTTAAAGCCACATATAGCACTTTCAAAAAGTCAGCATGTTTTCATTTCTGGAAATGGGCATCAGTTCAGGAAAAAGTCTTAGAGGAAGCACTCCCATTTTGTTGTAAAGTACTGGATGATGAGTTTTTGCTCATCTTCAATAGTATGTCACTAGACATTTTACTTTAAGGATTGAGTTATAAAGACCTCTATGTGAAGAATTTTTTAAAGCATATACATGGCCTATCAGCTTAACTCCTGTTTATGGCTCTTCCATTCAGTTGAGGCTTGGCTTGGTCTGTCTTAACACCTAGATATTCTGACAGTTAGCTTCTGAGTTTCACACTATTAAATGATCTAGACCTACCAACAGATTCAGTCAGCCCTAAATCCATCTAGTATAACTCTGACTACTGATAGCTGGGGAGTATTTACAGTTAAATGACAAGTTTTGTGATTCAGATATTCACATGTTTTATATCCCTATTTGAAAATTTTATTTCCATGTTAGGTATCAGGGCTTAACATAAATCTATGTTATATTTATACTTTTTAATGCACAATGCTGTCTCATTTATAGGGCATTATGGGTTAATTTCCTAAGTACTAAAGGTTACCCATTCAAGTGCAAAACCCTGTACTAATTGTAAATTTTTTATTAAGTATTTTTATGAATTTCTGTCTGCAGGGCTTTATAAAATCAATTATACTTGCACTTGTCTTCTTATACAAAAGTTATCAAACACTAAACACAACTTTCTTCTGGATAAATCAGGGTTATCATCATAAACATGCAATATTATACTCTAGCATTCAACCATATGGCATGTCTACCTTTTCATTGATTGTACTATTTTACTATGAGCTGCTAAACTTATTGCTCTCATGTTGCTTGTCACCAACATCTCCCTATATTCTAAATTGCTTACTTCTAATCTAATACGAAAACAGATAATAGAGTTTAGTTAAATTGTGTGTGTTTTATAAAAATAGGCTGAAGTACATTATGGTGAAAATATATGATCTCTGGAAATTGCTTTAAAATACTCCAGAAAAATAAACACGCCAACACAAAACTTCAATGAAACAAAACTGGCAAAATGTCAGTAACTCTTGAGGCTGGATGATGAATATATGGGGATTCATTATATTCTTCTATTTTATGTATCTTTGAAATTTTCTTTCATAGGAAAGCTTTTAAAAGGAAGCTTTTTTAAAGAAAAATTCAAGCTAATAAATATTGACAAAACAATAGAATTAATCACCATTTTGCAACCACAATGTAATGACTAATTCAGACAAGGGTCATTAATGCATTCTAATTTTAGTTTAGCTTCACTATTGAGAAAAAGGATGTTGGGAAACAATATATTCACATGGCCTTAAATTATCACCCCCCAGTTCACTTATTTATTTCTGAGGGGAAGGTACGTTTACAAGAGAGAAAGGTACTTTTGGAGGTAGACATTATCTAGGTGACCAATCAAATTAAGCATCACCAATAATGGGTCAAATTGTCATTATGTGTTTCCTGATGTTATACAAATACACAATATCACCTATGTAGTCATCTTACTAAAAATGTTTAACCTGAATTTAATAATGAGGAAACAGACAAATCCAGTGTGTAGCATTTTTACAAAATAATTGGCTTGAACCTTAAAATCATTGATGTTTTTATTATGTTTTAAATCAATTAAAATTAACTATAAAGACCATTAATAGACTAATATTGGGGACATTTAAACATGGTTGATATAGTAGGTAATATTTGTATGCACATTTAAATTTCTTGGATATGCTAATGATTTTGTGGTTATGTAAGTGAAAGTTATTTTTCCTGGGGAATACATGACGTTGAAGTATTAGGGGGTAAAGTTCCATGATGTCAGCAACTTGTGTGTTTGTGTATGGGGAGTGTGTTTGTGTATGTGTATGTGTATGTGTGTGTGTGTGTGTGTGTGTATCTGTTAGCAACTGGTGAATCTAGGTGAGAGAGATAATGTGGATACTTGTTCTATTCTTTCAACTTTTCTGCAGGTTTGGATTTTTTCAAATTAAAAAGTTAGGGGAATGTATAAAGAGAAGAAATATTTTTTAAAAGTAGGTTCATGAGAGCACAGTTTCTCCTTTGAAGAGTAAAGTGTAGGGAGGCCATTTTCTAGCCGCTTGTAATTCTATTCTAGAGATTTGATACTGCTGAAAGTAAGTGGAATAATACTGTTTTTTAAAATTGTAACAAGCCGTATTTATCAGTAACAAATAATCTAATTTCCCTTAACATACTTCATATTAAAAGAGCAAGATATTAGACTCATAGCTACAATAATAAAAATAATCAAATTCTTTGGAACTAGCCAGTTTTGCTATCTCATAGCCACAGTATACTTTTGTTATATTGCTTAGAATGTCATGGCCAGAAGTACCTTAGAAATCCATCATCTAATCCAGATCCTTGATTTTGCAGATTAGGAAACAGAAATCTAGGAATGTAAAATGCTTTGCCTAAAGTCACTTAGATTTCCTTATTCTGGTTTTCTGCTACAACACACTACCCATTGGCATTTTAGTTTTATTTGTACCTTAAATCCATGTCAATTTTTGCTTTAAGGTGGACATTTATTATCACAAATCAACTAATTTTAAAGTCATCAATAATAAAATATGTTAAATTTAATCTAAGGGGTGATTTCTTGACTCTACATCACTGTTACTTAAGTAAGAAATAAATAATTTGTCCTTAAGGAAAGGTACAGAATTATTCTATGCATTAGCATCCAAAGGACCTATGAATTTATATGACATTTTAGAACATTAAATTTCATTAGTTCAGGGAGTAGAGCAAAACAGTAATGGCAATGGCATTGAAAAATATTTTTCTTTTTGAGATTAAAAATGGTCATGTGAACATGACTTTTTCACTTTTCTTAAGAAAAAGTGAAAGCTAATAAACTTTTATTAAAAGTAAGAAAACAAATGAGAAATAGAGGCCTAATGCGTATCTGGAATTAAATTTAGTTTCCCACTGAGCACTCAAAGGACTAATAATAATAAAGGGAATTAACACTTGAGTCCTCAGGGAGGAAATTATACATGCATGCAGTTGACAGCCCTCAAATCAGTGTTTAATCTGAACATTTATCCAGATAATTTACTTCCGGTACTATTGTCTGAGTCAGCGATTCAAGTCACACATTTAATGAGAAAATAGGTTTGCTGTATAAAAGCTGCGGGTGAACACATTGGGAAAACAGACTGAAAGGAAAAGTGAGGCTGTGTAAGGCGGAGACCATGTTTATGAAAGCTAAAGCGCAGTTAGAATCAAATAATGTCATTAAAATAACCCTCATTCTGCCCTTTTTCATTGATTTAATTTCATTCTAAACATTGTTTTTTTCTGCCATTTAGTAGTAAAAATTTTTTTTCTACTTAATACTCTTAAGAGAAATTGAGAATCAGCCTTAATTATTTCTCTGTCTACTTCATTTACACATTAGATTCTAATGTCATAAATATTCTGAACACTTCTAACAATATATCACTCAATAGAAATTATGGAATTTTATTAGAGCTGAAGATATCTTAAAATAAGTGGTATCGGTGATTGTTATTCTGAATAATTGAAACTAAACTAAAAGGGGCCAGATTGTAACAGGGTGAGGAGATTTTTCGAAGCTTCCTTTGTTGAGGATTAGGATATTGTATCATTTGTTCTCATGAGAACTGTGGAGTTTGATTCTTCCCACATTTGAAGAGTGTTTCTAATCAAGCCCACAGGGTTATGGAGAAGAAAATGTGATTTACCCTAAAATGTAGCGACTGGCTGGTGCCCTATCACCACTGCCTCAGGCAGTCCTATGATGATAACATTTTACACCTATCTGAATAAGAGGAGAAAAGCACGCTTTCCCTAACACATTCTGGTTTCAAATTGATAAACCCAGCAGAACAAAAGAATTGTCATAAAACATTTTGATAACCTTTCTTTATAAAATATTCCACCCATTTTGGAAATAGGGAGCTGATTTTTGAGTCTGTGTAATAATTTATTTCTGAGAGAAGTTAGAAGTATTGAAATGCCTTCACTTTTTGTATTCAGATGTGAACAGCTAAGCCAAAGAATAAAGATAGGCAAACTGACCTCATTTTAAAAATGTATGTTTAAATTTGGTCTGAAATTCTGAAAAGTTCATGATTCCAGTGTGAAACCTTTGCAGCAACACACAGAAATTCGAACGTGAATGAAACCAGAAAATACTCATTTCAAAATGTCAGTGCACTGTTTTAAATGTATAGAGAGTAGACAACTTTATTCATAGGGGATATGTTCCAAAACCACTAGTGGATGCCTGAAACTGCAGAAAGTACTGAACCCTATATATACTATGCTTTTTTCTACACATTCATATACATGATAAAATTTAATTTGTCAATTAGACATAGTAAGAGATTAATAATTAATAATAAAATAGAACAATTATAGCAATATACTGTAATAAAAGTTATTTGAATATGGTCACTCTCTCAAAAAATCTTATTGTGCTGTACTTGCCTATTTTTGGACCACAGTTGACCGCTGGAACCTGAAGCTGAAGAAAGTGAAAATGCAGATGAGAGGAAACTGTATACAATACTGTATATATAGAACTAAGAACACTCGCTGTCAAATGTAGGCCTCCAGTAAATGGACTTGCACTTATTCATACTATTTGTATTTATTCTAATAACTTTGTATTTTAATTAGTCTCAAGTTTTATGTAAACATAAGTAACTTTGTGCATAAATGGATATCCACACCTCCAAATGTATGGAAAATCATACCAATAAGCAAAATGCTTCTGGAAGGTATAGGTGAAGTCATATAATAAACACAGAAAAAAAAATTTTGTTTGCTTTTCAACTTGCTCCAGAGTCATTATGAATATATCTTTAATGTAGCAAGTGTTATAAAATGTGATAGAAGATAAAGCTACATAATCTGCTATCATTGATATAGTGCCTCAGTTTGTATCTGCATAGAGATCCTGTTGTGATCACTTGGCTTAAAATCGTTATTAACAACTAGCTTTGCTGCTATTGCACATGTTCAAAGAAAATGAGCTTTTAAAAAGGTGGTCCTTTCAAGATGCTGAAAGTGTTTGATTTAGCGGTTGCTTCTGAGCTGTAAATTGGAGAGACCTAAGTATATAGGCAAGAGACGGTAAAGTACTTGGTACAGGACTAAGAGGGATGTAAGTTAGCAAACAAGTTATTATCAATTAGCTTGTCTTTTTTATGGGAAAGAGCATTTCATCTTTACTGAAAACATTCTGCATTGCTAATTGCCAAATTAACCAATTTCAATATTTATTTCATTTCCAAAATGGTTTTAAGCATATATTGATATGGTAGATAATCTCCAGGTTTGGAGGAAGAGATGGAATGAGAAGTGTGAATATGTAGATCTATATATCTCTTCCTGAGCATATATACAGAGTTTTACTAATCTACTTTTTGTGCTTAGCACTGTGCTAGACAAATTGCATGCTTTACTTCATTAGACTTTTACAAGAACCTTGTGATATAGGTATGGTGACTATTTTAAACATAAATGACTGGGTTCTGAGCCTCAGAGAGTTTGAGTTTAGGCAAATTGCACAGAAAATTATTTGTGAAGTTGAGACTAGAAAACCGGTGTCCCCAAGGTGGCTAGTAAACAGTGGATCTAATACCTAAACCCAGATCTGTCACTTTTCAGTACCTCATGCTACCCAGTCGTCAAGTTTTGGCAGAGATTTGGGTACTGACAGAGCTGGGAAGGGCCTTGGAAGTAATTTGTTAATGGCAAAACTGACCCTTAGAATCTTAAGCTCTGTACACATTACCTTAGATGGTAATGGATCTGACTTTCATTAAAGAAAATAAGGCATTCTAGGTATAATGAGAGCACTTATCTGAAAGTTTACACTGGATGGTCAGAAACCTTGGTTCACAGTCCCAGCTTGCCCACTTATTAGCTCTCCTAACTTGAGAAAGTAACACCATGGCTCCAGATTCTAGAAACCATGTGTATAAAAATGGGCATGATAACTAATTGGCACATAGTCTTAAACAAGTTGTTGTAATGATCTTATTAGAAAATTTTTTTAAATTGGAAAACTGTAAGCTCCAGTAAACTTTAAACAGGAATTATCATGGAAGCCAGGAATTCCCACTCGTACATATATCCCTAAAGGAAATAAAATACGTACACACAAAAATGTGTACATGAATGTTTATAGCAGCATTATTCATAATAACCAAAAGGTAAAAAGAACCCAATGCTCATCAACCAATTTTATTATTTAGCAATAAAAAAATGAAGTATTGATACATGCTATAATATGGATGAACCTTGAAAACATTATGTTAAGTGAAAGAAGCCAGTCATAAAAGGCCACATGTTGTATAATTCCATTTATATAATGTGTCCAAAATAGACAAATCTTTAGAGGCAAAAAGTATATTAGTAGTTGCAAGGGGATAGTGGAAGGGAGAATTGAGAGGTACAGGTTTCTTTTGGGGGTGATGAAAATGTACTGGAAATAGTAAGGATGTTTGTATAACTGTGAATATACTAAAAATAACTGAACTATACACTTTAAAATGGTAAATTGTATGGCATGTGAATTATATTTTAATAAAGCTACTTGTAAAGAGAAAAGTCAAAACATTTTGTGAACTAGGAATAGCAGTAATTCTATCATTATAATGACTATAGCAGTTATGGGCAGAAAGAAGAGCAGATGCTTTATAAAATCAAACTATCTCTGCTGTTTAATGGCATCTGGATTTTAATCTGCCTAATGTATCCACTGCTAGTACTAGCAAGGAACCTTTCAATCTTTCCTGAACACTTTTTATGTACTGAAGCTCATCCTGTAAAATCAACGTTGGGAATGTATTTCTTATTTATTAACACTCAGTAACAAAACTGATTGCAACAAAGCACATATATGATCCATTGGCTTGGTTCCACTGCCAAGGAGGCAACTGATTCATTATGAATCTAAGTGATTATGTATCTAAGCAAAATAGAAACACTCATTTCAAAGCACACCAATTTGGTAGGATTAAAAATTGAAAGATAGATTGTGTAATCAGCCTCTCCAAAACCAAGGAATATTGGTTATGAGTATTATTTATAACAGCATTTCTGATAATGTGAGGTTTTGACCATGTGTGGAGTAGCAACTTAAAACCCTAAAATTCACTCACCAACCCAAGCCAAGTAATTCAAGGTAAGGTGGTTTGCTTCTAGTGCCTCCAGTTCTCATGACCAGGAACAGCTGACTCACAGGTTGGCATACAACCCCCTCTCAGGGCGAGTAAACCACACATGCCATAATAGGACACTAACTGCAGTGATAATCTGTTCCTCTAGGCTGAAAATAATAAAGTTCATTTTTGTGCAACAGTTAACCAAAAAGTATTAGAGACATAATCAATGGCTGGTATGCTTTCAATTGACAAGACTGTTTCTCAGCAGCAACATGTTCCCTCTTTACGAAATTATAATTTTCTGACTCTTCACGTGGTCATTCTTTGATGGTTTTATTGATATTATTCCCTCATGTCAAATTCGCTAGCCCTTCTCCTTTCAATATTAGAATGTTTCATATCTGATATAAGCATCAAATGATCCTCATTTGTAGTAAATTGTAACAAAGTCAAACTGTCCCTATTTAAGAAGAAAAATCTATTGAATATGAATGTTAATATTCATGAAGTCAATCAGCATTCAGGCAATTTGTCCAGCTAAGCATAACCAAAATATATTATGCATTCAGGCCCTTTTATTTCCAAAGGCAGAGTAAAATTTAAAAAAGAAAGTTAACACCACAGTCTTGTAAAAGAATATCAAATAATTGAAAAATTCAATTTATTGTGACAAACAGGAAAGTTCCAAACTAGCAACATAAATGTATTTTCTAAGGTCATATGATAAAACTGACAACAAAATGAGACAAAATATCTTTTACTGCTTCTGAACATCTTATCATATGAAATACTAAGAAACACAACTTGCATTCACACAAAGCCTCTCAAAATGAAACAAAAGTCACACAGTTCAGTAGCTCAGTTATTTCATGTTTTAGATAATCTTAGACTATACCTTAAATTCAAATAATAATAGTTATACTTAGTGTTTACTGTGTGTCAAGCATTATTCTAAATGTTTTATCTTTGTTAATTAATTTCATCCTCACAATAACACTATGAGGTAAATCCTATTTTACAAGGAAGGAAACTGATGCACAGAGAAGTAAAGTAACTTATGAAGGTCTCATGGCAAGAAAGCCACAACTCAAATCTAAACAATTGGTTCCAGAGTCTTCAAACTCAACTGTTATGCTACATAGCTCACTATATGCCTAGATAAACTAGCTGACAAATGCTATTTTCCATCTCTACTGTTTCATTGTCTGAAATTTCAATTTACTCCAATGATTAGAGGGATAGTTTCTAGCAGCTGCTAAGGGTTATGGGAGGGTCAGGGGGTAGGTGGGAATGGTCAGTAGGTACAAAAAAAATAGAAAGAATGTATAAGACCTACTATTGATAGCACAACAGCATGACTATAGTCAATAATAACTTAATTGTACATTTTAAAATAACTTACAGGGTGCAATTGGATTGTTTGAAATGTCTTTGTAAGAGTAGGGTCTCATGTACAGCTACTATGAGCCCACAAAAATTAAACAAAAATCGGTAACTAAAAATAAATTAAGTTAAATTAAATTAAATTAAAAATACTGTAATGGCATATGGCAGTTTTTTATTCTGTATGAATAGTAGTCAAGAATGGAAACTATACCATCAATGATTGTTGATTTAGCTATAATATGATGTTTAGATAACATATGAGACAGTTCACTGGGCTCACTTTGCTGTCATTTGGTTGAATTTACTCTTTTTTAAATTTTTTCCTTTTTTTTTTTGAAACAGAGTCTCGCTCCATCACCAAGGCTGGAGTGCAGTGGTGCAATCTTGGCTCACTGCAACCTCCGCCTCCTGGGTTCAAGCGATTCTCCTGCCTCAACCTCCTGAGTAGCTGGAATTACAGGCATGCACCACCACGCCCAGCTAACTTTTGTACTTTTTTTAGTAGAGACGGGGTTTCACCATGTTGGCCAGGCTGGTCTCGAACTCCTGACCTCAAGTGATCCACTTGCCTCGGCCTCCCAAAAATGCTGGGATTACAGGCGTGAGCCACCGCGCCTGGCCAGGTTGAGTTTATTCTTTTCTTCCTAATGGAATGTTGTACCACTTACTTATATTTTACTTACATGTCACCTAGATTCAATGGGCTTCACTGGAAAATATAATGAGACTATCAATCACACATTTCCCCACTGTCAACCACGCTTTTACAGATTCAGTAAATCACGTACTGTCTCAAAAATGCTAAAAAAAATCCTGTTATTTTCAACATGCATGTAAGGATAGACTTGAAAAAGTATGCTCCCCTTAAGTAATCCTGGGTGATATCATGCCGTTCTACCTGTGAGGTATCTGTATGTCCATCTGAAGTCCAAAAGTAATATACGTTTCATTGTTTGAGCAGCTCTTCTTTTATTACTTTCTAATAGACTCATAGACTCCAAAGACTTCCCATTGTTCTCAGGATAAAGATCTAAATTTGTATTGTGGCCTATATAGCCCTCCGTAGTGTGGCCTCTGTGCCCATCTACATGTCATCTCTCTTCATGCTCTATCTGAATCTCTACACATAAGCTATTTTCTCTGCCTAGAATATTGACCCCCAGATCCTGTTCACTTCTATATAGTAACACCTTTCTTTGCCTACCCTTTCCTCAGGTTCAAATGTCACTTCCTCAGGGAAACATTTCTGGACTTCCTTAAGAACTTCCCCCCTATTTTATGTTTTTATTATGCCATGCAACTCTTTTTCATAGCACTTATCACAATGTATGGTTATTTTATTATTGTCTTATCCCTAGGAGACTTTAACTAAATGAGAGTAGGGGCCATTTCTGTTTGGCTAATCTCCACATTCCCGGTACATAGTGGAGTGCTGACTAGCTGAATGAATGAATGAATGAATGTCATAACCACTGTTGTTTCTGTGATCTAACCCCACCCTGATACCTAATACCTAATTCTAGGTGAAAAGAAGTCCATCACTTCAACTAGGTACCAATTTAGTGTGAAAGTGCAACATTTAACATTTTACCTAGTATGTTTAATGTTCCCTATTACCAAATATAGACACTGGTAATTAGAAATGACATAATGTACAGGCCTGCTAGTTGCTGCATTTTTAACCATCCCTGAAAAAGAAAGTATTAATTCTGTGGAAAAGAGAATGAGCAGACTAGTGTTAAAATTCAAGGTCTGAAACTCACTAACAGTATAATGCTGATTAAATTACCGAAATTATTTAAGTCTCGGTTAATGGAAGATAGTACTATCTAATTTATAAAATTGTTGTGAGAATGATGCAGCATATGTAAAATGTCTAGAATAGTGTTCGGCACCTAGCAGCACTCAGCAACTGTTCAATCTCTTTTCATCATTTCACAAATAGCTATGGTCTGACTACAGAGATCTCTCTCTCTCCAGGCTTCTAGAAGAAAGGATTATTGATTCTTTAAGAGGCATGCCTTCTCTTCTTCCCTCCTCACCAATATATCCTATCCATCTGAACTAAAATATCCTTGAAGTAGAAGATGGCAAATCCGTGAGTAATTTCTTTACCCACATAAAAAAAAATGAGAGAAGTATTAACTCTAGCTCATCACTAAGGTTGAACAACCGCAACTACAGAGCAGTTTGTGAATTAAAGACATTTCTTAAACTCCTACGGCTATCAATCTCCACCCTTGGTAAGCCTAACACTTGGAGGCTAAGAAAAAAGAAGAATAAAAAGGAAACTTTAGTTTCCTTTTGAACAGCAAAGAAAAGAGCAGCAGCCTTGAAGAAACAAACTGTTCTTTCATTCTTGGAAAAAAAAAAAAAAAAAAAAGGACTCTCATACTGTGATGGACAAAAATGTCAAATAAAATTAGACCAAACTAGAGAGTTAAGCCCAAAGTGAATCCTTTCTTCTAAAGTATTGCATTTCCCTCTGGCCATCCGAGACTTTTTCTGTGCCCCTCGCTAATGATCGGAATCCAAAGAAGAAAGCAATTTGAAAGCACTTAGAAAGAAGTGTGTGTGTGTGTGTGTGTGTGTGAGTGTGTGTGTGTGTATGCATATGTGCATGTGTGTGTCTCTTAAATTTCAATACCTCTTAGGCATTAGATTCTAGGATGAAAAAGGTTTCATGTTCTACAAAGCAAATCTTTAAAGAATGTGAAAGGAGAAATGTTGTCTTTATGGTAGAGAAGGGTACCTTTTTATCTCAAGATAGTCAAAGAAACATTTTGTCCATTATAACTGATATTTAGACACTTTCATCCTTTTGGTAAAAGAGTTTTTGAACTAGTGAAATTTAAACTTAAAGTTAAGGTACAGGCTTAATAGAAACTCTTTGAGTAATGTGGTTAGGAGTTAAAATTACATTATGCATACAATTGTGTCTGATAGGCTAAAAATGTGTTCACAGAATTCTTTCACAAAGAACATATATATATATATATATGTGTGCGTGTATATACATAAATACATATATACATATATATGATGCATGTATATACATATATATATATATGATGTGTGTATATATACCTATATTTAGAACCAAAGAATAAAGTAGCTACTAACACTCCCTTCCTACTCCTCACTGAGTGTACCCTCCTCTACTCCAAAGATAAGGATTCACTGTGCTTACTTCCAGGAGATAATCATACTACTAAAAAAAGTCCACCAGAGTGACCTTAGACATTTCAGAAACATACATTGAGAAATGCCCTATATGCAGGGAAAATTAAGCTAGGATCACCAATATCGGTGTTGGTAGAGAAGTAGGTACCTAGGGTCAAGTAGGCCAAGTTTATGGTGGCACCACATTCTACATCCTAAACCCTAACTCTAACTCCACAAGAATTAGGAAGTTTCTTTTCATTTAAGACAAAAGGGTGATAAGGGCAAATAATTTCCAAATAATATTTTCCCTCCCAAAACACTCCTTTAAAATCATGCAGTGACTTTCTATTGCACTTGAAATAAGACCCAAATATGTCCCTACGTAATCTGTCCACTACCTCCCTTCTCTGACTCTATATCACACCATTCTTTCCTTGCCCTTTATGCTCCAGTCACACTGCCCTTCTGTTTCATGAACACACCAAACTGGCCTTTGCCTCAGAGCCTTTGTGCTTGCTCTTCCACCTGCTTGTAATACTGTCCTCACTTTGCATCACTCAGAGCTCGGGTAAAATATCATTTTTTCCAAGAGACCATCCCAATCCATCCTACCTAAAATAACCTCCAATCCTGTACCCAGCCCCATCATTTTCTGCCCCATTACATTGTTTTATTTTCTTGCTACCAGAAGCTGTTCAACAAATGTTTGTAGACTAAAGTAACACCTCACAGATTAATCCTTGAAACATCTCCACTTCAAAGTGACTGTGCAGAGGTCTTAGACAAATGCAGAATCTATTTTAGGTTAAAATGGATGAAAGTAAATCGATAATTTATATATTCCCAAATCTCTGAATATGTGGTATCAAAAGAATCAGGATAACTAGTTGATTTTTTAAAAATTTACCCAATAGATATGACTGTAAAAACTTGGTTTGCCATGATTCTTACCAAGAACTTTCTTCCTTTGGATGTAGAAAAGGGAGAGGAAATGAAATCAAGCATCCTCCCTTGAGAAACTCTTTATGTATCAGAATGTAATAATCTCACATCTGCTGGTCACTTAACATGTTGAATGACACTGAATGGACAGAGGACATAAGTTTTACCAATAAATGGCTGGGAAGACTTGGACAAATCAATTCAGTGTTTCTATCTGTTATGTGGGAATGAGAGTTTGTGTTTTGTCTGACTCACTGACCTATTGTGAACTTCAAATTAAAGAATGCTTATGAAAATACAATATACTGTCAAGTCCCATGGAAATGTAAAGTATGGTTTTCACAAAAGTGTTGTAATTTCCCAAAAGGAGAACCAGAATGTATTTGTACAATATTCAAACATTTCTAGAAAATGAGTGTCTTTGTTGGCTATCAGTATTTAAACCCAGTCAAGATTCCACCTGATCATAAATTTAATACATTCTCCAGATCTATATAGACATATTAAATAATTATTTTGCAATAATAAGAGCAAATTGGAACTGCTCACCTTATGTATAGCAGACCACAAATTTCCCTGCTAAGATTATGATAGATTCACTGGGCTAAGAGACAGGACCAGCAATGAAGGATCCCCAATAACTGAACAGATCCAGTTTTAAAACAGGCTCTGTTATAAACAATAACAGTAGTATGATGGGAGAAGCAATAGAGGTCCTAGAAATACCTTCTCTTTGTCTTAAATTTCACACTTTGAAGAAGTACTTTTCACCTATATTAGTACATTTTAGTTTGGTTGAGGCAATCCTTATCTTCTTGGGTGGGACAACTCACTAACTCCTTAAGACTGTAGCAGAAATTAATTTATCTGATTAACTTAACCCCATCTACTGCTAATTAGTGAAAAATGCTAATGGAATCTCTGAGGAAGCCAGAAAAAGAAGATTAGATAAATTTTGCCTGTGTAAAAGATGTCATGGAACATGTTATTCTAATTTGAACAGATGAGGCTTTAAAATGGGCCCTGAGCAGCGAAGAGACAGCAAAGAGGATATCTTAAGGGACCACAGAAAGTCAATATGACCATGCAACTAGCAGGCAGATATTCAAAAATAGTTCCACTCTACTAAACCCACAATGTAGCTAGACTTCAATGCAAGCATAAGTTAATTAAAACTAAAAAGACTTTTGAAAAGCCCTTTCCTTATTAAGCTTTGATGCTATTTATACACAAAGTAATTTTTAAAAATTATCTTAACTAGATATTCACCAAAACAAAATATTCTAACTTGTCCTTGATAATTACAAGTATATTTTTGTCTTTTGCTAATGAAAGTATTCTTATTATTGTCTACTTCTATGAATTCTGGTCAATTCTGATCTAATAAAGAAGAAACGTTACAGCAGAAATTCAATTAATCCAATGCATTTTAACAATTAGAGAAATGAACCTAATATAATTCTTTTATAAATTATCTGACTCTAATTTCATTCCAGTTGTTATTTTATTGGAAACAATCTTCCCAATCATTTTTGCTTATCTTTTAAAAGAATTCTGCATAAACTAATTTAAGATGGCCCACATTTTATTAAAAAGTAAATCTTGAGGGTCTAAGGAGGTCATAATTCTACCAAACTTCATGATTTTCTGGAAAGAATATTATAAAGGCCAAAGGTCTTGCTCAGCATCTCCTATAATGAAGCTGGTACAACACTATGACGCTTCCCTGGGTGACAATATTTTGCTTATTATTTATCAATATTTCCAATATTTTCTGCCATAAAACAATGTTATTGTTTCCTTTTTGACAGGTTTTTACAGAGGCTGTAGTAATGTAAATGAATGATTATAAGCCAAGGAAATCATTAAACAAATATAAAACATTTTAATATAAAATAAAGGGGTCCAGGCTTGGTGGCTCAAGCCTGTAATCCCAGCACTTTGGGAGACCGAGGCTGGCAGATTGCTTGAGCCCAGAAGTTTGAGACCAGCCAGGGCAACATGGTGAGACCCTGTCTCTACAAAAAATAATAATAAAAATAGCCAAGCATGGTGGCACGCACCTGTAGTCCCAACTACTCAGGAGGTTAAAGTGGGAGGATCACTTGAGCCTGGGAGGTTGAGGCTGCAGTGAGATCGAGATCGTGCCACTGCACTCTAGCCTGGGTGACAGAGTGAGAGTCTGTCAAATGAATATGTACATATATATGTACATAATAAAGAATATGTATCAAAAGGCATTCATCCTAAAAAATTAAACAAGTGGAAAAATATGTATGAACAAGAATGCTCATTCTGGTGCTGTTGGTAATAGTGAAAAAGTGGAAACAATCTAAATATCTATCTAAAGGTAATTGGTTAAATAAATTATCTCATATCTATACAATGAATGGCTAAGCACCCATCAAAATTTCGTATCTAGATATATACCTATTAAACTGAAAAGATGCTTATGATGTATTCTTTGCAAAAAAAAAAGGAAAGCATGATTGTTGGAAGGTTAGAATGACCCTTGTGAAAGAAAAACAAGCAAATAAATAAAGCATTTTTAAGAGAAATTTGGTAATGTATACCAAAATACAAAAATAATGAAAGGTACTTCAGTAATTTAAATCCTGCTAATAACAGTAAAAATACTCAAAACCATTTCAATGTCCATCAGTAGGAGACTGATATGGTTTGGCTGTGTCCCCTTACAAATCTCATTTTGAATTGTAACTCCCACAATTCCCATGTGTAGTGGGAGGAACCTGGTGGGAGGTTATTGAATTATGGGGGTGGGTCTTTTCTGTGCTGTTCTCATGATAGTGAATGAGCCTCATGAGATCTGATGGTTTTACAAATGGGAGTTTCCCTGCACAGGCTCTCTCTTTGCCTGCTGCCACGCATGTAAGACGTGCTTTGCTCCTCCTTGCCTTCTGCCATGATTGTGAGGCCTCCCCAGTCATATGAAACTGTAAGTCCATTAAATCTGTTTCTTTTGTAAATTGTCCAGTCTTGGATATATCTTTATTAGCAGCGTGAAAACAGATTAATATAGAGACTGATTCTATACAATGGGATGCTAATGCAGTTATCAGCATCAGAGATAAGAAGGCAGACAACATAATTAAAAATAGGCAAAATATTTAAATGGACACTCCTAAAAAGAAAATATATAAATGAATAATAATCCCTTGGAAGGATGTGCAATATCAGTAGTCACCAGAAAATGCACATTAAAACCCCAATGAGATACATTAACACACCTACCAGAATGCTTCAAATTTAAAAAGACTGAAAATGCCAAGTTTTGGCAAAGATGTAGAGTAACTGTAACTCTCATTCACTATTGTTGAAAATGGAAAATGGTGAAACCTTAATGAAAAACAGTATGGCAACACCTTATGAAGTTAAGCAAACTACCTAGCAATTCCCCTACTTGGTATTAACCATGAGGAATGAAAACACGGCCACAGAATTATTTATGTATGAATATTCATATTATCTATGATAGCCAATAAATGAAGCTCAACTGGTAAAGTGATAAAGAAATTGTAGTATATTCATACCTTGGCATGCTACTCAGAATCAAAAATAAATGAAATATTGATGGTAGCAATACTATAGATAAATCTCAAAATCATTATGCAAAGTGAAAGAAATCAAACACAAAAGACTATGATTTCATGTATTTGAAATCGTATAAGAGGCAAAACGATAGTTCCAGAAAACAGATCAATGGTTACCTGGGGTGGGGACAGGGGGTGTAGGGGAATTGGACATAGTGAAAAGGGGCACTGGAAACTTCTTAGCCTGAAGAAAAAAATTCTATCGCATGATCATTATGGTAATCATACAGTTGCATACAATCACAAAAATTCATTAAATTGTGCACTTAAAATTGATGAATTTTATTTTTAATTTATTTTATTTTAGTTTTGAGACAGAGTCTCCCTTTGTCCTTCTGGCTAGAATGCAGTGGTGCGTTGTTGGCTCACTGCAGCATCAAACTTCCAGGCTCTAATGATCCTTCCACCTCAGCTTCCCTCCTGAGTAGCTGAGAATACAGGTGTGCACCACCATGCCCATCTAATATTTTTTTTGTATTTTTATTTTGTAGAGAAAGTGTTTTACTGTATTGTCCAGGCTGCTCTGGAACTCCTGGACTCAAGCAATCTGCCCGACTCGGCCTCCCAAAATGCTAGGATTACAGGCTCCAGCCACCATGCCTGGCAGATGAATTTTCTTGTAGGTAAATAATGAGCCACAAAATGGTAAACAAAACAAAACAAAAGTTAGAGGTAAATTTGCATTCTCTTGCCCATAGTGAGGGTGAAATGAGCAAAGGTGAAAGTCCCTGGATCAATCCTGCGCCCCTCATAAATCAGGAAGTGAAAAATGCCCACAGTCTTTTAGTCCTTTCTTCCCCCTAACTGGAAAACCTTTCTGTGAAGTTGTATTTTATATATTTGGCTAAAATCAATTTTCAAAATATTATTCCTCATGTCCTCTGAATTTATAGCATGTAGACTTGCTTTACAAAATGAACAACAACAAAAAAAGATCTTTTAAATTTCTAGGAAAAAAAAAGTAAACCTGGTGGTTCACTAGAAAACTTGAGGAATTCCAAAAATATTTAGCTAAGTCATAAGATTAAAAATTCTGTTATTTGACCAGATAGAGCAAATCAGTCACTTGGTGTTAACTCTAAAAGATAACAGCTTCCTGACTATTAACAAAGTATCATGTAAGGATGCAGATGAAAGGGGGTTATTTCTAGTGCAATCCATCAAAATAATCTTCGGACATCAACGGAATCTTATCGATGATGTTTTTTAGCAGTGGAACTGTTACAGGTAGTAAGACACCACAAAAAAGAAACCGAAAAGTGCAAAAACAACTTCCTTGAAAAGCAGCAAGTTTGGAGACTAAAGATGAGCTTCTATTTTGAAAGGTTCTTGGTAATCTAATTAGAGTATCCCCAAAGGCTGCAATAGGAATGTCTGGGACAATCTATTCTTCGATATTGACTGCATCAACACCTCTGAGGATTATTATAAATTAGAATTGTTCCAGGGATGAATAAAGAGTGTTCAAAAGAGAGTGATGTATTATCAAAGTATATAAAGAACAAAAGAGACAAACAGCAGAATCTGACACATACTGAAGAAAAGACTTTGCCTTAGTGATTCTCATTCTTTTATGGTAATAAAATTACAACCAGGGAACTCTTCTGAAAACTCCAACTTAGGCACAACTAGTATTTCAAGCAAGATACCCTCTACCTACTTTTTCTCAAAAAAAAAAAAAGTTTAAATTTTTATTCTCAGCCGGCCCCTTCTTTTTTAAAACAAAAGTGTAATCAGGATCACACTATATGGAAAAAATACTTTCCACTGGCCTACAGCAAAAATTTCAAGGCCAGTTTTGGAAATACCAGCTATATAAATGCTATTTTACAGTTTCTTCTCACTTTAGTCATGTGCTAATGATTTACATAAGCAAGATATTTCATGGAAGAAAATCCCACTCAGGCTTTTGCAATCTTGCTAATTAAGCAGATTGTTTGTAACCTTGACACTAAGAAAGTTTTGCCGGGTGCAGTGGCTCATGCCTGTAATCCCAGCACTTTGGGAGGCTGAGGTGGGCAGATGACGAGGTCAGGAGATCGAGACCAGCTGGCTAACACGGTGAAACCCTGTCTCTACTAAAAATACAAAATTTAGCCAGGCATAGTGGCACGCGCCTGTAGTCCCAGCTACTCGGGAGGCCGAGGCAAGAGAATCACTTGAACCCGGGAGGCGGAGGTTGTGGTGAGCTGAGATCATGCAATTGCACTCCAGCCTGGGCAGCAGAGTGAGACTCTGTCTCAAAAAAAACCAAAAAACAAAACAAAGGTTTACTCAAAAAAGTTAAACATACCACTTTAGCTACTGTCAGAGATACTCTGGTTATATGCAGAATAATGCTCAAGCTTTTTATGCTTTTACTATGGAAATTTTCAAACATACACAAAAGTAGAGGAAAGATTACAATGAACCACCACACACTTAACACCCACCTTGAATATTTATCAACTCTGTTACATATTATTTCATCCACACCCCCGTTTTTACTTGCTGGATTATTTAAAGCAAATCCTAGATATTTCATTTATCCGTACATACTTGGCTGCTCATAAGAATTTTATTCAGTTCTCAGAACAATTAAAAATATATAATGAAAATAAGTATACTTTGAAAGATTAAACCTAAATAACTAATCTGAAATTTGACATTCAGTACTACATCAAATGTAAAGCAAGTGGAGAGACCATTTCCTAAATAGAAAAATTCAATGAGCTCTTCCCCGATTTTCCAAAAATAAAATTAAACAAACAAACAAACAAAAAAAACGCCGCGTACTTGGTGAATTTCAGGTTTTTTAAATCTTTCCTTTGTAGCAAAAGAACTGGAATAGTCCTATTAGAAATGCAGTGAGAAGTGCTTCTGTAATGCATACATTTAACTGACTACAGAATTTGGATTCTTCATCTGAAACCTTATAGCTTAAATGTGGTTCACTGTACAGTCTTGCCAGAAAGTCATTATTCCAAGATATCTGACCCTAATATTTTATTGCATTGAAAATATAACGCTGCCTTTTACCCCTGGGAATGCACATATTTCAGGTTCTGGTTAAGCCTCTCACATGGTGAATATCCTTTATTCCATTCCATCCAATAATATCCATTATTATCCTTTCAAGTGTTCAAGGAAATCTGATTTCAAATTCCAGAGTTACATCGTTTTATGGATTGATCTAGAGGGAGATGAGTTTACTAAAACCCACATGGTCCTTAGTTAGTTGATGTGAAATGTCAAAGAGAGCAGCCGCAGAAAAACATGGTAGAAATATGGAGAATAGAGTCTGACAAATTCAAAATAGAAAACTCAGGATTTAAGGAAATTAGGAAGGATGAACACATGGCATCGGTTTAAGGGATAATAAAGAGGGGGAGTCTCACTGTCTGAACTGTGAAGATGATCATGAACCTGCCAGCAGCCCAGATATAGGATGTGAACGGGCTTATTTTCAAATAATGCCTGAAAATCCAAAACCTAAGGAACTGTGGGCCCCAAGCAGTCACTGAGCCAGGTCCTGACAATTTGAATGAGATAAAGATATTGACAAGAATAAAGTTTTAAAAGGGCATCCGGGAGAGGTTGAGTGACACCAGAAGAAATTCTTAGAACAAGAGAAAATGGGATAAGTACCTCAATGCGCAATTGACTCAAAGCCCTCAGGAGTAAGAAAGAACATGATGACATCCAAAATGCTACAGAACATGCCTAAAAATTTTCCACTCTTTTCTGAGTGCTTTGCATTTTGACGAGAGCCCTGGATATTTACTTTAGATATAGAATACACACAGATTAAAACTGAGGAACAGAAATAAAACTCTGAAACTAGATATTTTTCTTATTCTTATTGGCTTATCAGTTCTGTCAACCATTCATTCTTCCACTTCAGGTTATTGCAGCAATGATGCACATTACATTTAGAAACAGACATGGTTCAATTATTGCTATTTAGAAGTATCTACAATTCAAGAGGTCTCAGTGAAAAGTGAAATTGAAGTGGTTACAACTTCTTTCACATACACAAAGAGATATTTAGTACAGTGCTAGAAATGAAATTATTCATCACTTACCAGGGAAGTGAATAGGTGTAATCAATAGGCTTTGTGAGGAACAAAATTCTGTTTTTTTTTTTGTTGTGCACTGGCATATTTCTCTTATGTCCTCTCTGCCACCATAAACACTTCCTCCACCTGAGGAGAACAGTGAATTCTACCTGCTATTAAAATAATCACCAGATCAGATCCAAACGAAAGAACAAAAGTACAATCAGGTGCAATCCTTATTTTGGGTTCACACTTACAACTGAAGATCTCCTTTCTCCCTAATAAACCAGAGAGGCATTTTTTTTATTGTTCTGAGACTAGGTGGGTTCCTATATGAGTAGATGTGGTTATAGATTAGATAAATAAGTAAATAAATAGATAAGGAGAAAACAGAAACTTAATAATTTGGATGTTCCACAGCATATGCATGCTCAAAGACTAATAGCACAGCAGTGTGGAGGATAAATGAAATAAATGAAAGTAACATAAATCCCATTCAGTAAGGACATGCAAAAAGATTCACAATAATTTGGCAATCTGCTTTTATGTTTCTCAAACAGTTTAATACTCTTATTATAATTTTGCCTGCATATTTCTAATTAATGATTTCATTGGAAACACTACTCTCCATGTTATTCTGCTGGTAGTTTATCCAACTTACCAGAGAAACATTTTTTTTTTTTTATCACTGAAGGAGTTTAAATTACTTTTCCATGAGTTGTTAAGTCCTTCTTTGCATGCATATAATCCAAGAGAATGAATATCAGTGCTCGTAAAAGTGAAGAAAGAGTAAGGAAAATATTACATACTGATAAGGAAGTATCTCTAAGGTGATGATTAATATTATTATTAATTTTAAAAAGCAAAGGTATCGAATAGTAGGTTTAGTATGATCCCATTTTCTCAAGGAATATATGTATGCATGTGGGCGTATATGCTGGTAATTTATAAAATATTATTGATATGTTTAAAAAATGTTAATGGCTATATAGGCCTGGATCGACTTATAATTTTCATTTTATGTCTTAGTATCTTATTTGAATTTTAATTATGTATATATATGGCTTTTATTTTTTAATTAAAAGATCAAAAATCACTTCAGAACAAGATAAATGTTTCAAAAATAATGCCGATTTTGAATCAAATAAAAGATGATTATATTTTCATAAGAAAAAGTTTGGAAGAGTATTCTTCAATATCTTACCTATAGTTACCTTACAGTAAAGACTTTGTGTGTGATTTCAATTTAATTTATTTTTCTTGCTTATTTCTATTTCCTACATTTTTACATTGAATATATGTTACTCATATAAAATAATAATTTAGTAAAACATGGTTGTGATTCTATTTATATTATGATTACTGAGATATACTCAAAGGAATTTTCTTTTGATTCAAAATCCTAATTGTAATCCTGAATTAATATTTCTTGTATCAAAATTACCTGAATATAGATTAACATAAACAATGATCAGGTTATGACAGAGGTTTTTGGAGAGGGATATATTATCCCTGATTGGCCATACCTTTACCCCAGTAGATAGAGAGACGAAATGTGGAGGATATGGGATTAATTTTCTAAATAGCAAGGGTTTTAAATGAAAGAGATCATTGCTGGCATGGATAATGTAGCAATCTAAAATTGGAATATGAAAAAGAGATTAAGGTTAACTAATGGTTTATGACTTATAATCTGGTATATCACAGTTGTGTACTAGATATGTCTCAATGTTCAATAGTCACAAGTATTAAACTGCTTTTTCCCTTCCCAAGAGATCTTTCTCGTTATGGCACAAACAATATTCTTCCAAATGTAAGATAAGGCATGAGAACCAGAGATTCACATGAAGAAGCTTGTTCAAACATTCTTTTGAGCCTGCATTATCCAATGGGCAACATGACTTTTTGATTATCAAGGATTACTTGATCTCCTCCTTCACATACCAATCAGTGCTATTTTCTTGCCTCACTAGCTTTTGTTTTTCACTTACAAACTTTCCAAAATAATGATCCTGGGAGAAAGAAAGAAGGAAAAATGAGACAATCATATCTGTTTCCCTTTACTAACTGTAGTAACTTTTTGCTAAAGATACAAGTCAAAAATATTTTTTGAAAACAAAAGTTTGAATAGATTATTTATGGATTTCATTTTTCTATGTTGTTTTCTTCTGAAATATTAAAAGTTGAGCAATTTAGAGACACAGAATTTAAATGTGTTACACTTTTTCTCTTTTATGAATTTTTCCCCACTTATATTAGAAGACCGATAATAAAAGTAGTGACTAGGAGTCCAATCTCTGAAATGAAAGTTGAATATTTAATGCTCTAAATTGTCAATATTTGATATTCTTTTCCATTGCCCCTGATATGGTTTGGCTGTGTCCCTATCCAAATCACATCTTGAATTGTAATCCCAGTAATTCCCACATGTCATGGGAGGGACCTGTTGGGAAGTAATTGAATCATGGGAGCAGTTTTCCCCATGCTGTTCTTGTGATAGTGAGTGAGTTCTCACAAGATCTGATGGTTTTATAAGTGTCTGGCATTTCCTCTGCTGGCACTCATTCTTTCTCATGCCACCCTGTGAAGAGGTGCCTTCCACCATGATTCTAAGTTTCCTGAGGCCTCCCCAACCATGAAGAATAGTGAGCCAATTAAACCTCTTTTCTTTATAAATTACCCAGTCTCGGGCATTTTTTCATAGCAGTGTGAAAACGGACTAATAAAGCTCCCAATATCCAGAGCAATTAATAATAAAGATTTATTTTTGGTTTGATATGAATGGTGTGTGAGTGTGTGTAGGCATGTGTATGTGCGTGTGTGTGTTGGTGGGGCAGGACGTGGGCAGTGAGAAGCATGATAAAAAGTGTGACAGGCCTGAGGTTTGCCTGTTGAGCTTTTGGGTATTCTCCAGATGTGTTCCAATAAGTCTAGAACATTTTCTGACGTTATATGTAGTTTTCTTTTTCAGTATCTCAGGTCTGGGTTATTCTTTTCTCTTTCTTCTTCAGAACAGGCCTCCTGAATTTTTGTAGAAATGACTGACTTAACGCAGGAAATGTACAGAATGAGCCTGAAACATCTTGTTGTAAAAAGTAAAGTAGAGGTTCCTCTTTAAAGAGACTTTCCTCCCTAATTAGGAATAAATAATAACTTCTCTTAGAAGCAAAATTTATTCAAAGACCTGTGCTAACATTCCTAGATATCTGCTAGCCATAATAAATCAATCAATGTACTTTGTATTCTTAGCCCCCAGAATTTAGCCTAAATATTTGCCCTGGCATGCTTATTATACTGGTCCAAGCAAGCATTAGGTCATATCCTGTTCCTCTTCCTTATTTGGAAGTGTTTTTACCTTTCTCAGCATTCCACAAGTTACTTCCTCTTTCCTTTGTTCTCCTCTGCCTTTGCCTCTTTTGAAAAGTTCTAAGTTGCTAGCCAATTAGGACAGAATATGAGGTCCCGTTCCAGCCAATGGAACCTGGACATGTCAAGTTATAAATGACCCTGTCTCCTTTGTTCAGTGTACTCTCATGGTAAAACTGCTGGTGAGTGTACCCTTTGTGCAGAAAGTAAAAATGGCCTTGCTGAGAAAATTAAATATATGTTCAAGTGCTATTTCTTTACAGCACTGCGGAACAAGCATTTCTAACATTGTTGAAAAGAAAGCAAGGACTCCTGGAGTCTGTCAAATGCCATCTAGTAGGGTGTTTTCCCCAACCAAAATGGGACAATTTGAGTATTAAAACTAATATACATATTTGAAACATATCAAATATGTTAAAAGTCCATAATTATACATATTACATACATATATTTATATACATAATAAACTGAATTTAACTTTTAACCAAGATTAAATAACAGAAACTGGATTTACTCTTCTGCTTGAAATAATGAAAACACAAAATAAACGCATTGATGGTTTTCAGTACACTGGACATCAAGCAATGATAGAGAATGATCACACAGAGAGAAAACAAACAAGGCAATCCCTATAAACGCCAAAGATTACCACCTTGTGTGAGCTTTTAGTTCATGATACAGTGACTTAGAACCCAGATGGAGCCTGTGAGGCTTCCTAATTGAGTCAATAGAATTTAGAGACCAGAGAGACCAAGATGGCTAATTTCTACCAAAATAGCTAAATTCCACAGAATAAAGTACTAGAGAGGAAAGAGTTGCACAGATAGAGAAATCCAGACATATGTAGAGAGACTCTCTGAGCATCCAGATATGTGCTGATCATGTGTATAAGAAAACTACCCAAGCCTAGGGAAACAACTACCTGATTAGAGGCAACAGTGCCCAATACACACACACAAGACTGGGCATGGTTTCTGTTCCCACCAGCTAGATTGCAGAAATCTCAAGATTTAGGGGGCATTTGGTAGAATATCAGAAGGGTCTTGTCATAATAGTGGAGAAAAATTGGCCTAAACTTAGCACTAATCTAGCTTGACCTAGCAAATCTTAAAAAGCAAAGAAACAAAAATATCAAAGTATTCCCAACTAAACTATATATCAGAACAAAGCTCAAGAATACCCTGTAGGGATACAAAAAAAAAAAAAAAAGAAAAAAATCAAAGATTATCAAGAATGCAAAGAAGCAAGAATATATGACTCATAATGAGAAAAAATAATCAATTGAAACGGACCCAGAAATGACATTGATCTCAGAATTAGCAGACAAGAGCATGAAAATAATTATTATAAATGCATTCTATATACCTGAGTTAGTAAAGACATAAAAGCTGTTAAAAAGTCCAAAATCAAACTTCTAAAGATGAAGCCTACAGTGTCTTTAATGAAAAATTAACAGGATGGGATTAATAGTAGATTAGATGTTGCAGATAAAATATTAGTGAACTTGAAGTCATAGCAATAAAAAATATCAGAAACAAAACAAAGAAAGAAAAAATATAAATGAATGAAGTATAATCAGTGAGCTGTGGAACAACTTCAGGTAATTGGAGTTTCCAAAGGAGAGTGCTGGGGGACAGAAAATCATATTTCAATAAATAATGGCTGAAGATTTTCCAAATTCAATGAAAACTAATCAAGGAATCCAGAATCTCAAATGAAATATAAACACAAGAAACAGGAAGAAAACTGCATCTTAATCAAATTGCTCAAAGCAGGGATAAAGAGAAAAATCCTTAAAGCAGCCAGAGGGAAAAGAGACATGTACATACAGAGGAACAAAGATAAGGGCAAGAGCTGATTTTTGTTGGATACAGTACAAGCATAAAAATAGTGGAGCAACGTCTTAAAGTACTTACAGGAAAAAAAAAGTTCAAGCTAGAATTCTATACCAAGTGAAAATATCTTTCAAAAGTAAAGGCAAAGTAAAGACATTTTCAGGCACACAAACGCTGAAAGAATTTATCACCAGCCAACCTACACTACAAGAAATGATGAAGGAAATTCTTCAGGTAGAAGGAAAATGATACCAGAAGAAAGCTTGCATTTACACAAATAAATGGGAAGAACTGGAAATGGTAGCTAATTAAATAAATATAAGATATTTTTATTATGAATCTCCTTAAGAAAACTTAATGATTATCCTTGAATGATGCAAGATCATTAATTAATTAATTATTTTAAAGACTGACGAAAAAAGATGAATCAAGCATTTATCCTGACTTTCTTTGAAGAACTGTACATCAGGTAACCAAATAGTTGACAGAAAAAGTTCATCTTAAAAAAACTTTCTTAAAAATGTTAGAATGCCAGTTAATAAACAAATAAATATCACCAATTAATATCAAAGTTAACATAATAATATCACCAATGTGAATCGTATAATAAAATAATAAAAAGCAGATGAAAAATTTTAAGGGCTCTCTGACAACACCTGATCTCAATAAGCAGCCTAACACAATGAAAAAAGAGGTTTAAATACCACCTATTATGTATTCTTAACAAATAAACAAAGCCAAATAAACCTGAATCCAATGAAGCCTCTAGATTAAATTGTCAGTTCACAGGCATTTCAGGAGATGGAGGGACATGCTTTTCTGAATACCACAGGGATACAATCAGTAAAATCCAGGCCATCAGGAACTCTATGAACCAAAAATCACTGTTTTCTTCAATAAGCTGCAAGAAATAAAAAAGGGGGCAAGGAAAATTTATAGACTAAAAGAAGTTTAAGAGACACGTAAAACAAATACAACGTTTTGAAGGACCTGCTTGGATCTGGACTCAAACCAACAACTATTTCAAAAAGTAAAAAAACATTTAATGAAACTTGAACATCAATTGGACATTGATATAATTAATTGATTTTCTGCTTTAGCTGAGATAATGATATTGGCCATTTCTTTTCTTACAAAAAGTGGTCCTTTGCTGAGAAACACACACTGAAAATTTTATGGATAAATTGATATAATGATTGAGATTTGTTTCAAAATAATCCAAAGAGGAGAAGGATAAAATTACAAGTGAAACAAGATGGGCTTTTAATTAATAGTGGTAAAAGCTGGCTGTGTGAGGTATGCTTGGGGGTTCGTTATATTATACTCTCTTCTGTTACAAATGTTTGAAATTTTCCATAATTAAAAAAATATTACTCTGTTTAGTTTCAGCACTAGATCATAGGCTTCAGAGGGCAATGAGTGTAAATGAATGAGCAACAAGAAGCCTAGTGTTCCTATGGAAAATTACTTCACTTATAAACAGTGGAGAGAATAATGAGAAATTCAAGTACAGGAGCCTTAGAAGCTGGATTTGCTTATTTTTAAAAATTGTGTGATGCATATATTATAACAGATTAAATATTAACACAATAAGGGCTTTGATGATAAACACAGGTTTACCTATGTAGAAGTCATCACCTTAACAAATTCAGTTCTGAAAGTACATGAGGAACACTCCTAGGTGCAGGAATTGCAATAGTCAAATCGTGTTATTTGATGTAGTAAAATATATGATAATAAAAGGTAAGCTTCTGCTCTTTTGTCATACTATAAGAAATTGGAAATCAATAAAAATTGGATTGTATTGAGCAAAACATATGACTTCTTGTTATATTGCTTATTTCCCTTTTTGTCTTAATGCCCTTTTCCTGATATTTCATTATAATTCAGGGATGTATTGCTGAATTGTATAGTCTATTGCCTCGGAACATAGCATGATAAATAATGTGTTAAAAATAAATTAAATCGATGGGAAAATATTAATGAAATCTTAACATACTTACCAGAGTTAACCCTTTCCAAAACTGTTTCCATTTGGCCTTCCTGATGTAAGTTTGTATTTGATAAAACAACGAAATAAAAAACAGGACATAGTTGTCAATGCCTAAGTTATGTTAAATCAGACTTAGCAGACTGAACGTATTAATATCATTCTAGACAAGAATAGTGGGCAGTATTTGGCCTAGGGAGGGGAAGAAAGAAGAGCAGTAGAGCAGATCAGGGCAATATACATCAAGGCTGCCTTAAACCTAGCCACAGTGCCAAACAAGCACATGAAAAGTGAAAATTTCAGTTTGGTCTCACAATGAAAAACATTCAGATATTTCAAAGTCTTTGAAGTTTTCACTTTTCAGAAGGATGTTAGGTTTACTCAGCTATAACAATATGATTCTATAGCTAAGTCCATGAGTCTTTGATTTCATCATGAAATTTGTTTAGCTGTCATGCCACGTATCTAAAAGGGGCGGTTTTTATCACTACAAATGGCTTATGCTCATGATTATCTTTTGAAAGCATTAGAGTTTAGCAGGGTTTTACAAAGAAGTAAATGGTTTCTTTTTGAAAATACACATCCAGGACATGGAGCAGGAGTAAGAACAGTGAAATTGCAGTCAACACACTTGAAATTATGTTGTAATTTTAGCAAGTATTAGCTGTGTGATCATGGCAAATCACCTCACCTCTTAACCCCAGTTAACACATTCTTCAAATGAGCAAATTTAATTATATTATTTGTATGGTACTGAATTTTCAATTATAATTCATTCATTAAACATATATTTATTACTTGCTTACTATTAAATATAACTGTACAACATAGTAACAAAGAGTATGTTTCTGAAATCATACTACCTAGGTTAAGCAAATTTAATTATATTATTTGTATGGTATTGAATTTTCAATTATAATCCATTCATTGAACACATATTTATTACTTGCCTACTGTTAAATATAACCATACAACATAGTAACAAAGAGCATGTTTCTGAAATCACACTACTTAGGTTTGAATCCTGTATCTACCCATTACTAACCGTGTGTGCCAATGGACAATATATTTTAAATTATCTGTGCTTTAATGTCCTTATCTACAAAATGGGGATAATAATAGCACACACCTCATGTAGTTGTAAGAATTAAAGGGAAATTATTTATTTAAATAATTTAGAACATTGCTTGGCATTCAATGTATGTTAGCTATTATTATAAGCTAGGCATTGGAGTCACAATGAGGACAAAGAATGAAACAGTCCTTTTTTTTCAGATAACAAGAAAACAGAAATCACAAAGCTAGTAAAGCTATGTTAGAGAAAGTAGTCACTTGGGGGAAACAAAGAAGAAAGAACAGTGAGGTCTTAATCTGACTTGTGTTAAAGTCTTAAAATGAGAAAAGAAGGGTAAATAAGTAGTTCAGTAAGGGGGAATAGGAACAGCATGTGCAAAGGCTGTGGTTCAGTAATTCCTTTTGACTCAGATACAGTATTTCTACGTAAGTATAATCCATAAAGCAATTACCATACATTAAAAATTCACCACAGTCTTCTATTTATCAAAACTCATCATGAAGAAAGTGAAAGGGCAAATGACTGAGTGCAAAAAGATACCTGTAGCACATGTAGCTGTCATAGGGCTTATCTAGGCTATATAGAGAAAAGAATAAACAACTCCGTAGAAAAAAAAAATGAATAAAATACTTAAACAGATACCTCACAAAAAAGCTATCCAAAGACGGGCACGGTGGCTCACGCCTGTAATCCCAGCATTTTGGGAGGCCGAGGCAAGCGGATCACCTGAGGTCGGGAGTTCGAGACCAGCCTGACCAACGTGGAGAAACCCTGTCTCCACTAAAAATACAAAATTAGCCAGGTGTGGTGGCGCATGCCTGTAATCCCAGCTACTCGGGAGGCTGAGGCAGGAGAATCACTTGAATCCGGGAGGCAGAGGTTGCAGTGAGCCGAGATTGCACCATCGCATTCCAGCCTGGGCAACAAAGAGCAAAACTCCGTCTAAAAAAAAAAAGCTATCCAAATGGCCAATACATATACAAAAAACAGTGCCCAACTTCCTTAGTCACCAGGGCAATATAAATTAGAACCACAATGCAATAGCATTATATATCCATGAGAATGGCTAAAAAAAATCAATTGTTGACAAGGCTCAGAGAAACCAAAACTTTTATATTACTGCTGGTGGCAATTTACATTTGGACACACAGTTTAGCAGTATCTATAAAAGCTGATACTGCCCTCCTATGTATATACTCAATATATATGTGTATATACGTTTGCCAAAGTCCATCTACTAGAATGATCCTAATAACACTGTATGTCATAGCTAAAATACAGAAAATCTGAATGTTCGTCAGCAGTAATACAGACAAATAAATCATGATATATTCATACAATGGCTATATAGAGAGATGATAATGAGTGATCTACAAGTAAACCCCAAAATATGTATTTTCACAGTCACAATGCTGAGGGAAAATCAGTCACATGCAAAATACATGATTCAGTTCATATAAAATATTAAACTATCAAAATTATTCTATGCCATTAGAAGTCAGAATAGAGGTTACCCTGAAGGAGAGAGCAATGACTTAAAGGGAGTACATGGGAGACCACTAGATTACTGGTAATATTCTGGAATCTGATTAGAGGACCAGTAAAGCAACCTAGAAATCACCCCTGAGTCTTTCTATTTTAAAACGGAGTGGTTATGTCTGTTAATTAGAAATAGAATTGACATTTTTCTTGCAGATCTTTTGTTTGTTTGTTTATTTGTTTTGTTTTGTTTTGAGATGGAGTCTTGCTCTGTCACCAGGCTGGAGTGCAGTGGCATGATCTCGGCTCACTGCAACCTCCAACTCCCCCGTTCAAGTTCAAGTGATTTTCCTGCTTCAGCCTCCCAGGTAGCTGGGATTACAGGCGTCCACCACCATACCCAGCTAATTTTTGTATTTTTAGTAGAGATAAGGTTTCACCATGTTGGCCAGGATGGTCTCGATCTCCTGACCTCATGATCCACCCACCTTGGCCTCCCAAAGCACTAGGAGTACAGGCATGAGCTACCGTGCCCAGGCTCAGATCTTTTACAATTAAGAAAGGAGATGATCAAAGAAATTCCAAGAATTGCATGAATTTGCACTTCCCTCTCCCTTATGAATGTATGATGATGATGTTTTCAAATCCAGAGTCATAATTAAATAGTAATAAAACATTGGGGGATCATTATCCATGTGTGCAATTTACAATAATGAAGCTAATCAGGTGTTGTAAATGATTGGTTGAGTATTTTTGTTTTGAGTAGAATTTTACATTTCATACATATATTCATTGTATTCACCCATAGTACCATTAATGTTAGGAATATTAACCTCATTGTGACACTCAGCTCATATTCTTTGGAATATGAGTGCCATGGTTTGGATATAGTTTGTCTTTGCCAAAACTCATCTTGAAATTTTATCCCCAATTTGGCAGTGGTGGTAGGTAGGGTCTAGTGGGAGGTCAGGGGATTAAATCCTTCATGAACAGATTAACATCTTCTCTATGGGGTGAGTGAGTTAGTTCTTACTAACTTGTGGGAATCGATTAGTTCCCATAAGAGTGGTTGTTAAAAAAGAGAAGTCTGGCTTCCTTGGTTCTTCTCTTTTGCTTCCTCTCTCACCACGTGATCTCTTTTCACGGGCTCACTCCCCTTGTGCAGATACTGGTGCCATGCCTTTTCAACTGCCCAGCCTGTGGAACTGTGAACTAAATAAACCTCTTCTTTATAAATTACCCAGTCTTAGATATTCTGTTATATCAATACAAAGTGTACTAACACAATGAGTATCTAATTGTTGGATTCACCACCCCTCATTTTGCTCTTATCCCTCAGGCCACACCGCCTACTCCCTCTCAGCATCCCCAATCTAGGGAGGAGAAGGGGTTTCCTCATTCTCCATAGGATAAGCAATGAAGTCATGCCACTTCTCTTTTACATAACTTTGAGGGGATGTGGTCTCTTAGAAAAGGTACTATGGCCATAATTTTTATCCAAATTAAGAGCCCAATGTAGTAGACTGAATAATAGTCATTCAAAGATATCAGGTCCGAATTTCTGGAACCTATAAATGTTACCTTATAATGAAAAAGAGGCTTTGCATGTGTGTTAAATTATGGATTTTTACATGGTGGCATTATTCTGGATTATCCAGATAGGCTTTAAAGCCAATCACAAGTATCTTCATAAGAGATAGGAAGAGGGAGATCTGATAGGCCTTCTCATCTGAACCACTCAGACACAGATGAGAAGGCCATGTGAAGTCAGAGGTAGAGATTAGAGAGAAGCAGCCACAAGGCAAGTAATGCAAAGAATGCAAGAAGACACCAGAAACTGGAAAAGTCAAGGAAGTGATTCTGCCTAGTCTTCCTACGTAGTGCTGCCCTGGCAACAGGACATCTTGACTTCAAACCAGTGAAATTGATTTCAGATTGCTGGCCTCTAAATTGTGAAAGAATAAATGTTTGTTATGTTAAGCCACCAAATTTATACTAATTTGTTATGACAGTGTCAATCGAGAAAAATAACGAGAGAAGTCTCAATCATTTTAGGAGATTTATTTGCCAAAGTTAAGGATGCTCCCAGGAGACAGGTCTATGCCTTTCTCCGAAGATGATTTTGAGGGCTCCAAATTTAAAGAGGAAAGGGTGGGAAATTGAGAAGTACGTAATTTTCATGTAGTGGGGGTAGGAAAAATAGTTATTCATGCCTTTGTCTGGCTCAGTGAATTTGCATTTTTTATGTATGATAACATAAACAAATGGAGCAGAAAAAAATGCAGGGAACCTGCATTTTACATAAGATAAACAGAGACAAAATGGGGCAGGGGAACAATCAGATATGCATTTGTGTCGGTGGGCAGGGGGCAGGGGGGTGGTGGGGGGAACTGCACTTGTAAAGATAAGCTATCAATTTACATTTCCATGGTGAAATTTTAACAGCTCACTAGGAATTTCCTTGTGGGCAAAATATGGGGGAGGCATGTAGCTTTGCCACCTTATTTAGGAACCAAAAGAGGAGGCAAGGTCCCAGCTTGCCTTTTCCTTTTGGATAAATGAGCTTGGGGTCCCAAAATTTAATTTCCTTTCACTACAGTCACAGAAAATTAATACACCATCCCTCTCATAAAAGGGAAAATATGCATACCTTATCACGAATATGTGTACATAAGAAAGAGATAGGCAAAAACTCAATATGGATATATACCTTTTGTTTCTACCCTTTAGGAAAGCTGTTAGCTGGCCAGAGATGAAAAGATTTTATATATGACCAATTTTCCTGATTCCCCAATGCTGAGCACAGTGCCAGGTATATACTGGAACATTTTTTTGAGTAAACATATGATCAAAAGTAGTGTTATGTGTTACTCTGACATCTTAAGGCACATTAATCTCTAAATAAAAAATTTTAACATATCAAAAGTTGAGACACAAACTGCAAAAAACAAACAAACAAAAAAACAAAAACAAACAAACAAAAAAAAACAAATGACCTTGCTAATCAAGTGTGACCTGAGGACCAGAACATTGGCATCACCTGGGAACTTGTCAAAAATAGAGAATCTCAGGCTCCATCCTACATCTATCGAATCAGAATCTGCCTTTTAAAAAGTTCCCTTGATGATTCCTATGCACATTAACATTTAGGAAGCACTGATCTATGACATAATCAGGGAAATTTGAACTCTCCTTGCTTTTTTAATGTATGATAATGACATTGGGTCAATACTATTTTTAGAGATACATCCATATTTATGGATAAAATTAAATGATGTCTCAGATTTGCTTTAAGTCATTCTAGGGGTGAAGATGGTAATTAGGTGTATACAAAGAAAACTTTTGTCCATGAAATGATAATTATTGAAGCTGAGTGATATATGCATAGAAGTTCATGATACAATTCCTTCTGTTTTAGGATATAGTTAAAATATTCCATAATAGAAAGTTTAAAAAATGTTTAGGTGTAGAGTAAATAATTTTCTCTCATACTCATATGTTTGTGCTGCTATTATTTCCTAATAGAAACTGGCCAATAAATAAACTATACTTTCGATAAAATTAATTCATTATCTGCGGGAAAAAAATGCACCACTGTGATATCATACTTTCCTCTACTCCCACTGTAACATGCTATCTGTGATGGAGAATTAGGGAGCAGGGACAGAAAAAAAAAACCTTGGAAATTGTACTGATACAGGATTCTCAATAATTATATGGCCTTCCTGAGCTTGACTACAGAGCCTTTTCAATGCCCCAAATCTGTATTGTGAGCAGACATTCTTCCAGACACCACATACAACCAGAATGTTTGATTAGGGACTGAAGAACTCTAACTGGACAATCTTCATGGGATGCACAGAATGGATGAAGAACTAGGAAATGGATTTTTCAGGTATCATTTTAAGGGACAAGCTAAGTAATAGCAAAAGGGATCTATTTTGTTCGTGTCACTTTTGCATTATTACAGAGAACTATTCATCTTAGTTATAAATACTGTCCATCTACCACTTCAAAGACAGGAGTCCGAAAATGTGCATCAGAGACACTTATTTAGTCCTGTTTTCCTCTTTGAGGTTTTCAACAGTAATTGTTATTCATCTATCTTACCGCTCTGCCTCTGTTGCTACTGGAAGAAGAAAACAGCAACAGCTCCTCCAGAGATGATTGATTGGTCGGTGATTATGCTGATATTCTATTCAGCTGCAGCAGCGCAGTAAGCCCTCTTTTTGCTAGGCAACAATGCCACCATCATTACTGAGGCTTCAGTTCATCTTCCAGTCATGACTGGAAAATTCGCTAAATTAAAATCAGTTTGCCTACAGAAAACCAGGGGATTTTATCCCTTTTCTATATCCTGGTTTCCTAAATACCTCAGACTTATTGAGAAAGTATAATTATTACCTCTCTTTAAAAGAGGGCACTCAATTCTTCTGTCTGCTCAGGGCTCTCTATTTTTGATAAATAATCAGGTCACATCTAAATTGGAAACCTAAAAGAACTGACTGATGAATTGGGTTGGGCAACATCATTGTGACAGAATTTACCTCCATTCAGCTGCTTTGGGACCTTAGAAGTAGGGGAGGATGAAGAGGTTGGGAGTTTGTACAACAATGTAAGCATATCATGTATGTTTTTTAATTGAATTGAATTCACTTTTGAAACCAAATTAATAGTATTTGTATTGATGATATTTCTAATGGCTTTGTAGTCTTTTGAATGCAAAATGCCCTTCTGTCTCAAAGGCACTGTAGATTCCAATTTGGGGACCCAATATATTAGAACTCCGAGTTCCAAGTACATCTTTATTACACCAGTATTTAGACTAAGACAGAGACCAATTCCTGTGGAAGGAGATCTTTGGTCCTAAGACTGATGCCAGGCAAGATCTCAGGCAATGTAGATTCTCTAACAATGTAGAAGAGTCAGGCTGAGACTAAATGAAATACCTTGGCCAGGTCTGTATTACTAATTGCTGACTGGGATCTAACAGACAGATTCTGACAATATTTTCAGTCCTCTCCTTAAAATCCTTGGGCTCTCCAATTCCTACAAGAAAAGTGTAGGGTAGATATTATTATTGTGCTCATTTTACAGATCAGGAAATTGAATCACAGAGACTAACTGATCAATGCATCTTTTGAAATTTATGTTCTAATCTACTCTGTACAGTACTCCTACATAATTTAGCCCAATTTTCTTTAAATTGGAATGTATATACCCCTGATAATAATAATACAACATAAAGACTTTCCAAAATTGCACAAGTAGGGGTTGTTTTAAAAAAAATCATTTCCAAAACCTCAACTTCCATATGTATTTTTTCTTTCCAAATACTGAACATTTGCCAAGTTTCCTTCTACCATCACTCTTTATCCATTTCACAAAAGAAAAACATAACTCTCACCCATATAGAACTTAATTTTTGATGATTTTCTCAGAGTGTACAACCTCCAAAGAATGCTGCAATATGGATTAACTTCAAAAAACATTTTATTCAGTTACAGAAGCCTGGCACAAAGTACTACTTATTTTATTATTACATTTATATGATAGTACCAGAAAATGTAAATATATAGGCAGAAAGCAAAACAATGGTTTTCTGCTCCTGGGTTTAGGAGCAGTGATTGATGAAAAATAGGCATAAGCAAAACACGTTGGGGGGATGGAAATGTTCTGAAACTAGATTGTGGTGATGGTTGTGCAACTCTATAAATTTGTTAAAAGTTATTGGATTATACACTGACAATGAGTACATTTTTGGTATGTGCATTATGACTCAGTAAAGCTGTTGGGAAAAAAAACACCTCTAAGAAGCCAAACAAAAGGATAATTAGAAATAATGGTGTCTAGTTGGACTATAGTGTTTGGAACAAATCCATTTACAATCCAGGCAATTACCAATTTTTTGTTCTCATGAAATTGAGAAAGTACTGAACCAACTATTAGCTGCGAGGTCACTAAAAATAATTTTTGGTGATGGATCATTATGTTATTTTTAGCATATAATGCTGGAGGAAGTCAAAGAATTGAGTGACATTGCTATAATAAAATGCCTTATGATCTAACTTACTGAGTAAATTTCCTCCATACTTACATTTATAAAAACAAGAGATATATTAGATGATGAACTGTTTAATTATAAACAATACATAATACAAATACATAAACATTAATTACAAAAGCCATTACACTTAGAAATGCATTTCAAATTGCATATTTAGTTTTAATATTTATTAATCAAAAATTATATGGTCTAGGTTGTTTTGATCAACGTTGTATGAAAAATAATGAAAATAACCCAATTTAGCCTAGAACCTTATAATGAGATGATATATAAAAAATTAAATATCTATTTATGTATATATATTTGTTCCAAAGAAGTATATAGGGTGATCGACAAAAGCCTTTCCAGAGTAAAAGTATAAAGTATAATGTAATAATATTTGAATAAAATTTTGTGCAGTAAAGAGTATGAAAGAACAAGTTCAAGGAGAAAAAATACTATGAATTCCTGATTGTTAAAAAAAGAGCTTTTGAATTAATTTTAATGGGCAATAATAGGTTCCACTCCAGTGTTTAGCTTCCCTTTGATATATTTGTGATTGTATTATAAATGTAATTATCTTATACATACACTATTATAAGATATATCTAATAATAGTGATTTAATATATATATAATAGTGATATGTCTGTTTATACACTGTCATACATGGAGTTCAAGAACAGGAAAAATGAATTCTTTGTGATAAAATTCAAAATAATGGTTACCTCTGGAGTGTTTTCACTAGGAGGGGCATTAGAGAGACTTCTAGTGTATGGAAATACCCTGTATAGGTGGTATCTGCAGAATCGCATGACAGTATGCACATGCAAAACTTCAACCAGCTCTACATTTAAGATATCTGGACTTGGCTGGGCGCGGTGGCTCACACCTGTAATCCCAGCACTTTGGGAGGCCAAGGCGGGCGGATCACCAGCCCGCCTGGTTGAGCCTCCTGGTTGGTCTCCACCCTGTGCATTAGGAGCCCAGTCACCATGCTCACGGGTATTTTTCCTCATAAAGTTTATAGCCAGTTATTTATATGAATCTTTGTTATGTCAACTTGTTTGTATTGCCTATTTTGATTATAAAATAAATATCTTAACAGACAAAAAAATCAGGAGATCGAGACCATCCTGGCTAACACGATGAAACCCCGTCTCTACTAAAAATACAAAAAAACAAATTAGCCGGGCGTGGTGGCAGGTGCCTGTAGTCCCAGCTACTCGAGAGGCTGAGGCAGGAGAATGGCGTGAACCCAGGAGGCAGAGTTTGCAGTGAGCCAAGATGGCGGCCACTGCACTCCAGCCTGGGCCACAGAGCGAGACTCCGTCTCAAAAAAAAAAAAAAGAAAAAAAAAAAAGATATCTGGACTTTATTGTCTTTATACTGCAATTAAAAAAAAAACCTAAAAGACAACAGAGCATTTAGAAAACTCTGGAAATCACATCTGCTGCAACTATTTAAATTCATGATTTAAAAAAAAAAAATAAAGAGCTATCTTCAAAATATACAAAAGGGTATATAGTTTTTCACAGTTCTTTTAGGAAGCATGTGAGTAAAAAGCGTGAGGGCCATTGAATTAGCTTTCCTGACTCCAAATGCTGTAGCCACCTCCTCTACTGTGCAGGTGCAGATCTCTTTAACAGTCACCCCCATCTCTGCCCCCACCTCCACCTGAACCTAAATCTTTCCAGTAGTCTGTAGCTCACTGTCCATATTTATTCCGGGACTACACTTCCCAGTAATGCAACCTGGCTTCTGGTGGAAGTTTACATTTCTCACATTGCATTCTGTGCTGTGAAGTCATAAATTCAATAACAAGAAGAACTAGCAAAAAAAAAAAAAAAAAAAAAACGATTTGGGAGCTCTGCACTTAGGGAGTTGTAGTTTTCCGTGGTTCATTCGATAAGGAATGAACTACATACTGCTTCAAATCTACAGGAGGAAAAGAAAAGAGAAAAAATGTCCTGCCTACACTTGAAGAGAGAACTGAGGCAGGAACAGGGGCATATTGAGTAAATCGTGGTTGACTCCAGCAACGTGGTTAAGGACTGTGAAGGGCAACTGGCACCACCAGATTAAAAACTGAACAGCATTTAAAATGTAGCTACAGGGGTTTTTCTGGTTATAAAGGAAATGCTTACTCATGGTGGAAAATATTGAACAGTATACCTCTAAAAATAAAAATCACAGGCAATAGTAGCACCCAGAGAGACACATTTATATTATTTTATACAGTAGGATCTATTTTGCTAATTTCCAGCAGATGCAATTAAACTCTGCAGAACTATTGAAATGAAGAGGTATCCCTATTGAAATAAGCAAAAAAATTTGCAGAGAGGATATAATTGTATACCTTGAAAATCTAAGAGCATCAACTGAAAAACAATCAGATCTAATAAGAGAGTTTGGCAATGTGGCTGTATATAAGATGCAAAATAAGTAAAAAAAAAAAATAGCTTTCCTGTATGCTGTTATAGAAATTATAATAGGGGTAGGGGCAGGATTCCATTTTCAGAAATCTAGAAATTAAATAAGCAATGTACAGGTTTTATATGAAAAAAGCACCATAATAAATTGACAGTCATTAATGGGAGCAAATATCATGTTCCTGAAAGGGAATTTTGAAATTTAGAACATGTCAATTGTTCCCAGACTATGTTTGCTTAAATATCTTTACTGTGCTTTGTGGAAGTCACACCATCAATTTCACTCTCAAACCTTTTGGTGTCTGGCCCTCAATAACACAATAATACATGTTTTAAAAATACATTCTTCCAATTTCTTCAATTTCTTTAATCTTGGGGAACCAGCAGTGTTGTAGAAGAAGGAGAGGAAAAATGAAACTAACATTTTTTGGGCATCTACTATATAACAGGCATTAGTTTAGGAAATTTATATCAGTTGCCTACTTTAATCCTGACACCAACCCTATAAAATAGACAGTCATGCCATTTTATAGATTACAAACTTAGAGCTCTGAGAAATTAAGTTAAAGTTACCCGAAGTTGCATCACTCACAAGTGGTAGAGGATACATTCAAACTCAGGTCATAGAATAAACCCATGCTCTTTCTACGTACTCCTAGTCTTTTCACAGGCTAGATCTGTGAGGCTGCAACTGTTAATTTATGTTTCTCAGGTCCCTCACCTTTGGAATGTAGGTAAGAATATTATAGTACCTACCCCATAGGTTTGTTGTGAGGATGGGATGATCTAACCCCTGTAATGAGTTTCTGGGAAATAATTAGTGTTCAATACACAATAGCTAGTATTATTATTACTACACTTATTGCTACTGAGCACATGTTGGGAGAATGAAGCCCATTTGTTTTTTCGGATATCTGTCAGTGTTACACAGGTGAGATGGTTCATAACTGTTTTAATAATTATTAACTGAGCATTTACTATGCACCAATATTGTTCCAGGCACTTTTACATATGCCATAAACAAAATATAAGAATGAAAAGAGTGGGGCTAGAGGCAATTTATATAAACTGGCAGTTTCTGTGCCCCATTAACTTATTAAAACTACATTAAATTTCACTCCATTCAAATGACCATATGTCTAAATAGCACATGGACCCAAATTTTCTATTTTTTACTTCCATTTGGTAACAATCATTTTATTCACTTATGTTTTAACATTTCAGCATTTCAGAATCTATCTTCTAATGAAGTGTTCATCTGAATATATAAATTTATCATATGAAAAACTGAGATTGTTTATGATTATTTTCCCTTAAAAGAAATAATCTGTAATCAGCTTCATTGTGTTTTCTCTGCTTGCTTCATGAACTGGCTTAAGGGAGTATATCTTATCGGTATGAGAAATTCTGCCATGTATTTGAATTTTAATTAAAAGTATTTAGTAATAAGGTTGTAAGGGAATAATTCACACAACCAGTTTGGTGGCAACACTTCTTGAACAATAATAAAAATAAATCTACAATAAGATGCAAGAAGAGTGAGTTCAACACATAAAATTAGAAATCCAGTCAGCCTGTGAGTAGTAAAAGTGGCACCTAGGAAAGTCTTGAATATCCATTTTCCAGAATCCAATTTCAGGGCTCCCTTTGAATAATTTTTTAAAACATATCTGTGCAATTATGTTCTTTTACAATTTCATAATAATGCTTGCTTTTAAAAAAATTCCATCAGTAGAGATTGCCCTATGTGAAATTGATTTGACTGCTGAGAAATCTTTTAGTCTACTCCATTTTAAATAGTTTTATCACCATCTGCAATTGTAAAGCGAATTATCTAGATTATCCAATTTTTGTTTGTTTGTTTGTTTGATTAGTATCTGGTTGCAAACACCCTTCCCGTTCCCTGCTTAGCCTTTTTGAGGTCTTTGTTGTGTTCACTAATATATCCCCGGGGCCTAGCTAGAATAGTGCCTAGCACCAGTAGGAGCTCCATTCCTATTTGTTAAAAGAAATAATTCTTCTATGCCGACATACTAGGAATGTTTCATCTTCTACATACAGTATTTCACCAATATGTACTAAATGCCAATATTTAATTATTCTGTCATCGGCCCGCATACCATGGTGTTTCAAAATACCTAGGCACGTTGGATTCTCCTTTGTCATTGTCCTTTTATTATAAGAAGCTCTGGTAAAACACTCATCTTGAAGATATTGGAAAAAATTGTGCATTGAGAGTCCAGAGGTCAGTTTTCAGTTCTGATTCCACTCACTCTATGACCTTAGAGAAGTCACTTCGCCTTTGTGCCTTACTTTGCTCATCTACACAATCAGTAGAGCAAAAACTTTTCTATCAACTTTGCATGATGCCTGTAGAAATTATTGAAAATATAAGATAGCATCAGTATGTGGCTAGCTAGAATAGCATCTAACACAAAATAGACACTTAAAATTCTCTTTCCCCATTCCTGTTTCTTTTTTTTTGAGACGTAGTCTCACTTTGTCACCAGGCTAGAGTGCAGTGGCATGATCTCAGCTCACTGCAACCTCCGCCTCCAAGGTTCAAGGGATTCTTCTGCCTCAGCCTCCTGAGTAGCTGGGATTACAGGCACCCACCACCAGGCCTGGCTAATTTTTGTAATTTTTAGTAGAGACAAGGTTTCACCATGTTGCCCAGGCTGGTCTCGAACTCCTGACCTCAGATGATCCACCTGCCTCGGCCTCCCAAAGTGCTGGGATCACAGGCGTGAGCCACCGCACCCAGCCTCCCCATCCCTCTTTCTACTTTTCCTTTCTGTGTAAAGTAATATTAATACTCCCTGCAGAACTGTAAATATGTTTGCATTTAATTGGTGTTTGCAAGGACCTAGCAAGGTTTGTGACCTGTTTTCCATAGAAACAAACCTTTGTATTCTTATGTAGATTTGGAGGTGTAGGAGGGTAAGCGAATACTTACTCACTATTTTAGAACCATAAAAATACTGGTCTCATGTTCTTGACAAATAAAGCCCTGCTAATGATACTATTCACAATCACTTAGCCTTTGGAAAGGCAGTACAGCATAGTGAAAACATGCACTACATTGGGATTTAGATAATTCTAATTTGGCTTTAGTCTGCCATTCGCTGGCCATATGACTGAACAAATTGGTTAACCTCTCAGCCTCAGTTTTCTCCTCTGCAAAATCATCTGTCTAGCTAGTGCCATCCACAAGGTGTTTGGAAAATCATATAAGGTTATGTATGTGAAATCCTTATCATGCTCTATATTTGGAAGGCATTAACAATCTGAATATATCTCTGTTCAGCAGTGAATTTACGCTATATTCCCCTTACAAATATTTCTTTTCATATAATGTTTCTTTGGCTCTTGTCACTGTTCACCCTTTAACTTTGTTAAAGACTATACTTCTTGATGAAAGGGATTTTAATTTTGACTATATAACCCTGCCATATAACCAAGCCTGGTTGTCTAGAAGTACAATTATCAACTAATTGTTCTGTAACATTTAGCATTTACTTGTTCTAATATATAAAAATTGTAAAATATTGCAATTAATATATTAATTACAATATGAATATATATATCGATATGTTTATTTTTTATTATTTTCTTCTTTTGAGATGGAGTCTTGCTCTGTCGCCCAGGCTGGAGTGTAGTAGCATGATCTCAGCTTACTGCAACCTCCGCCTCCTGGGTTCAAGTAATTCTCCTGCCTCAGCCTCCTGAGCAGCTGAGATTATAGGCGCCCACCACCATGTCGGCTAATTTTTGTATTTTTAGTGGAGACAGGGTTTCACTATATTGGCCAGGCTGGTCTCGAACTCCTGATCTCGTGATCCGTCCTCCTCAGCCTCCCAAAGTGCTGGGATTACAGGCATGAACCACCACTCCTGGCCGATACATTTATTACTATATTTATATATATGTGAAATTTGTTCAAAATCTACCAAATATTTTAAAAATTAAAAACTTCATAAACAGATAAAAACAAAATTCCGAAAGGTTACGAAATCAACCTCACTTTACTTTAGTGAGTCTATATTTTTGCTATTGTGGTAATTTCCTTTAAACTGTGTTTTGGGGTCATTTTTAATGCCACTTTGTAAGTTGCTAAGCTTTATTTGTAAATCAATGAGCTGTCAAGCTGTCTTTGACTTAAAAACTGGATTATGAAATACTGATTTGCAGTCTTTCATTTTCAGTGAAATAATTATGCAAATGTTGCAATATCTTTCTAATACAGTGAATAAAAATCTCATGAAAAATAATTTAATGAAGATGTTTTTACAATTTGAATTTCGGAGAGATTTTAAGAAATGTATGGAGAAACTATGCAATCATTTTACTGTAGAAAATAACTGTCATGTAGCACCACCAACCCCCAGCTAGAATCTCTACTTTTCTATTTCAGCATCCATTATGGATTTATTTGCTTGAATGCTAGAGAAAGGCAGGAAATGCTCAATTATTAGCAATAGTTTCCTTCACTGAAAAATCTAAAAGAAATAGTTGAAACATTCAGCAGAGCTCTTAAAGTAAGAATGTGCTATATTAGTGATTCACATTTTCCTAACACTTTAATGACACATATTCAAGTAATATTCGAAGCGTAGACAATTATAATTATACTCCACAAATGTTCAGTAGAAATTAAGAATGGTGGTGATTTGAGATTGAGTTGCCATACAGAAATTCTGATCTTTGACTATTTACCTTTTTCTTAAAAATAAGTGTCTAGTTTAGTATTTAGATGCCCAAGTGCTTGGGCAACATGAAATCTTGCCTAAATCCTCACGCATACAAATAGGATAGATAGAGTTGTTGAAATTTGACTGTAAATATACAGAAAATGTAATGTCAAAAACACATTTAATTTGCACTGATTGACTATAGCAAGCAGTACTTTTCGTACAGTAATATACATCTGAATCTATTGAATTTTTTAATTGCAAATTCTTTTTCAGTAGGTCTGGTGTGGGGCCTGAGATTCTGCATTTCTATCAAGTTCCCAGGTGTTGCAAATGCTGCTGATTCTGCCCACACTTGCAGTGGCAAGGGACCATAGGGTACAACTATATTAAGTACTATGAAGGTAAATTTAAGCTGTCACACAAGCATCTGGAAATAAATGAGACAATTATCCATATTTTCACTGGATTTCTCACCAGAGACAACACGAAAGTGGGCTTGCTTCCAAGTGGATTGGATGTTTTGATTTCATGCATTTTTTTCTAAGAGAGTAATGAAATACAATATCTAAACCAAGATAGATGAACCAGGCCTTGCTAAGAAGATACATAGGTATGGCAAAATATGTCAGAGTTCTGATACCCGAAGGAGCTAGGTTAGAATCCTATGTCTGGCTACTAGCCAGGTGCCCTTTGGCAAGTAATATACATTTTCTGAACTTCTGATTTTTATCTCTAAAATGGATATAATAATAACTCACTTCTAGGCATTCACTGACTACTTCTAGGTTCTAGGCACATATCTATGCATTTAAAAGTATTATCTCATTTCATCTTCACAACTTTATGAAATAGGTGCTATTATCATCTCCATTTTACAGTTTAGGAAATAAATGGACACCAAAGTGAAGTAAAATGCTACAAATCACCTTGCTAGTACGTGGTATAAGTGGTATTCAAAATCAGGCAGTTTAACTTCACAGTTTGCTCTTAACCACTGTGCCATGATGCCTTTACAGGGCCGCTCTTAGCATCAAAACTAAGTAAGAAATAGAAGCAGAGAGGTGAGGCAGATTGACATCAAAAGACCCCTTTATAACTTCTAAAACTGATATTGGAGAGTATGACTAATATGAGAGGAAAAGCATGGTTCTTAACACTGAATTCCTGAATTACGCAGACTTATCTGTCCAGATAATAGGTAGCCATGGAACATGGAGGCCTTGCTTTCAGGGGCATGTCCTTTATGCAAAGCACATGCAGACAGAACCCAAAGAGGGTGAGTGAGGTAATGGATGAGCTGCACACACTCAGTTCCCTCTCCCAAATTCACTGTTCAGATAAGTCACTAATGGAACTCCTTGTACATGGAAGAAAATAAAAAGGGTAGAGAATAAACATTTTCTTCAGCAGTAAGATTCTACCTTTAATCTCTGGCTAAGAATTACATAAATAACATTTATTATACATCTATCTTATTGAATATTTGAGACTCTTCAACTAGTACTTGCTACATTTCTTTATGCTACCAATTGGTCAGGCATTCATTAATCATGAATAAATCAAAAGAGATTACTAATACTTAGCAGGGTACAAAATGCTAGCAGGAAGAAAAAGCCCATCTAATATTATATATAATAAAATAATCTGCCCAATTTTAAAATTCAAAGAGGAAGAGATATTAGTAAAATATTTCTCTCATAGGGACTATTAAAAGTGGCACTTGATGTTATTAATAAGCATGCATATAACATGTTTCTAAGTTTTAATAAATAGCTCTTAATTCAGGAAAAATACATTTTCCTATTAATAGCATTAATATAAATGTGTATCTAATTAGGAAATAGTAAAAATATACAAATTAGTAAATAAGAGTCTCAAAACAATGTGGAGAAAATAGAAAAATGTAAGATAAGAGGATACTAAATTGTATGTTTTTTTTGTTTGTTTGTCTTTTTTTGAGACAGAGTTTTGCTCTGTCACGCAGGCTGGAGTGCAGTGGCACAATCTCAGCTCACTGCAACCTCTGCCTCTCGGGTTCAAGCAATTCTCCTGCCTCAGCCTCCTGAGTAGCTGGGATTACAGGCGTGCACTACCACGCCCGGCTAATTTTTTATTTTTAGTAGAGATGGGGTTTCACCGTATTGGTCAGGCTGGTCTCGAACTCCTGACCTCGTGATCTGCCCCACACCCCCCCCCGGCCTCCCAAAGTGCTGGGATTACAGACATGAGCCACCATGCCCAGCCTAAATTGCATATTTTGTAAATCAAATTCATTTACCTTTTGGTTGACATTGGACCGTATCATTGTTCAGGGCGGCCTCACTGAACACCAACATGCCAACATCCATGTTATTGTTCCTATTCCCATATATACTTTATATATTTATGTCCTTCTTCCCCTAACTGCCTACTTCCTTTAGCCTCTCCTTTTTCCACAAGTCATCAGCCTTGTTTAAATATCAGTTTCCTCCCTCTTCATCGCTGACCCTATGATCTGTCTCTTCATCTACTCTTATGTTAGCATTCTTCACTTCCTTCTCTCTGTGTATTTTAACTAATATTTACCTGAAAATTTCAAAACCTAAATCAATACAACCTAGTAACTCCCTCACTCCCGCCTTAGCTCATTAAAATGGGCTATTTCCCCATAAATATGAGTATTGATTCAGCCACAAACTTATGGATTCCAACCACAGCCGAGCTCTCAGCAAAGCAGAGTTATTTGTTCAGGTGTTCCCGGAAAGATTCGTCTTCCATTTCCCACATTGTCTATTCTAAATCTTCACAATTCTCTACTCATCTCAGAGGTGATTAGATGTTTTTAGGCAAAAACTACTGCATTTCTCTGCTCCTAACCTGAGGACTTACTTCTATCTATATAAACCTTTATTTCTATTGATTCAATTTCTTTTTTTTCAAAGATGAATGTTTCTGCCTGTGCTCTGGGTTACACCTCTTCCTGTCTCCTCTGAAATCTTGCTGTAAGAGTAATTTTCCCCTTTCATTTTATCTTCAATCTATCCTTCTAAATTTTCTGGCTGATACACTCTGGCCTATACATATTTTAAAGTCTCTCCCACATTAAAACTATTAAACCCCAGAGCTTCCAAGTTCCATTTCCAGGTACTAGTCGCTCTCTCCACTTTCCTTAACTATTATCCTTAGAAGAATCTTCTGTATCCACTATTTCCATTTCTTTGCCTTACATTTACATTTCCATCCAGTCTAGCCTTTGCCCCAACTTCTACATCAAAACCTTCTCCTTGTATTAATTAGAAGAAAATAAACTCCACCCTAAATTTTGGTAATTTGATACTAACTTAATCCATTGATTATTTATAAAAATATGGGCAGCATGTAGAAAAACAACTGCAAAATACCAGCCTCAGTAACATTGGGGTTGCTTTACCACCCTTAAACCTGAAGGGGCAAGAGAAGGATTCAGTTACCAGAACCTGGAAATAGAGAAAGCTATCTAGAAATGGACACTTGACGGGAATTGTGACTTTGTGTCAGGAAAAATCCAGCATGTGCTAACCACAAGGAGGTAACGAGGAAATAAATATTCAAACGTCACCCTGCTCCTTCCCTCAGAACTCCTACAAGGACTCCCCAGTACTTGAACCTGAATCAAAGCCCATTCATACACATCTGCTGAAGATGTACAGATCAGAGCAGAGTGGAGAAGGGTGAAGAGTGTATCCAGAGACATCTACAGAAGATATCCTGCACATTCATGTGCCCAGATCCAATGATGAAATTTCAATTCTTAACTTATTTGATATCTACAATATGTGATGTTGCTCCCTCTGACCACTTTAAACTTCTTGCCTACAACAAATTAGGCATTTTGCACTTGAACTTTTTTTTCTCTGACTTCCCTGAGTGTTCTTTCAATGATTTCCTTCATCATCTTTTTTCTCCCTAACCCTGCTTACCTCTTACATATGGATGTGTCCCAAGACTTTGCTCTCAGCCTACTTGTCTCAAAAAGCAGGCCTTAGTTTGATCCTGATCACATCTAATATTTCAACATATATGCTAAGAAATTCCAAATATATCTCTTCAGGCCATATATTTGTTTCCAGAGCAACAGCTTATACTTTCAATTGTCCACTGCACATCTTTTTACCAGATGTCCCACAAATAACTCTATTTCAATCTGTCCAAAATAAAATTTGTCTTCTTTACCCAAGTACAGCTATTCCTTTACAAACCTATTCCTCTTCCTGTGTTCTTTATTTCAGTTAATAAAAACAATGATCCCCAATCTCTCCAACCAGAAATCTGAGTGATATCTGTGTTAGTTCCACCTCCTCATTCCACATACCCAAACAATGCTCAGGTCTCTTCAACACTATCCCATTAAGATACTTCATATGTATTCTCTCATCTCCGTTCCACTGCTACTACCTTATATCAAGTCCTATTTATCCCCTGGACTTTTGTTGCAGTATCCTGATTGTTTTTGAGGGTTGCGGGGGGGTGTCAAAGGTCAGTCTCCATGTACTATACTGCCAGAATTATCTTTTTAAAAGGCAAATATATTCACAATATTCCTCTTTGGGAGCAAGGTGGATGAGGCCCTTTATGAGTTAGCCATTACTTAGCTATATAACATCATCAACATTCCCTATGCAGATGTTCCTTAAAGATTTATGTAATAAATATATGATTGGATTCCATTGCATATAATAATTTTTACCATGTATTGAGGAATTACTGGGTGTTAGACACTGTGCTAAATGCTAATTGTGAGGTTTATTTCACTTAAACCTTGACAAGTCTGTGATCTAAGTATTTTTTTTTTCCTGTTTAACAGATGAGGAAATACAGTAAATCAGGTTACCTGCCTAAAGTTGCAAACCTGCAATTGGCAAAGGCCACAGTTTAATTCATGGCTACCTGAACCTAAAACTTATGTATCTGGCAATATGCACAGGGCTTTATACCCAGTGCTCTGCGTCAGACTACCTAGGTTCGGTTGTCAGTTTAGAAACTTATTACAGTTATGATGATTTAAAAAAAAAACATCTATTTTGAACACTTACAAACGGACCTGACATTTGTTAAGCACCCAAAAAATGTTAGCTATGATTTATTAGACAGTAAGCTTTAAGGCTTTCTGGGAATTGAAAGAGTTAATTGCTTGCTAAAGCCTCTACATTGATTGCCCCTCTCCCTTGACCCTCAATTGCTTTCCTGTAAAAAACTAGAGAAAGAAACGTTGCTGATCCTCATTCTGCATACAGGACAGATTTTGCTTGAAAAGGGACTGCAGCATGTTCTCATTAGGAATTCAAGACCACATTCACCTGCAGCTTCACAGTGAGAACTCGTATTTTTGAGCAATCACTTTGCAAGACAACTTGAAAGGCAAAAGTCCAGATATAGTTATTCATTTTGTCACAATGGGGGAGGGGATGTGTTGTATGTTTCATTTGTCTATTTGTTTGTCTTTGGAGAGAAGGTAACAGAGGAACCAAACTGCCTTTAGGAGTGTTTGGAGAAAATAAAACACATCAAAATTAAATCAATGCATGGAGTTCGTACTAGCTATATGACCAGTACAAACATACACACACACACACACACACACACACACACACACACACAATTTGTTTTCCTTCTCCTACCTAACTCTCTGTCCATATAGCATGAGTGAATCATCCAGAATCATGATTGCCTACACATTAAAGAAACATCAGGAGTTGATGTCCCTTCTGTCACTGCCAGCAGCCCTAGACCCCAGTGCCCTCCTCTGCCTGCCACAAGCTGAGGAGAAAGCACAGTTGTATGACTCAAGCGTTTGCTTTTCTCTACTCCGTACATTAACATAACTGCATGTCTTGTTCCAGAACCTCCTGAAAAACAGTGCACATTAGTTTGTAATAACAAAAAAGTTAACCATTTATACACTCCCTTCCTTTTTTTTGACTGAAGAATCAAAATATTCCACTTTTCTTGACAGTCTTCCCAGACTAGTTTCCATTTTGGCCAAAACTCTTGTCTTTGACTATAACTCATTTTTAAGATATTATCATTTCCTCTTATCTCTTTCTCCTTCAGTACACTTATATAAAGCAGTCGCAACAATTAATTCAAAAACATTCGTTGCTCCTCTCCATTGTGCCAGATACACCCGGGACACTGGGCATTCAGAGAGGGATCAGACCCTCCCCCTGCAATGAAGGAACTTACATTTCAGGAAAATAGGTTACCATCTATTAGGTAGCTTAGTCTCATGAGACCAGTGACACTAGTCATCTTGAAGTGATATAGAGGTAGGTACACCCAGAATAACACATGATTAGAACACTTTACTATTATATTTTTTTTGCAAAATGACTTAATCTTTATTTTTATTTTTATTTTAAGTTCTGGTTTACCTGTGCAGGATGTGCAGGTTTGTTACATAGGTAAACGTGTTAGAACATTTCACTTTTTAATTCAGGAGATAAGCATCAACTCAATCCAATCATAACATAGAGTTTTAATAAATTGAATCAGTATCATCATAATAAGATAATCTAGAAACAAAGTTTTTATTTGTTTTGACTAGAATTTCACACAATTATTATTCCATGCTACTGCAATGGTGATTTTCACTTAAGGAAGAGAATGAAAGAAAGAAATGTGTTAATATATATTGTGGTGTCCATCAGAAAATTTTGACCCAATTAAATGCTTAATCATCGGGAAGCTTGTTCTTCCCCTGTACTTGGAATATGTTCTCTTTCGTATTTAAAGATGATATTAAGGGCCATGTTTGGAATAATTCACAGTTGGATGAGGAGGTGGAGTTGCATAGATACTCTACTTGCTAATCCAATATTCCTTGTAATCAATATATTACAAGGTTCATATATTTTTGTTTAAAGATAGCTAGCTTCCATAACTATAAGCAACAACAATAGTCATTAGTTCACCGGAAAAATTAATTGAACTGCTTGTAGAAGTAGCTCTGGATAAAAATACGAATTATGTGAAAGCGGGCTTTGATGCAGCCCATCTTTTCATCTTTTCATCTTTTTTGCCAGACTTTCTATTTCTCTTATCTCTTAGACATAAAGTGCCTTTCTGCTACACTGGGTCTCTTCCATTCCAGAAAAAGCAAGTATAATATATACTAATACTTACCAGTCAAGAAGTTCTGTATATCGAGTATCGTTAGTAGTCTCCTCATAGAAATATTGAATTTCAAAAGAAAACTATGGTGAGGGACAATGCAAAACTTCATGCTTTTCATACTATAGGGGCAACTGGCCATTTGTCCTTAGGTTAGTCCTTGTAACCTTATTAGCTCTGGGTTCTGACAAATAGCTGTTTAAGAAGCAAACTTCTGGGCTGCTGGATTGCAAGGCTCTTACCAATCCCTAGTGAGCCAAAATCAACAAGGATACAAATCAGTTGGTGGGTGCTAGTCCTTCTTGCTCTAGTAGTTCTTCACAGAAACACATCATATATTTGATAGTCATGCAGAATGAGGACCTGGCCAAGTCAGACACGTCTAAGATGCAGACTTTCTGCCTTTTATCCCATTAGGTTTGGGAGCAGCCACATCAACACTCAAGGATCTATTGCCATGTGTAGCACTAGCATTCAAATTTTAAACTTTTGTGACTGAAATATATAGTAAGAAGTATACTTTATATATTGACTCATTAACTATACACACATGCAATACACATATGTATGTACTTCCATTATATATGTGTATCTACCAATATACACACATGCACATGCATATTGAACCAAAATTTCCACAAAGCAATACTTACTCTTACCACTTGTGATGTACTGTTATACTTTTAATTATCTTTCACTCTATTTTAAAATTAAAAAGATGTATTGTGACTTGCTAAATTGATTTCACAACCCACTGTAAACCTCAACCCACATTTGTAAAAACACTTAATATTACTGATATATGGTAATTCTATGCCATACTGCAGCTACATGTTTTCTTGCTCTCTTTCTTAATAAGTCATGAGGCCTACAGTAGTCCAGCCCATTGCTTACCAAACATCCTGACTAGAAACTGGAGGTGCCTCCTTAACTACCTGACTTATTACTAAGGAATGAAGAGAATAAAATACCTGGTTGTAAATTACAGAGCTAATTGTTGCAGGTTTACTTCACCCAGCTTTCTATGATGCTATTTTTTTACAGATTATTTGAGATAGCAAGAAAATATACACTTCAGGGCTGCTGTCTTCTTTAAAAAATCTTTTGAGGTATAAATTATACAAAATAAAAATTTCCCTTTCACATGCACAGTTTGGTGAGTTTTAATAAATGTATATAGCCATGCAGTCAACATTATAATTATGAGAAGACTATTTCCATTACCCCAGAACGTTTCCTGTGCTTCTTTGTAGTAAACATATTCTACTAAACTCCAGGCTCTGTAAACTACTGATTTGTTTTTTATCCCTATAGTTCTGCCTTTTCTAGAATATCATGTAAATTAGAATCATACAATATGCAGGCCTCAGTTTCTAGCTTCTTTCATTCAGTATAATACCTTTAAGATTTATTTATGCTGGACACTTTTGCTAACCGGTAGTAGTATATTGTATGGATATATTCAATTTTTTTTTTTTTTGAGACAGAGTCTCCCTCTGTTGCCCAGGCTGGAGTGCAGTGGCACGATCTTGGCTCATCACAACCTCTCTCTCCCAGGTTCAAGCAGTTCTCCGGCCTCAGCCTCTCAAGTAGCTGGGACTACAGGTGTGCACCACCATGCCCAGCTAATTTTTTTAATTTTATTTTTTTTTTATTTTTAGTAGAGGTGGAGTTTCATCATATTGGCCAGGCTGGTCTTGACCTCCTGACCTTGTGATCCACCTGCCTCGGCCTCCCAAAGTGCTGGGATTACAGGCGTGAGCCACCGTGCCCGGCCGATATAACTCAATTTTTAAATTCATATCCCTTTTCTATTGATGGAGAGCTAAATTGTTTCCAGTTTGTAGCTGTTATGAATAATGTCACTGTGAAAATTCACATAACGTATTAATATGGACATATATTTCTTTTTGTGTGTGTGACCACCTGGGATCATATGGTACGTGTATGGTTAACAATTTAATAAACTACTGAACTGTTTATCACAGTGGATGTACCCATTTTCATTCTCACTGGCCATGAATAAGGGATCCAATTGCTCCTCATTCTTGCCAAGACTTGGCATTTCCAGTCTTTTAAATCTCAGCCATTCTAGCTATGCATAATAGCATCTCATTAGGATTTTTGTATTCTCTTTCTAATATCATGTGAGAAAAAATAAGCAAATGCATCACAACTGTCATATTTAAATTGTTGACAGCACACATTCCAGTACAAGTGTTAGCCAGATGGCAAAGCACACTGCCAAAACATCCTTCCAAGTTTCTCTCTCCTTATGATGCAATGGCTCTGAAGCCTTAAGAATACATTGATATTCAATACACCTCTTCTTTGAACAATGCAATGTCATATCAAACATCATTCAGGTGTACAATTAATGCCTTAAATGTGCTGTTTATTTATTTATTTATTTATTTATTATTTTTTGAGAAAGGCTCTCACTCTGTCTTCAGGCTGGAGTGCAGTGGTGCAATCTTGGCTCACTGCAACCACTGCCTCTCGGGTTCAAATGATTCTCTTACCCCAGCCTCCTGAGTAGCTCGGAATTACAAACACACACCGCCATGTCTGGCTAATTTTTGTATTTTTTGGTAGAGACAGGGTTTCACCATGTTGGCCAGGCTGGTCTCGAACCCCTAACTTCAAGTGATCCGCCAGCCTCGACTTCCCAAAAAGTACTGGGGTTACAGGTGTGAGCCACTGCGACTGGCCTAAATGTGCTATTTTTGAATGTGATTTTTTTTTTAAATAGAGTTCTGAACTCATAAGGGCTTAAATAGTTGAAAATCCTGAGGACGAAGAAATTTTTTAAAAACCATAAATCCCACCCCCCGACAAAAAAAAAACAAAATTAGAACTACTTAAGAATTCTGTTTTCTGGTGAAAATACTATCTACATTGAGAAAGTTTAGGACTGCGAGGGGGATTGTAGAAGATGAGCTTGCGAAGAAATATTAGGGCCAAAAATTGTGCGCTTGACCTTAAATGGTATGCCAAGGAACCAAAATATGAAATGACTTTTACTTGTTTGCATGTGTGTATTCATATGACTCCATGTGTAGCTCTCGATTTGCTTGTCTGTTAGTTTCTATACCTATATAATACTTCTTTATTTAGTAAAATGTGCTATTATTGAAAGTTCCCTTCTGTTTTTAATTATTTTATGTAGCTATCTCTTACCCAATATTTAAACCTTATCTGTGCTGTTCCTCTAAGCTCACACATTATTTCCTCTTGGAAGCCATTCTGACCCAAATACTCAGCCTTCATTTTGAGTTAGGTGGCCCTCTTCTGTAATTCTATAGCCACCTACACTTGGCTCATAACCTTTACCTACACTGTTAACCTTAAATTGTAATGGCACATTTATTTGTTCATTTTCCCTACCAGGCTTGAAAATCTTTGAAGTCAGAGACCAAGTTCTGTTAATTGTTGTACCAACAAGACCAGGCAGGGGACCTAGTGTATAGTGGACATTAAATAAATATTTTGTTAATGAGTTAATGATTTTTACTCCTATCTGACTCATGCATTTCAACAAGAGTTTTCAAAGTCTTGCAAAAGCATTGCTAATGCAGAAGTTTTAGTCAGGTTATGTGTTGAGATATTCTTTAGGTTAAGATTGTAGCTACCCTCTTATCAATGAGTATTACTGCCTCCACATCTTACCTCACTAACTTCAATGTATGCCTTAGTGTTTTACGTATCCATGTAGTACTGTGGTAATGTCCTTCAATCTGTCTCAGAAAGAAAGAAGCATGATCCAAGGATTCTATAAACCTGACATCAGGTACCATCAGAGGACTGAGCAAACCTTCCTTGAATAAGGTCTTTCTTTCATCTATATTTGTATGCTCCAGGTGCTATTTTAGGATACATTTGTTATTAATTTTTTGTCTTTAAATAGATTTTATCTGTGTATAAAATGTCTTCCCAACTTAGACAGTCAGAAGCTTAACATAGAGAAACATGACGGAAGCATAAATTAAAATTTTTAGTCTCTTCTCATATCTTCTTATAGCTACATATATGACACACAACAAAACTTACTGTCTAATTATGTAACTCTGCTGGGTAATTACTTCTCTCATTTAGGCAGAAACTTCTTTCCTGCACAGTGTCATCCTGACCTGAATGATTGTCAAACTGAAAACAATTTTGAAAATGGGAAAATTTAGATAAAAGGGCTATCACAAAGGCAAAAGAAATAAAACAGACAAAACCCTAAAATTGAGATGATTAAGAGGAAAATTGAGAAAACTATTTTGCCTTAAAAATTGTGAAACAGTGTCAGTTCCATGCATGAGGGAACTTATGTAATCAGTGGCCAGAAAGAATAATTATGAATGCTAAGCCTCAGACAATTGCAACTAGCAACTAGTTTTAACAAATACCTTTCATAACTTGTTTTTAACACACTTTTTTGATTAGGCCTTGCCACTCATGCTTGTAATCCCAGCACTTTGGGAAGTCAAGGCAGGAGGATTGCTTGAGATCAGGAGGAGTTTGAGACCAGCCTGGGCAACATGATGAGAACCCTGTCTCTAAAAACCAAAAACCAAAACAAAGAAACCCACAATTTTTTTTTATTGTTAACATAGCTATGGAAGAAACAGAACTGACAACCTCCACAGACATCTGAGCTGGCAGTGAGAACTGCCTGGAGAGCTGGATGAAACAGAACTCCTAGAGAAAGACCAGAGTGTTTGGTACCAGAAAGGCTGTAGTTGAGCACTGTCATGGGTTCCCATCCCCTAGGAAGATTGAGCCTTTGTTAGCTGCTGGAACTGGACAGAACAGGGCCATCTTGCCCATGGGATGAGGCCAGTCTGATCTGAACACTCCCTCATTTGCCAGCTTTTCCCAGGGTTTCTCTCTGGACATACCTGCTTGCAGCATGGCCTCAGATCCCTAGCCAAAACATTCACCAGTGCCCACTATTATAGCTCTTTCACAGGCAGACTCTGCCTACCCACCTTTGCAGACAGATCCCCCACTACTGCATGCATGGGGGCCCACCACTGCCCCACCATAGCACTTTTGATGGCCACACAAATCAGAGGATTATTGCCCATGAACTGAGAACACTTCCATCGCTCCAGTGCAGCAGGTGCTTAAACTCAAGAGTCAGGGAACAAAGCTGCAGGCCTGGTCCTAGCCCCCAGAGTGAGAGTATGCAGCACAAGAGTGCTGAGCTGAGCCTTGGCCTGCTGAAAGCATACAGAAACAAAGCCAATCCACTAAACCCAACTTATACCACAGTTAAACCCTCAAGGGCATCAAAGGATATAAAAGAAAAAAGCACCATCCTAAAGAGAGCAACTCCAAAGATTAAAGAAACATGAGCCCACACAGATGAGATACAACCAGCACAAGAACTCTGGCAACTGTAAAAGCCAAACTGTCTTCTTACTTCTAAATGACCCCACTAGCTCTTGAGCAATGATTTCTAGCCAAACTGAAATGGCTGAAATTACAAATGTAGAATTCAGAAACTGAATGACAAGGAAGCTCACAGAGATATAGGAGAAGGTTGAAACCCAATCCAGGGAAAAAAGTAAAATGGTCAAAGAGTTGAAGGATGACATAACCATTTTGAGAAAGAACAAAACTGAACTTCTAGAAATGAAAAATTCACTACAGGCATTTCAGAATGCAACTGGAAGCATTAATAACAAAATAGACCAAGCTGAGTGAAAAATTTCAGAGCTTGAAGACTGCTCCTTCAAATCAATGCAGACAGATAAAAATAAAAAGAATAATTTAAAAAATGAAAAAATCTCTACAAAATATGGGATTATATCAAGGGTACAAACTTACAATTCATTGGCATTTCTGGAAAAGATGGAGAGACAGCGGGCAACTTGGAAAACATATCTGATAATATTGTCCATGAAGATTTCCTGAACCTTGCTAGAGAGGTATATATGCAAATTCAGAAAATTCAGAGCACTTCTGTGACATACTATAATGGATGGCTATCCCCAAGGCACATAGTCATCAGATTCTCCAAAGTCAGTGCAAAAGAAAACAGCAACAACAAAATTAAAGCCAGCTAGAGAAGAGGGGTAGGTCAAGTACAAAGGGAACCTCATCAGGCTAACAGTGGACCTTTCAGCAGAAACCTTACAACCCTGAAGAGATTGAGGACCTATATTAAACATCCTTAAAGAAATTCCAAGCAAGAATTTCATGTCGAGCCAAACTAAGTTTCATAAATAAAGGAGAAATATGATCCCTTTCAGACAAGCAAATGCTAAGGGAATTTTTTACCATTAGACCTGCCTTACAAGAGGTCCTTAAGGGAGTGCTAAACAGGGAAATGAAAGACTGTTACCTGCCACCACAAAAACACACTTAAGTACATAGCCCACTGGCACTATAAGGCAACTATGCAATCAAGTCCAAGTCTACAAAACAACCAGCTAACAATATAATGACGGGATCAAATTCCCACATATTAAACTTGAATGTAAATGGACTAAATAACCACTTAAAAGACACAAAATGACAAGTTGGATAAAGAAGCAAGACCCAACTGTATTCTGTTTTCAAGAGGCCAATCTCACATGCAATGACACCCATAGACTTAAGGTAAAGAGAAGGAGAAAGATCTATGAAGCAAAGAAAAAAAAAACAAAAAGATCAGGAGTTGCTACTCTTATTTCAGACAAAACAGACTTTACACCAACAATAATTATGAACAAAGAAGGGCATTACATAATGATAAAGAGTTAAACAAGAAGACTTAACTATGCTAAATATATATGCACCCAACAAAAGAGCACCCAGATTTACAAAACAAGTTCTTAGAGATCTCCAGAGAGACTTAGATAACCACACAGTAATACTGGGAGACTTCAACACCCTACTGACAGTGTTAGATCATTGAGAGAGAAAACTAGCAAAGATATTCATGACAGACCTAACAAGCATCTACAGAATACCCCACCCATCAACAGAATCTATATTCTTCTAATCTGTGCACAGCACATACTCTAAGATTGACCACAGGCTCAGCCATAAAGCAATTCTTAACAAATTCCAAAAATAACAAAATCATGCCAACCACACTCTCAGACAACAGTGCAATAAAAATAAAAATAAAAATCAATACCAAGATCTCTCAAAACCATACAATTACATGGAAATTAAACAACCTCCTTCTGAAGGGTTTTTGGATAAAGTATAAAATTAAGGCAGAAATGTTAAAAAATCTTTGTAACTAATAAAAACAAAGATACTACACACCAGAATCTCTGGAACACAGCTAAAGCAATTTTAAGAGGAAATTTAACAGTGCTAAATGCCTATATAGAGAAGTTAGAAAAAGTTCAAATTATAATAACAACATAACAGCTCATTTAGAAAAATAGAAATAAAAGAACAAAGCAACCCAAAAGCTAGTACAAGAAAAGAAATAACCAAAATCGGAGCTAAATTGAATAAAATTGAGATGTGAAAAACTATACAAAAGATGAGTGAAACCAAATCTTATTTTTTGAAAGAATAAATAATATTGATAGACTACTAGCTGGACTAATAAAGATCAAAAGAGAAGATCCAATAAACAGAATCATAAATGACAAATGTGGCATTACCACTGATCTCACAGAAATACAAAAAAAAAAAAACAAAACAAAACTCTCAGACTATTATGAACAACTCTATGCACAGAAACTAAGAAACTTGCAAGATATAGGCAAATTCCTGGAAAAACACAACCTCCCAAAATTGAATCAGGAAGAAATTGAAATCCTGAACAGACCAATAACAACTTCTAAAATTGAATCAGTGATAAAAAACCTTACCAACCAGAAAAGGCTCTGGAACAGATGAATTCACAGCCAAATTATAGCAGACATATAATGAAGAGCTGATACCAATCCTACAGAAATTATTTCAAAAACTTAGAAGGAAGGATTCCTCTGTAATTCCTTCTATGAGTCCAGCATCATTTTGACACCAAAACCTAGCAGAGATACAATGAAAACAGCAAATGTCAGACCCATATCCCTAATGAACATAGACACTTAACTTTTTAACAAAATACTAGCAAATCAATCCAGCAGCACACCAAATAGTGCACCATGATCAAGTAGTCTTATTCCTGGGTTGCAAGGTTGATTCAATATATGCAAATCAATAAACATGAGTCATCACTTAAGCAGAACCAAAAACAAAAACCATATCGTTATCTCAATAGATTCAGAAAAGGCTTTCAACAAAATTTAACATCTCTTCATTTAAAAAGCCCACAACAAATTAGGCATTGAAGGAATATAACTCACAATATTCAGAGCCATCTGTGACAAACCCACAGCCAAAATCATGCTGAATGAGCAAAAACTGAAAGCATTCCTATTGAGAACTGAAACAAGACAAGGATGACCTCTCTCAGCACTTCTATTCAACATAGTACTGGAAGTCCCAGCCAAAGCAATCAGTCAAGAGAAAGAAATAAAAGCCATCCAAATAGGAAGAGAGAAATTCAAACTATATTTCTTTGCAGATGATATTATTCTATACCTAGAAAACCTGATAGTTTCTTCCCAAAGACCCCTAGAACTGATAAACAACTTCAGTAAAATTTCAAGATACAAAATCAATGCACAAAAACAGCAGCATTTCTAGAAACCAATAATATCTAAGCTAAGAGCCAAGTCAAGAATGCAGTCACATTCACAATAGCCACAAAAAGAATAAAATGCCTAGGAATACAGCTAACCAAGTAGGTGAAATATCTCTATAATGAGAATAACAAAACACTGCTGAACAAAATCAGAGATGACACAAACAAGTAGAAAAATATTTCATGCTCACTGGTAGGAAGAATCAATATTGTTTAAATGGCCGTTCTGTCCAAGAAATTTACACATTCAGTGCTATTCCTATTAAACTACCAATGCCATTTTTCTCCAAATTACAAAAAAAAACTATTTTAAAATTCATATGAAACCTAAAGATAGCCCAAATGACCAAAGTAATCCTAAGCAAAAAGAATAAAGCCAGAAGCATCATACTGACTTCAAACTGTACTACAAGGCTGCAATAACAAAAACAGCATGGCACTGGTATGAAAACAGACATATAGATCAATTATACAGGTTAGAGAACTCATAAATAAAGCCATACACCTACAACCATGTAATCTTTGACGAAGTCGATAATAACAAGCATTGGGAAAGGATTTACTATTCAATAAAAGGTGCTGAGATAACTGGATAACTGGCTAGTCATATGCAGAAAATTGAAACTTGATCCCTTCCTTTCACCATATACAAAAATCAACTAAAGGTAGATTAAAGACCTAAATGTAATACCTAAAACTGTAAAATCCCTAGAAGAAAACTTAGGAAATACTATTCTGGACATAGGGTTTGTCAAAGATTTAATGATGAAGTCTCCAAAAGCAATTGCAGTAAAACAAAAAATAGATAAGTGGTTCCTACTTAAACTAAAGAGCTTCCGCATAGCAAAAGAAACTATCAACAGAGTAAACAGACAACCCACAGAATGGGAGAAAATATAAACTATGCATTAGGCAAAATCCTAATATCCAGAATCTGTAAGAAACTTAAATCAACAACCAAAAAACAAATGACTGCATTAAAAATGGACGAAGGACATTAACAGACACCTCTCAAAAGAAGGCATATACACCTGGCCAACAAGCATATGAAAAAATGCTCAACATAGCTAATCATTAGAGAAATGCAAATCAAAACCACAATTAGTTGGCTGGGTGTTGTGGCTTGCACCTACAATCCCAGCACTCTGGCAGGCCAAGTCAGAAGTATCGCTTGAGACCAGGAGTTCAAGAACAGCCTGTGCAACATAGTGAGACGCCTATCTCTACAAATTAAAAAAAAAGCCGGGGTGGTACACGCTTGTAGTCCCAGCTACTCCAGAGGCTGAGGTGGGAGGGTCGCTTGAGCCTGGGCAGTTGAGGCTGCAGTGAACTGAGATTGCACCACTGTACTGCAGCCTGGGCAACAGAACAAGACCCCATTTCAAAAAAAAACTACAATGAGATACCATCTCACACCAGTCAGAAAGGCTATTAGTCAAGTCAAAAAATGACAGATGTTGGTGAGGTTAGAGAAAAAAGGGAGCACTTATACACTGCCAGTGGGAATGTAAATCATTTCAGCCACTGTGGAAAGCAATTTGGACATTTCTCAAAGAACTTGAAGCAGAACTACCGTTCAACTCGGCAATTCCATTGGTGTGTTGTGTATATACGCAAAAGAATATAAATTGCTCTACCGAAAAGACTCATGCCTTAGTATATTCATCACAGTATTATTCACAATAGCAAAGACATGAAATTAACCTAGATGACCATCAACGGTGGACTGGTTAAAGAAAATATGGTTTTTGTACACCATTGACTACTATACAGCAGTTAAACAGAAGAAAAATCATGTTCTTTCCAACAACATGGATGGAGCTAGAGGCAAATATTTTAAATAAATTAACACAGGAACAGAAAATCAAATACTGCATGGTCTCACTTATAACTGGGTGCTAAACATTGATTACACAAAGAAGAGAACACTAGACACTGGGGCCTACTTGAGGGTGGAGGGTAGGAGGGTCAAAAACCTACCTATTGGGTACTATGCTTACTACCTTGGTGACAAAAAAATCTGTATACCAAACCCCAACCACATGTAATTTATCCATTTAACAAACCTGCACATGTACCCCCGATCCTACAATAAAAGCCGAGAAAAGACCAAAAAAAAAAAAACTGATTACCTCTTTCACATGATTTCATTCTAAAGCAGAATTTACTTTTGATATGAACATTGTTAAGAAAGCTTGCTTATGTGTATCTCAGCACTCCAGGTGGTTACCTTTTAAAGAATAAGATATAATATGGATTTCAACATTCCAAATACTTGCATTTCCAATTATCAGTCATAAAAAATAAGGGAACAGTTGGTACGCTAAGCAGAACATTTATTTCTGCTTAGGGCAATGATTTGTTACACGTGTATGGTATAATGAGCAAAAGAATAAATATTTCAGTGACAGGTTATATAAAACAAACATAACAAACAGATCAAAAGCACAAGTGTGTGCAGGTATGTGTGTGTGTTGGGGGTATATGAATATTGACAAGGGTAAGAAAATATGAAAATCTAAAGAAAGATCCAGAGGTTCATGATAAGAGGAATTGTTCTAAAGAGAATCCTATCAGATGAGGAGACTCAAGAAACAGATATTGGGTTGGATACTCTTTTGTAGTTCCCTATTATTATCAAGATAAAAGGTGACATTTCAACAACTGGCTGTGGGAGAAAAAAAAATGTTCAGAATGCCCCCTCTTACCTTGCCCAGGTGCAGACGTGGGTTATTCCTACATATGGAATGTTAAATCCAAAAGCTATTCACAATAAATTGGGAAGGTAAGTAAACACATGGAATCAATTATCCAAAGAACGTATGATTTTAGAGAACATCTTGTAGCTGTTTACTACTTTCACAAATTGAGAAATTGAGGCTTAGGTAGATTAAATAATTTTGAAATAACAAGAGATGCATAACTGTGATGCCACCAATTATGACTCAAGGGTTGATACTCAGCCCACTTTACATTATGGCTTCTTGGAAAATACAGAAATGTTTCTCAGTGGTGTACTTAATAAATTGCACTTGTTTATCCATGTTTATTTGTAATAAAAAATCACTGAAGCAGTGGACTGTACACCATGCAATGGAGAAACTATAATTGGGAGGTGACTCAAAGAAAGAATGAAACTAAGGCACAAAACAGAAAAACTGAGGCATAGAGATCCACACCGAGGCTAGAGAAAGACGGCATCTCAACATAGCATACCGGACTAGCACCCATTCTCCCCTTAGCAGAGCTCCAGGAGTCTATCTTTGTTGAGGATGCTGAGGAACCATTTTAGGAAGGCTCCTGTTTTTGTCTTTTCAACATATTAAAGATCTGCCCAAAATATCCTAGTTTTTACAGTGAAAATCATGTCATCATGTCATTAGAGCCTATTCCTTTGTACACAATGAAGACCATTATTAGCACCTCATAGGGGAGCAGAAAAAAAACTAACTGACTTAACTTCCATCTATTTTTTATTTTTTTGAGATAGGGTCTCGCTCTGTTGCCAGGCTGTAGTGCAGTGGCACAATCACGGCTCACTGCAGCCTCGACCTCCTGGGCTCAAGTGATCCTCCTACCTCAGCCTCCTGAGGAGCTGGGACCACAGGCACATGACACAACGCCCAGCCAACTTTTGTATTTTTTTTTTTTTATAGAGACGGGATTTTGCTATGTTGCCCAGACTGGTCTCAGACTCCTGGGCTCAAGTGATCTGCCTGCCTCAGCTTCCCAAAGTGCTAGAATTATAGGCATGAGCCACTTCTCCCAGCCTAACTTCCATCTTAAAGATAGAGAGGAAATGTGCTTTCCCTTCGTTTTGAATATGTAAAATGTGAAGTATTTTATCCAGCTGCTAATTATCTCAGAAGACTTTAAAAGGATGTCACAAACCCCTATTTTTTAAATGACAATCAATTCATAAAATAGTATATTAAAATTATAAAAAAACTGATCAAGTCTCAAATAGTTTAAGAAATTTTATTCCTTTCCCATTGGCTTATATTGGTTAATATATCTATATAGATATCACTCAACACAGAGATCTTCCCTGACTACCCTGTCTATAAAAGCACCCCATGATTTTCTGTTTTATTATCCTACTTTTTTTCTTCATGGCACTTTCCATACCTGATATTATATTTTTGTTTGTCTATTTCCCTCGATATAGTATAAACCCCATGAGGGCTTGTACCTTACTTTTGTTTATCGTGTATCCCCAACACCCAGAAGAGTATCTGGTATATCTCTATATCAGCAGCAGCAGCAGCACCCTGGAAATTTCTAAAAATGCAAATTAGCAGGCCCCATCCCAGACCAACTGACTCAGAATGCAGTGAGTGAAGACCAACAATCTATATTTTAACATGCCTTCCAGGACATTCTGATCCATGCCTTTGAAAAACACTAATAGAAAAATGAAAGAATTAATGTATTTAGGTCTGATTGCTTTCAAAGGGCAGACATTTGCATAATGACTTCCTTTTTTTCCTTTAATTCATAGTTAATTAAATTGGAATCCCACTCACATCCACCTACAAAAAAAGGCTACATATTAATATTTGGAGGTGTGGTCATGGCCTATCTGGACTATCTGGATAAGATAAGATTTGACATATCTTAGAATAATGGGGGAAGTTACCAATTTATTATCTTCACTCATATAAATCCCCCCTATCGCCTCCCTGCCCCAATATAATGTGAATAATTTAGTATTATGTTGGAGGAGGACTGGAGTTGGGGGGTTACTCACAACTGCTGATAACATTTATTCTTTAAACAAATATTTAGTGGGTATCTACTGTGTACTGTTCTAGGACTGTTCTAGGAGCCTGTGATATATCGATGAGCAAAACAAAACAAAACAAAATTCCTACTATCCATAAAGTATACTTTCTAGCGAATCCTGATGAAAACTTACATCTTTCTCTCCCTGTCTCTTTCTTTCTCTCTCTTTCAGACTTGAACTAGACTTTGACTCATAACCTATAGCATTGAAGGTGCTATGAAATAAAAAAAAATATTTTAGCATTATGTTTCACAGAGTCTATATCTTTTTAAAAATTACCTCCAAAGCCCCCCAAAATCATGACTAAAATGGAGAATAGGCCCTGCTACCTTTACATTGTCTCCTAATACTAGACTTATAGGCTTCTTCAAGAGCCTGTGCCCTAAAGACACACAATTACACTTCACATCCCACTTGTTATTGTTGATGGCTGCAGTAATAATAACTAGCATAGTGCTTCCTATGTGGCAAATACTATTCTGAGTTTTTCACACATAAAAACTCATTTAATTCTTACAATAACCCAATGAGGCAGGTACTACTATTTTAATCTTCATATTCTACAAATCAGGAAAGTGAGGCACAGAGAGGTTACATAACTTGCCCAAGTGTTTACAGATGGTTCAGAATCAGGCTTCAAATTGATACCATTCATCTCTAGAAACTGTGCTGTTAACCAATGCACTAGTGATTCTTTGTTATGTCAAGGAACATAATTACCTAAGAACTCAATATGAGAGAAATCTTCCTAAAGCACTTGTAACAAACAGTGGCAATTTATGCTTGCAATATTGATTAGACTGACTAATTACTTCTGTGAACTGCTAACCAAATAACTAATACTGTCTCCTTTAAACCATTGACTCTGTTATTAACGACAATAACAGCCTTGGAAGAGTTCCTCACATGTTCATTCAGTTTATCATTGTTTTGTTTCCATCTTTTTCTTTATTTCATATTTCTTTTCTCATACACACACACACACACGTGTGTAAATTTCTTTTGGTATGTGTGCTCTCTTCCTTTTTAGATCTCATTCTCTCCCTAACATTCATTGTCAAACTCATACAAATAACCTTTTGAAAATGCTGAAATAAGGCTGTTTCTATAGCAGCAGTTTTCAAATATCTTGAATTTTTCTCTAATCGGTACAGGCTTTTAAGGTCATTCAGAAAACTAAATTAGCTATTCCTGAATATGCTGGTATTTCAAGAGCTGCATTGTTCTCTCTTTCTGATGAAATTCTGTTAACAAATATCAGTTACAGGAGGACAGAGTCAATTAACTTTTAGAAAATCCATTCTTTAAGAAAGGACTATAGCCCAGGTTTACACAATCTCAGAATTTAATGAGCTTTGATTTTTTACTTAAAAGGTTATAAGTTCTTGAATGATGTTGAAGTAACAACATTCTATATTTTTGCCTTGTATATCACATTGCCAAGCACATAAAAGCACTCAATAAACACTTTTAAAAATTAATATAAGGACTTCAAGTCCCAAGCAAGATAGAGTAAGTCAACTATAGCCTATTTCTTCCACTGATTACAACTAAAACCTCTGGACAAATTATAAAAATAAACTATCAGAAGGTATGTTAACAGGAGAAAAAATGCCTATTTTTCTCTGGTTAAACATATTTAAAATATTGTGAAAGATAGAATGGCCCCCCAAATGTTTATGAACTAATCCTGGGAACCTGTGAATATTCTTTATTATATTACAAAAGAGACGGTAGAGATGTAATTAAGGTTATTGCTGGAGTCAGATAGAGTCAGAAGAATAAGAAGTCAGAGAGATTCAAAGAATGAGAGGAACCTGACATGCCATTGCTAGAGGAGGCCACATGGAAAGCATGGGTAGGAATGTGAGCAACCTCTAAAAGCAAAGACTGGCCCCAGCTGATGATATTCAGCAAGGAAAGAGGAAACTCAGTGCTCCAGATGAAAGAAAATATATATGGCCAATAACCTGAATAAGCTTGGAAGTCGATTTTTTCTACAGATCTTCCAGTAATAAACAAATATAGCTCTGCTGATACCTTAATTTAGGCTTTGTGAGGCCCTGAGCAAAAGACCCCAGTGAGTCATGTTGTGATTGGCTTCTGATTCATAGAATCGAGCTAATAAATGGCTGTTGTTTTATGCTGTTAAATTTCTAGCAACTTGTTATGGAAGCAATAGAAAAACAATGAATATTTTGGTACCAGAAGTGGGGCATTTATATGACAAATATCAAAAAACGTGGAAGTGAGTTTGGAATGGGTTAGTGAATAAAGGTTGGAAGACTTTGAGGAGCATGACATAAAAAGACTAAATTGACTTTAACACTCTGTAAGTAGAAATACTGATGCTGCTTGTCAGGGTTCAGAAGGAAGAGAAGATAACTTGAGAGAAATTGTAAATCACTAGCGAAAGCCTAAATCACTTGAACAGACTATTAATAGAGATCTAGACTTGGATGATAGTACTGGTTAAGGCTCAGAGAGAAGTGAGGAACATATTTCTGTAAACTGAAGGAAAGGAGACCCATGTTATGCACTGTCAGACAGTTTGGTGAAATTGCATCCTGCAGTTATATGAAAAGCAGAACTTGTAAATGAAAGTCCTGATCATTTACCTCACATCTCCAAGCAAAATTTTAAAGTGCATTCTGTTTTCTTCTCACTGCTTATAGTAAAAATAAAGAGAAGAAAGAGAACTTAAGGAAAGAACTGTGAAATTAAAATAAAAATACCCAGGAATTAATGATTTGGAAATTTTCCAACCTATTCAGATGCCAAAAAGTCAGAGTATTCAGTCACACAAAATGCATTAAAGGTGTGGCCCACAGATCCCCTTAAACAAATCAGGGACCCTCTAGGTATCTTAAGGGAATCATGCCTTAGACATCCCAGCAGAAGCCAAGCATAGAGAATCATCCAAAAAGATCTGTAGACCTAACTTCTGTCTAATGAATACTTGTGACATCAAGATGAGATCCACAAACTTCTTGAGAATTGTATATAATCAGAACACTGTCAGCTTAGATTGAAAAGGACAGAGAAAGTAAGTAATTAAAGAAGGCTGGAGAACCTGTGAAATGCTGCTGACAGTAAGCAGGCTGATAAAGTTATTTTGCTGCAAATACATGCTTCCTCCCATGAAAAAGGGAGAATGACTTAGAGGACAGAGCCAAGAGCATACAGGACAGAGCTTAGAGCACCGAGGGCAAGGCTGAGAACCACAGAAAATTATTTCCATTTCCAGGTATTGAACTATAAGGGAGTTTGAATGACTAATTTCAAAACTGTTTTAGATTATTGATTATTGTTTACTATCCATCTTCCCTTTTTGGAAATAAAATGTCTACACTGTAACTGCTATCCTATATCTGTGCCACAAGTGTATTTTGGGAGCAGTTCACTTGTTTCTTTAGCTTCACAGGCCCGCAGATGGAGAGGAATTATGCCCTAAAATTTGTATCTAATGAATTATAGCCACAGTCTCATCCACAACTGATTTAGATTAATAGATTTAGGTTTTTTGAGCTGATGAGATTTACATGCTATTTTTGGACTTTGTTTTGACATGGTAATGGAATGAGATCTTTGAGGAACTTAGAATGAAGTGAGTATTTTCTTTTTTATTTGGAACGGACATGAATCTTTTGTGGCCAGAGGGTGGATTGTGGTAGATAGAATACCCACCAAGATGTTCAAAATCCAAATCTTAGGAACCTGTTAATATGTCACATGGCATGGCAAAAAGGAATTGGCAGATGTAATTAAGGTGACCAACATTAAAATAATAAAGAGATTATTCTTGCTTCTCCATGTGGACCTAATGTAATTCCATGAACCCTTAAAAGCAGAGAACTTGTTCCAGCTGAGGTCACAGAGATGTAGTATCAGGGACTGTGAGAAAGATTCAAAGCATAACCAGGACTCTATCCACTGTAGTGGGAGGGGAACACATGGAAAACATGAGAAGTAATGCATGTGCACTTGCACTCCAGGAGCAAAGACCTGCCTTAGCTAACAAGCAACGAGGAAACAAGGACCACGGGCCTACAGCTACAATTGGATGTCCATATGCAAATATATAAATAAATGAACAAGCTATAATCTATATAGTTTGGCAGCAAAATACAATAAGTATCACAAGAAATGTAAGTGGCCTAGCTTCATCCATCAAATCATATAACACCTCAGACTTAACTAGAAATAAAATTCAATTATATGTTGCTTATAAGACACATGTTTTTAGTAAAAAATTTAAAAAGAAAGGCTGAAATCTGTAAATCAAAAGTCCTTAGAAACTACTAGAAACAAAGAAAAAATGAGGAAAACAATAGTGGCATGATATGTTTAACTAATGTCAATCTACCACAGATAACACTAAACAAATTAAATAGCAAAGGAATAAAAATTTAATTATTAACATAGAATTAGATGTGCTTTAAATTCTATAACTCACTAATTGAAATTATACTCATTTTCAAATGTCTTTTTATAAAATAACAGACAATATATCAAGCTGCCAAAAAAGGTGAGAATATCCAATTAAGTTAGTAATATAAAAAAGAGTAAATGTTTAGAAACAAAAATGGTGCACCCTAAGTAATAACTCAAAGACAAATTGAAAATATCTGATTGCCTAAAAATAATATTTAGAAAATAATAATAGCTATATAGCATTTACTATACACAAAGCATTGTTTAAAAAAGATCTTTACATAAACACTTTTCTTCCTCTCAATGAGCCTATGGGATTTATGTGTGTATAACTATTGTAATAATTATTATTTTACAGTGGAGATATAGTCAAGGAAGTATTCAGAGGTAAATTAATTAACTTTAAAGCCTTTTTTAAATAGCCAAGTTAAGGCAACTAGTAACTATCCAGATAGAACCATCAAGTTGAGACCTACAAAAAATTTTATAGGATCATAATAGGCTCAGTTGGAGCATCTTGAGTTAAAAACCCCAGAGAACATGAAAATGGAGTTATCCAGCAAGAGTTTGAATATATAGTCTGAAGCTCAGGAGAAATAGATCATGGCTTGAGTTGTAAAGCTGAGGAACATCACCCACAAGTTAATAGCTGAAACAATTTACCTCTCTTTGTGTTATCAATTTGTTTTTACAAATTTCTATTACAATGACAGTCTGAGCTCATTCAGGTTAAAAATGGCATCATATTCATAAATAGATACGATTTCTCAGGTAGAGAACAAAGAATGAGAAGTGACAAAGGCAAGACTCTTTGAAGATACATTTGAAGGTGAATAAAAATGGAAATTGAAGGGCTTCATGCCTGAAGGTGTAGTTGACAAGATATCTAGAAGAGAATGGGAAGGTAATGAAGGCTGGAGGGGCCCGCCAGCCTGGGAGAATTGGGAGGGATCACAGGTTAAAGATATAGAAAGTAGAAGAGTGGGAAAGTAGAGAGTGGAAGTGGAAAGATACAAGAAAGAGTCATTTCTGAATTCAAGAATTCAATGCTTGCATTTTCCCAGATGTTTACTATGTCTAGGGTGGGCCCATGAGAGGGAATTACAGAAGTGTTGAGGGTAATTTTTGGTGGAGTATAAGATAGATATCAGAACTGAAAAACCACATTGTTAGATGAGTCATCACCATGATCTTGAATTTGCTAAGAACAAATTTTCTCAGGATTACAGGAGAATAAATGAATGGGAAAACTGTGAATGAAGTTCCAAATCCCTTTCTGGAGATGGGGAGAACCCACGATTTAGTTAGAAACCGGAATCTAGGAAGAAGGTTGGGAAAATGTGGCATCTTCAAATGAGACATTAGAAAGCAGAAATGGTAGAAAAAATTTCAGTTTCTCTTATCCATAAGTCATATGCCCCCATGTCTTTGCTTGGAATGCATATACCCCACACATCTCTCTCTTCACTAAGTCAGCTGATATCTGTTATTTAAGAGTCCATGAAGGTATCACCACCTCCAGAAAGACACTGTTGACTTCCTCAGTTTGGGTGATGTGTCCCTCCCCTGTGCCTATCACTATAAATTCACTAATAATAATTTTTTATAATGATGCATTTGCATGTCTATTAGGATTATATCATAATAACCACTCTAACCCTAATTCCTAGCAGTGTCACACACATAGTAGGCCCCCTATATATATGTGTTGAATGAGTGTTCTCTCTAGTTAAGTTCAATTTTATCAAGATTTTACTTCCCTTACTCTCATGTAAAAACCCCAATATGTAACATACAATACCATTAATTTCCATTTTGTTTCACAAACCACTTCTTATATAGAAGTCAGTCTTCAAGTTTTGTCCTAAAACTTCGTTCAAAATGAAGAATCACAGACCTATACTTAGAAAGTTTGATTCAGAAAGTCTAGCATGCAGCTCAGAGCTCAGAAATCTATTTTTAACAATCACTCCATGTGATTGTGATACATGTAGTCTGAGCATCATATTTTGAAAAACATTTCCTTAAGTTAAATGCTTGAAATAAAGTTAGGTTAGTGATTTATAAAGAATGTAATGAAAGACATATTTGGTATGACTGTTTTAGCATTTTTCATCTCTGCCATGGATTTTTGTCACAATTAACTGTGATTAAGTCATGTCAAAGTTAGTTTTATAAGAATGATTTGTAAGTATCTCTAAATAAAATTGGAGATGCTGATAGCAGTGTCTTGTGCAAAAGGAAAATATAGCTATATCCATAATTCAGAACAAAAGTCCAATATGACAGGATTTTGATTTCTTCCACAGCTTTATCCAAGAATCAAGAGTGGAAGCAGTTAATTTTCTAATCAGCAAAATATCAGAAATTTTTTTCAGTCGCTCATAAACACTTATAACTATTTGATTAAATAAAATAAAGAAAGAAGTTTTCGTGATTGCAGTTCCATCTTGTTATTATGTGATATGTTAAATATATAAGAAGGTAGAGAGAATGATACCACATACCTACTCTTGTACCTACCACTTAGTTTAAGAAATAAAACATTACAAATACAGTTATACTCTGGTATACCACTGCCCAATCAACTTTCCCTCCTCATGCCCAAAAGTAACCAATATCCTGAATTTGGCAGTTATCATTCCCAAGGATAACTTTCTACTTTTATCGGATATGCATTTATCAATGAGCAAAATATGAAATTGTTTATATTTTTTTTGCATGCCTGTACTACAATTTATTTTTCCTTTCTCATGTTAATGTTGCCATTCTTACCTCAATGTAGAATTTTTATGCTTTTCAGTTTTAACCTCTTAGCTCCAAGATATTAAAATGTTATCTAATATCTAATTTGTGTGGTTTCCTTTGACAAACTTTAGTGGCTCAAGTTTGTCCCATTCTCTACCGCTACCATCAAATTTTCTTAGCTCGTTCTAAATACTAATTTATATAAAGTCATTTTTACAATTAAAATGAGCATTCAAAATAGGCATGCAAATAATTTTTCTATACTTAAAGGTTGAGATTATTCTAAATCTTTGTTTATGAATACTTTTAAATATACATGGGATAGAGAGAGCATCTGTTTTGGCATATAGACATGGTGACCTCAAACTAGAAGGAGGTACACAGGTGTAATCTTACCGTGTGCTCAGAAGGGGAACCATTAATATCTATTGAATAATATTAATGATTACCACGCCAAGGGAAATATATTAGGCAACTAGTAGGTTGAACACTTTATATAGTTGACAGTCAAGTTGTGAACTGATAATGTGTCAAGTCAGATTCAGGACATAGGCAACAAGATGAATAAGATTTGAGAGCAGACTGAAGAGAAGACCTATTAGGGCTCAAGTTTCCACAGGAATAGACTGATCACCAATGGATGGGTTCCTCCTGTTCTCAATATCTATGTGCCCCACCAGCTCTACTCTACCCTTTGATTTCTGCCCTGGGATACTAACAGTTATGGGTTACATCAATAGGCTCCTGTGCTCTCTAGCTTCCCCTTGGGTTTAGTGAAATGAGAATCCTCGAAAGAGACAGGAGAGAGAGGGAGCACTGTGAGCCCAGCATATTTATTCTCTTGGCATTCTCCCAGTGAGGTCAGTACAGGTTTCTTGTGTCCATTCAACTCTCTTGCCTGTAAAGGCAGCCTCTCTGCATAAAACACTTTCAGTAGTAGGACCAGGACTGGTTGCCTCACAAATTGGAATTATTCCTCTTTGTAAGTTACCATCTTTCATTGTCTTTGGGCCCATAAGAGAGTGTGGAGGGCATGTGTGGGAGTGAATTATAAGAATGTTTGAGCAAGGCAGGTGAAATTTAAGACTCAATGAACTAAATGCATTGACATGAGTATATTCACCTAGGATACAGTAGTTGATGTGGCAGCTCAAGAACCTTGGATTAGCTAATAACAATCTGCTAGATTGGATAATTAAATTCTGGGTTCAATAGTGGACTACAGTTAATGAGGTTAAAATGCTAGTATTTTCCTGGCATACACTGGAGCAACTATTATCAAAAATTAGTCCCTAGACCATCATCAACAGCCTAACCTGGGAACTTGTTATCATTCTAAATTATTAGTTCCGGGGTAGTCGGAAATGTTTAATCAGAAACACTGGCGGCAGCACCCAGTAATATGTGTTTTAACAAACCCTCCAGGTGATTCTGATTCACACTGATGTTTGAGAACCACTGCACTAGAGGAAAAAGGCCAAAGACCCAGGGAAATGGAAACACTGGTGCATCAATTATGTAAAATCTTAACTCTGTAGTGGCCGAACTCTGTAAACCAGCGAAGAATATGAAATGTGATGGATTTGGGTTCCCTAATGTCAATGGAAATAATGGGATCCTGGTGTGGTAGAGATGAAGTAGCAGCATTTAACTATCAAGTTCTGTGAAATTTCTCAAAAACCCAGGGATTGTAATGATAATCAGAGTGTTTTGACCTAAAACAAACTGTGGCAATGGCCACCTGATCACAGGGTCCTTAGAAATTCAGTAGATTGGTATCCTACTAAGTTGCTAGTTGATAATAAAGGTGGAAAAATTCTAAAACAATTAGAATCCTAATTTTTACACCACAGTGTGAATTTATTCACCACAGTGTGAATCCATGGCCTCTTCTCCAATTCCTCAGGGTCAGTCAGGTGAAAGACCTCCAACTGAGGGCAAACTGTGAACTTTTGAGGAGGGATCTTGCAATATGGTCACAGACTTATACCATAAACGTTTCCTCAGCTCTTCTCCAGTGAACCCTGCAGCCATTAGTCTGAGTAACTGCACTAGGGGATGAAAGATAGCCTTAGCTTCTGGGGATTAATAGTTACTTACCTGGAATTTGGGTTGATGCCTAGATACTTGAAAATGCCACTGTATTCCACTGGTAGAAGTATGGGCTTAGTAAAATCAGATGATAGATGGAGTCTTGGCTTTATTTTACAATATATTCATTGGAAATGTAGGATCATTCCGTGGTTATTTCACTGGCTGCAAAGTATATAGTGGGAATAGGCATATAAAGTAACTTACAAGATCTCCACAATGCTTCCTTTTCTCATGGGGTAAGGACTATTATGGTAGAAAATGTGAAGGGGGAGATCCTTCAAAGATAACAAACCAAAAACCCTGAAGGAATTTGCAGATTAGTGCTGCTATCAGAATTTCGAGATGCAGAGGAAATGATTCCTATAACATTTCCATTTATTATGCTTGTTTGGCTGGTGCAAAAGCCAGATGGATGATGGAAAATGACAGTAAATTATTGCAAATAACCAGGATGTGATGCCAATTACAGGCATGATTTCAGATGTGGAATCTTTACTGAAGCAAAGCAACACAGCTCCTGGATTCAAGTACGCAACTACTGACCTGTAGAATGTTTTCCCTTAACCTTCCAATCCGTAATGACTATCAGAAACAGTGTATATTTCCATAGCATGGACAATAATACATTATTTACTGTATCACCTCAGGACTGAAAGCTCTCTTGCTCTAGGTCCAAATGTAGTCCAAAGAGATTTTGATCATCTTGATATCCCACAGACTATCACTTTGGCCCGTTAGAGTGATGTTAATTGGATTAAATTATGTTAATTGGACCTACTGAGTCAGAAATAGCAACAAGCACTATAGATCAGTTCTTACCAAATTTCATTAGCAAAGGATATCTTTTAAAATTTTCAATTAAAAATTATTAATTATTTTTAATTTCATCAAAGATTGACACTTTTTTCTACTTTTATTTTGGGCTCAAGGATTACATGACATGTGCAGGTTTGTTACATGGGTAAATTAAATAACACTAAGGCCTGGTGTACAAATGATCCCATCACCAAGGTAGTGGGCATAGTACCTGATAAGTAGCCTTCCAATCTACGACCCTCTGCCACCCTCACCCTTCAAGCAGTCCCCAGTGTCTATTCTTTTCAACTTTGTGTCCATGTGTATTCAGTGTTTAGCTCCCACTTATAAGTAAGAATATGTGGTATTTGGTTTGTAAAATATAATAAACATAAAGTACTAGAAAAATATCTATGTACTTGGATATTGCAAGTATGTCATTAGTTCTGTATGATTGTTTTAAAATGTCAATTTTCTTATTTATCTTATCGTAGACTAATGACAAACAGTTCCTGAACCGACATGAATCCATTACTTTCAATAATACTGCCATAGATGCCTTAGTAAGACATGTGAATGCCAGAGAGTGGAAGATACATTACACAGAAGTTCAAGACCTGCCACATTAGGGAAGAGTCCAGTGGTCTAGGGTATATTGGGAAAATTTATTCAAAATGAGACACAAGTTGTTTTACCTTTTACCACCCACCACACACACACACACACACACACACACACACACACACACACGAGACATAATGCTTGGCGGACCTCTTTGGATTTGGAAGGCAACATATAATATACTTGGCATGCTGCTATGACAGCCTATTTGGTGATCTGTAGAGCTTCTAATTTTAAGTGAGTGCTCGAAAAGAATGGGGTCTCCCTGAGTTCCAGGCTGCAGTGCAACATGCTTGACTATTAAGGCTTTATGAGCCAAAGGTCCTGAAGGTATGCAAAGTTTTGTGGGAGAAAGAGATGTTGCATGCAGCCTCTGGAAACTCCAATTGGAGAAAAATAGCACAGAATTCCTGGGTTTAAGAGAAAAGTCTTACCCTACTTCCATTAGAAAAGCAGCTCCTGCTTTATGAATGGGCCCTAGAAGAGATTGTATTGCTCATCATTAATTGGTGATATCTGATTCAGATAACCATGAATTTGGATGTGCACAGAAACTTTTCATTATAAAATAGAAGTGGTGTATACCTGGCCTAAATATATTTGAAAGGCAACATAAAAATTATGAGCAGATGATCCAGCAATCACACTTCTTGGTATTTAACCAAATTAGTTGAAAACTGATAGCCACACAAAACTTTGCCTAAAAATATTTATAGTAGCTTTATTCATAATTACCAAAACTCGGAAGCAACCAAAATGCCCTTCATTAGGTTAATAGACAAACTATGGTACATCCAGACAATGGAATATTATTCTGTGCTCTAAAGAAATGAGCTATCAAGTTGTGAAAAGACATGAAGGAACCTTAAATATCCATATTACTAGGTGAAAGAAGCCAACCTAAAAAGGCTACATTACTGTACGATTACAAAAACACGATATCTGGAAAAGGCAAAATTGTGAAAACAATAAAATTTCAGTTGTTGTCAGTGGTTACAGAGGGGCAAGGGATGATTAGATGGAACACAGAGAATTTTTAGGGCAATGCAACCATTCTGTATGATATTATAACGGTGGATACATGCCATTATACATTTGTCAAAATCAGTAGAATGTAAAACACCAAGAGTGAACCCTAATGTAAACTATGGATTTTGGGTGATGATGGTTTGTCAATGAAGACTCATCAATCGTTTTTTTTTTTTTTAGTTATTTAGCATTGTCTTCTTATTTCCTTTTTTAATTTTACTTTATTATTATTATACTTTAAGTTTTAGGGTACATGTGCACAACGTGCAGGTTAGTTACATATGTATACATGTGCCATGCTGGTGTGCTGCACCCATTAACTCATCATTTAGCATTAGGTATATCTCCTAATGCTATCCCTCCCCCCTCCCCCAACCCCACAACCGTCCCCAGAGTGTGATGTTCCCCTCTTCCTGTGTCCATGTGTTCTCATTGTTCAATTCCCACCTATGAGTGAGAATATGCGGTGTTTGGTTTTTTGTCCTTGCGATAGTTTACTGAGAATGATGATTTCCCATTTCATCCATGTCCCTACAAAGGACATGAACTCATCATTTTTTATGGCTGCATAGTATTCCATGGTGTATATGTGCCACATTTTGTTAATCCAGTCTATCATTGTTGGACATTTGGGTTGGTTCCAGAAGACTCATCAATTGTAAAAAATGTACCACTCTGCTATGGAATATTGGTAGTGAGGGAGATTGTGTATGTATGGGAAAAAAGGTGTATGAGAACTCTCTATGCTTTCTGGTTAACTTTTCTGTGAACCTAAAATTACTCTAAAAATAGTCTATTAAAATTATGGACAATTATCTCAGGCTTTTATGCTACTTGATTATATTATTTTATCACTTGCCCTCAACCACACCTATTACCCCATGAGGAGTTCCTCATGAGTAGTTAACGAGGAGGAGAAAATGTGGGCTTGATTTACCTACGGATATGCATGCTATGCCAATATGACCAAGAAGAAATGGTTGTGAAAATCAGTGGTGAAAGGAAACCCTTCCAGTTAGCAGAATATTTGTCAGTATATGTGGTTTTACACATCAGTGGAAGGAAAGATAGCTAGACATATAGATCTAGCTCAATTAATGAGCAAAGGCTAACAGGCTGGTTAGGAATTTGGAAAAATCATAATTGGGAAATCAGTAAAAAGAAGTCATGGGAATGGGGGAAGGTACTTGGATGGAACTCTTAGAATGGTTCCTCTTACAATAGTGTAAACACATTCATAGCCCATGCAAATGCCAGCCGGGGGTATCCATAGCAGAGGAGGCTCTCAATAATCAGCTGGGCAAGATAACCTGTTATTTCAATGAGTCAACCTTTCCCCAGTTACGTTGATGCTTATTCAGTGGGTTAACGTACAATGTGTACATGGTGGCAGAGATAGAGACTACGTGTGGACTCAGCAATATGGTCTTTCCATTGCCAGAGCTAACTTGGCTACCACCTCTTCTGACTGCCCAACCTGCTAATAGCAAAGGCCAACGTTGAACTCCTAATATGGTATAATTTGCCATGCGTTCGCATGTGGCAGATTTATTATATTGGACCCCTTCCCTTATTAAGGAGAAAATTTTGTCTTTGATGCGATAGGTCAGCACAATTGTTCTTGGACTTATAGAATGCCTTTATCCATTGCTGTGGCATCCCACACAATATTATCTCTAACCATAGGACACATTTATAGTAATAAGTTCACACCCACAGAATTAACTGGACTTATATGGCCTACTAAAGATTAATTTGTTATTTGAAATAGAAAAAAAAAACCTGGAAGGTTAGGATGCTGTGGTAAACGATACAATATGTGGCTTAAACCACGTGGCCAATAAGTGGTGCAATTTCTTTCATAACAAAGAATTAAAGGGTAGGTGGGAGTGGCTCTTCTTAATAGTACAGTTCATAATTTCCTTGAACATTTTTTTTCCCATTTTCACAGTCTTGGTCTTGGTATATTTGGAAATCCTAGTGTACAAGGGAAGAATACTTCCACCAGAAAAAAAGAAAAAACAGATCATGGGTTTGATGAGCAGGAAGCTGAGACTACCCCAGTGGCCTTTTCTTGAGCTCCTGATGCCACTAAATCAACAGGCACAGAAGGGAGTCACTGTATCGGACTAGGTAATTGGTTGTAATTTTAGGGGAAAATTGGGTTGTCGCTACACAATGGCACCAAGAGGATTATGTTTAGAATCCAAGTACTTCACTGGGGTGCCTCTTGTTATTTACTCCCTTGTCCAGTTGTCCTCGTCAACTGAAAACTGCAACAACCCAATAAAGGCAGGACCACAAGGACTCAGATCCATCAGGAATAAAAGTTTGTTACACCTGGGTAGGTAAAGAACCCCATCCATCCAGGTGCTGGCAGCAGGTAAGGGGAACATGGAATGGAGAGGAAAGGTAGCTGTGGAAACCGATTTAGCCTCATGAACAGTTATAGAAGAGAAAGATGTAGCACTATGTTTTATGTTCCTTTTCCTCTCACCTTCCGATACCCCATCACTATTTTAATGAATAATGTCAGTGGTGGCTAATATTTTACTTGCAGTGTGATCAAACTGACATCACCTTGAGATGATATGAAACTTGTGTGACTTCATGAAACTTCTTGGATGGAGACATAAAATGTTCACTCAGTCAAAGGACAAGAATGAATGCTGACGTGCAAAAAGGGTGTGCAGTGCTGGGTATATATTTCATTTGCCCCTCCAGCTCCACTGTCTATCCTTCTTTCACCTTCCCTGTGCCTGAGGAGGCTGACCTGTATAGATAACATCAGTGAGATCCCATGACTTCTGATTTCCAGTTGGGTTCAGCTAATGGGGAAGCAGGACAAAAGATCAGAAGAAAGGAAGTGAACTCAGAGTATTTATTTGTTTAATGACAGCTCAGGTTGATTTGACTATGCTCAGCTCAAAGTGACCTTCTATACACAACTCTCTTTCTTAGTTTTAGTCTCTTTGGGCCTAAAAGTAGTGATAGCTCATTGTTACTAGTCCCAAGGTTACTGTACTCACTAGCCCTGTGGTTCTTCTATACTCTGCCAACACCTTTGTAAATAGCCGTTTTGTAAATAAACCCTTTTCAAATTATCTGGAGTGTGCCATCTGTTAAATGATTGGATCTCTGATTGATGCAACCTCCCAGGGAATGCTCTTGGTACAGCCTACTATCAGTGGCTGGGCAGGTATATGACAGATATTTCCAAGCAATTTTTTAAAGGGTTAATCTATACATGTGCATATATGGTTATATATTGGGGATAATCACATCTTGCCCTGCTAATTGATTGCAATGACTTCTAGAATATGATAGATAAAGATCTATGTGGTATTGCAAAAGATCATTGGACTTATGGAAATTATGTATATAGGATTCTTGGTTAGGTCCAGAAATACATGTCCATCAAGCGGGAGTAGTAACTGCTTAATGACCATAGTATGTCTTTTGAAAAGTCTCCATTTTTTTTGTTGATATTTATCTCTATTTTATCTTATTTTTATGTACTGGAACATTATTAAGATCATTTTGAGTTATACTAGCTCATGGATTTCATCCACTGCTTTCCCCCTGTTCATTTGTAACAGATGTAATAGGGCCTTAGCTGTGGTTCTTTACTTCGTATTATGTTTGTTGTACTGGTGAAATATTTATGTCAGTAAAGAGACTACAATAGAGAAAATATATTCTTGTGTATTATATCTGAATAGTGTCAGATAAATTAATCCTGTGAAGGTTTGGGTAGCAGGTAAATGGGACACATCTTAAAAACAAATTTAGGTAAAGTAATTGAATGAAGATGGGAAGGTGAGTGGATGGATTGAAAATGAGATACCATATAGATAAATAAGTAATAAAGCTATGTGGGGGCACTAAAGAAAAGCAGATTACAACGTCTTCTTTGAAGGGAGATAATCTGTATCTTTGATCTTTGTAAACAGCTTCTGAGAAAAGACATTTCAAAACACTAGAGTTCTTGATTAAATCATTCAGAGTAGTAGCTTATTGGAAGGAAAACAAGCATATCCATGCTCTCCTTAAAACAATTTCAACTTGCCAAGTTTCTGAACACAAATCATGCTCGTGCTGGGTTAATGTTATCCGCATCTATCATAAAAATTGACGCAATTTCTCTATTAATTCATATTCAAACATTTTTACATCCAAGAAGTATAAACGCTCAATAGCCTTCTGTATAATCAGTATTTTTCAATCAGTGCAAATCGGATTAATGATGTCTGGCATATTTAAATAGGGAAGATTTTTTTCTCCTGGTTCTAGCAGAAATTCTATGGACTGCACTAGATTTTCTTTCTTTTTATCTTGATGTAAATGCTGTTAATACATGATAAAGAATGGATGAACATTGAAAATATTATACAAAGTGAAAGAAGTGTCACAAAAACCATAATTATATAATTCAATTTATATGAAATGTCCACAACAGGGAAATATACAGAGTCAGAAAGTATGTCAGTTGTTGCTTAAGGCTTGAGAGGATGGGTGGGGTGAGTAGGGAAGATAAAAGGGACAAAGTTTCTTTTTGAGATGATTTACATGTTCTAACATTGTGGTTATATGGAATTCTTGGTTAGGTCCAGAAATATATGTCCATAAAGCAGGAGCAGTGACTGTTTAATCGCCATAGTATGTCTTTTATAAAGTCTGATTATGTTTCCATGTATTTGTAAATACGCTAAAAACCATTGAATTGCATACTTTAAAGAAGTGAATTTTATGGTATATGAATTATATCTCAATTCAGCTGTTGTAAAACGTAAGGCAAGGAGCTTACACACAACATCTAGTATACTACATTCATTCAGTTTCCTTTCTCCCAAATCTTGTTCAACTAATTCAATTTAATGAAAATTAGGAGACACCCATCATATGCAAAACACCATGTATTATCATTGTTAAGAGATAAAAGATGAAGCAGGCGCTACTTTTAAAAAAGTTAAAATGCAGCATAGAAGGTGGCGATATCATAATAATGTAATCATCATTATGTCATATGTGATAATGATGATAATTGGAGGTGGAGGATGAAAAAAACACATTTATTGAGCATTTACTATGTGCCAGGAATTTTTAAATACTTTAAATGTTATTTTATCTTATTTTCATAACAATCCTAGATATAGGTACTGATGTAGTTTAGATGTCTGTCCCCTCCAAATCTCATACTGAAAAGTGATTCCCAATATTGGAGGTAGGGCCTAGTGGGAGGTGATTGGATCATGGGGGTGGATCCTTCATGAATGGTTTAGTAACGTCTCCTAGGTGACAAGTGAGTTCTCACTCAGTTAGTTCACAAGAGATCTGGTTGTTTAAAAGTCTGGGACCTCTCCCCCTGCCCTTGTTGCCTGTCTCACTATGTAAGGTGCCTACTCCTGCTTCACCGTCAACCATGAGTGTGAGCTTCCTGAGGCCTTCACCAGAAGCTGAGCAGATGCTGGTGCCATGCTGTACAGCCTGTAGAACCGTGAGCCAATTAAACCTCTTTTCTTTACAAATTACCCAGGCTCCAGTATTTCTTTATAGCAACGCAAAAATGGTTTAATACAGATACCATTTTCTCTGATTTTTGTATATGAAGAAATTGTGTCATAGAGGTGGTGAAATAACTTATTTTGGGTCACATGTCAAGAAATGGCAGAATGAAAATTTCAACCTAGTGCTGAGCTGAGAGCTGAGGCTCATAACACGAAGAGTCCATGAGTCTACAAAATACATAATATAAAGCAAATTAAACTTAAGTGGCATGAAGAGTCAAGAAAAAGTGCTGGAGCCTATGATCAAAGAACATACCTTGTTTGCAGCTCAGACAGGAATGAGAAAGTCAGTTCAACTTTAAATTACATAGGTGATTTTGAATGATTGTCTATATTTTCATGAGACATGACGTAGTTACAAACCTACATCTTAGATTAAATATGTCTTTTTTGTAAAATAAATAGGGCCAAACAGAAATGACTACATAAATGTCACAATGTCAAATGAAACTTTTCTTCAAAATAAATTTATAATTATCAAGAGAGTTGTCACAAGATAAAAAACAAGAACTCTAAATTTTCTTGTTTCCTTATCCCCAATCTAAATCTTCACCTGAAGCCTGAGATCTTTCAAATTCCTTTTGTTATCAAAATTAAATTGTGAGTCTAGAGTGTATCAATTTTTCCCATCTCCCATCTTCTTTCTTGTTTACTTTCTCACTGCTGCCCTTTCCATAGCCAAAGTGAGTTGAATGTTATAGCTAAAGCTATACTCCTTACTAAGCACATAGGCAGATCACTAATAACAACTTTAGTGCTTTTCAAATAGGGACAAAATTATGTTGCTTTTAATTTAGAAGCTACATATTAATGTTCAACTAAATCTATTTAGTGTATTATCCTCCATATTTCTATAGCACTTTTCTCTGCTGTAAGTTCTATAATTAATATAAAAAATAGCATTCCTCTTCTTCATCAAGTGCTCATGAGTACTTTTAAAATTTCCTTCTCAAAAACTTTACTGGAACTTTTTTACTACAATCAACAGAATAATGTAG